>NC_000017.11:17460807-17763838 GCF_000001405.40 Homo sapiens
CTCACCAGACACAGTCCAATCTCATGGAGAACTTTGTTCATAGGCAAACCATTCTTTATCCAGATGAAATTTTGGTCATTTATTAAAGACTGTTCTATTGAACAGAAATTAAACTTTGATCAGTGAATTAAGTTCATTAGGAAAATCATGAACAAGTTAATCACTAAAAATAGATGGAAATTTCCTTAACCTCTAGTTTTTATCAAAAACCAATAGCAAATATAAAATTTAATAGTAAAGCATTCACCACATTCCCACTGAGTCCAGAACAAAACAAGAGCTATGAAGCTATCACTCACTTTTATTCAGTAAGTCCTACCAATCAAATAGAACAAAGAAAAGAAGTAAGTGTTACTAAGATTAAAAAGCAAGAGACAAGCCCATCAGTTGTTGGTGATGTGATTGACTTATCTAGAAAATTCAAAAGAATCAATTAAAAACGCATCAGAAAATCAGACTTCAGAAACATTTTTAGAAATACTTACTGACAATAGGCTGGGCGCGGTGGCTCACATCTGTAATCCCAGCACTTTGGGAGGCCAAGGCAGGCAGATCATGAAGTCAGGAGATCGAGACCATCCTAGCTAACACAGTGAAACCCCGTCCCTACTAAAAAATACAAAAAAAATTATCCAGGCGTAGTGGCAGGCGCCTGTAGTCCCAGCTACTCGGGAGGCTGAGGCAGGAGAATGGCATGAACCCGGGAGGCGGAGCTTGCAGTGAGCCGAGATCGCGCCACTGCAGTCCAGCCTGGGCAACAGAGCGAGACTCCGGGAAAAAAAAAAAAAAAAAAGAAAGAAATACTTACTGAAAATAACCAATTTTAAAAGGCCATAGAGCCAGGTGTGGTGGCACGTGCCTGTAATCCCAGCTACTTGAGAGGCTAGGGTGGGAGGATAACTGGAGCTCAGGAGTTCGAGGCTGCCATGAAATATGATTGCAACACTGCTCTCCAGCCTGGGCCACAGAGTGAGACTCCAACTCCTAAAATAAAAAAACGGTACAGAAAAAAATGATAAAGTGATGAAATGTCCCTCATAGACACCTGGACACTCTCTGGTTCTAATGTGTTTGTCTTGAGTGCTGAGCTGCTCGCCTTTCTCAGCCTGGCAGGGCCCGCAGGAGCATGGGAAGCATCCCCTGAAGAATGAGTGAGTGAGTGACACCCGGCTTTGGCACCTGTGCTTTCTGGCATCTGGATGTCTGTTGTGTTGTCCCTCAGCAGCTTCCAGGCCTCTCCCCCTTTCTCCTGCACCACCTCCCTCCAAATAAGGAACGCTGCAAGAGCCTCCTCACCCCCTTGGAAAGTGGACTGTGAAGAAATGCTGAGACCAGCTAGACCCTCTCAGGACCACAATAACCGCAGAGGTGTGCTGGCGCTGTCCTTCCCACCGAGGCAACTCTAAATGCCCCAAGGCAAAGTCCGTGTTGTCAAAGGGAAGTGCAAGGCTATCAGTAACCACCCCAGGGACACCCTCAGCCCCAGATGGCCTCTTGCACTGTGGGGGAGCAACACAGAGGAACGTGCCCCAGGACCTGTACTCAGAAGCCGACCTCTTTGTGACTGTAAAGAACAGGAGGGAATGAGGCGGGTCTTCCGTTACCTGCTCCTGCTGCCCTTAAGATTCCCTTTCGGGAAACCCTGTACAGAATTAGGGAAGAACCATCTTGGGGAGGAATGATTTCTAAGACACCTGCTCCAGCCATTATTGCTGGCAACAAACCACCATAAAACTGAGCTGTGTCAAACGATCCTTTTATGATGCTCCTGGGCTCTGTGGGTCTGGCAGGGAGACAGGCACAAGGGATTGGTCTGTCAGCCCCACCATGGCTGGGGCCCAGCTGGGGAGCCTTGGCAGCCAGGGGTGACTCGCTCTGGCCTCGACTCACACGTGTGGCACCTGGGACCTCAGCTGGGCAGTTGGCTGGAACCCACAAATGGGGCCTCTCCACATGGTTTCCTGCGAAAGTTGGTCTGGGCCTCCTTACAGCATGGCTGCCAGGCTCCAAGAGAGAGTGTTCACCCGGTTCCAAGAGAGCCCGGTGGAAGAAGCTGTATCACCTTTTTTAAAAAAAATTTATTGTGGTTAAAAAAACTCATAGTGATTGGGTGTGGTGGCTCATGCTTGTAATCCCAGCACTTTGGGAGGCCGAGAGGGGCAGATCACCTGAGGTCAGGAGTTTGAGACCATCCTGGCCAACAGGGGGAAGCCCCGTCTCTACTAAAAATGCAAAAATTAGCCGGGCGTGGTGGTGTGTGCCTGTAATCCCAGCTACTGGGGAGGCTGAGGCAGGAGAATCGCTTGAACCTGGGAGGCGGAGGTTGCAGTGAGCCCAGATTGAGCCACTGCAATCCAGCCTGGGCAACAGAGTGAGGCTCTATCTCAAAACAAACAAACAAACAAACAAACAAACACCACATAGCATAAATTTCTCCTATTCCATAGATTGCCGTAGACTGGGCATATATGCATTCATCAGTGGCTGCAGCTGAACTGGCGTGGGTGAGATGGATCCCATACTGTTGAGCCCAAGCATAGCATCCCTACTTATCAGGATGATCATTCTAATCACTGGCCACTGTCATCTCTGAGGAGGTGGAGGTGAGAGTCCGGCTGCATCCACAGGACAAGCCGTCCTGTCTGCTTGCTGCTCCATGCCTCCCTGCAGAGGACATTCTGCGGGGCATTATGTAAGACACGAAGATCCACACATGTGTACCCACTCCATAGATCCAGCTCCATGCCTCTTCCCCAGAGTTCCTTGTCTGTGGCCTTCCAGGGTTACTCCCTCAGGTGGGTTCATAAAGGAGTTCGGCAGGTAAAATACTGGACAGCCAGTCGCTCCCTCAAGTAGGTTTGCCAGATAAAACCTGGGACACTAGTAAAATCTGAATTTCAGATAAGCAATAATTTTTTTTTAAGTATAAGTGTGTCTCATACACTATTTGGGACATATTTATACTAAAAAATCATTTGTTTATTGGAAAATTTAACTGGGTGTCCTATAATTTTATTTGCTAAATCTGGGACCCCTACACTCAAGGCCCCTATCAGCCAGGCAAGCCAGATGCCACTGCTCCGGAATCCATGCTTATCCACATCTCAGGACACGCCCTCCACAGTGAGATGATAGCCAGGCTTAGTGCTCCCAACTGTACCCGCCAGAAGGACTTCCCTTGACCACTGTCCTTCCAGGCCACTGCTGAATGGGGCTGTAGTGAGCAGCAGTCCATTTTCAGCCAGCATCAACAGAGTGCACAGCTGTGAACTAGCCCAGCTGGTCATAAAGAGCTCCCTGTCCCTACCATGAGGCCATAGATGTGTGTTAGGGGAGAGGTATTGGTGCAACGGAGCTGTACGACATCGGATTCTGGGTCACCTATTCATGAATCTACTGAAGCTCTCTGAGTTGCTTTGAGGTTGGTCTGTCTGCCCACCATGGGGCAGTCCCAAACCCAAATGTACCATTTCCCAAATATTTGATTAACTGTTCTACACTCACCTGAACTTAATACCCAGCTCATGAAGGTCATCTTTGGCCACAGAGTCACTTAACGCCCCATGGCCAGGTGCTTAGTCTCTACCTGGGTCCAGTAAAACATCAGAAGTAGTTATCTGCTAGAGATGCTGGTCCTCCTGTCTTTGGGCTCTGTCGCAACTCTCCTATTTGCACTTTCCAGATATCCACACAGCATCCTTGTGTGCCACGCTGTCTCTAAAACTCTCAGATCAGGGTTCTATAACCAGAGTGGTAACAGTTGCTTCCATCGCAGTCTAGTTTTACTGTAGGCTGTGTTCTTGCTCTGGGCTCCACTTGAAACTAGTAGTTTTTCAGTTAACCCCTAAATGAATTAGAACGGTATTCTCAAGTGCACGGGAATAGATGTTGCCTCCAAAAGTTAGCGTCCTGCCAAGCTTCTTTCTTAGTGGTCAGGGCTACGACGTGAAACCAGTTCTCCCTTGCCCATAATAAATCTCTCTCTGTCTCTCTGTCTCTCTCTCTCTTCCTCCCACCCTTGGTTTGCCAGCTAGACCTGATTTTCACACTTCAAAACTTAGAGTTTTATCTGGTAACCCTGGTAACAAACTTCTTGGAGAATGATTTGGGAATTCTGATGACTTGCTTTTTAATTCCAGAAACTAAAACCCAACTCTGTCCTTGGGTATAATTTCTAATCTTCCCTTTCTCATGTGTGGTCCTGTGTTTGGACGGTAAACTCATCTGGTGGGAACTGTACTTACATTTCTGTTTTATATGATGATGAGGGTGTGACGAGACACCCATTAAGGTCCTTCTCAAGTCTTCAGGGACCTGCCGAGCCTATGATGGGTGACTTGGGCTTTGCTGCTTGCCAACAGGGGCTTCATAATGGTGCCCATCCAGGAAAGTAAACACACATGTAATGAGGAGAGGGCTATACACATGTAATCAGGAGGGCTATATCCCCTCCCTGTGTCTTCTTGAGGTAAATACTGCATTGCCTACCAGTTGTTGTTTAGACTTTGATGAAGCAACGGTAGAGAAAAGAGTATGAAGGCAAAGATTGGTCTGTTCAATACTCATTCAAAATGTCAGTCATCAGACTGGGTGGCCAGAAGGCAAGATTGTCAAGGGCTGGTGCCTTCCTTCTATGCAGGCACCTTCCCCACCCACCAGCAGCATGGAACCTGCTCCTTGGTTTGCCACCCTTGGTGTTCTCACCCAGCAACAGTGCTGATAGAGAGCACGTTTGTATGCATGGTCGTATATGTAGGTACATTTAACTTTTAAGATCTAATACCATTTCCTTTGGCAGGCAGGAACAATAGGATATTAATAAATATTAATGAAGTAATTATTTATTAATAATAAATAATTCTCCCTTTAAAAAATTCCAGGGATGTCTTGAGATTCCAGGACAGCTCAACAAATATGAATCCCAGAGGAAGTAACAATTGCTTCATTTCAATAAAAATGGTCCCCAAAAGCTACCTGTCATCTCTATGATTCTTGAAATTCTGCCAAATCCCAACCTATTATTGCCCTTTTACAGGAATTTGCTGGGTTTTTTCCTTTGGCTTAGTTTTTAATGCATTGTTTTATTGATAATCATGTTGTAAATAAATATTAGCTTACATGGGAAGCCATTCACAGCAAACTGTTAGGAGAAAAAAAGCAGATTACAAAACAAAATGAACTCAAGTTTATCTTCAAAACACACATATACATTTAAAATGTAGGAGAAGATAGGCTGGGTGCAGTGACTCACGCCTGTAATCTCAGCACTTTGGGAGGCTGAGGTGGGTGGATGGCTTGAGGCCAGGAGTTCCAGATCAGCCTGGCCAACATGGTGAAACCCAGTCTCCACTAAAAATACAAAAATTAGCCAGGTGTGGTGGTGCATGCCTGTAATCCCAGCTACTTGGGAGGCTGAAGCAGGAGAATTGCTTGAACCTGGGAGGCAGAGGTTGCAGTGAGCTAAGAGTGCGCCACTGTCCTCCAGCCTGGGCAACGGAGTGAGACTCTGTCTCAAAAAAAAAATTAAAATTAAAAAATTAGAAGTAAATAAATGAATATTAATGGCCAAAATTGAGTCTCATGGCCACCTGTAGACCAGTCACTGGCCAAGGAGAACGTGATGATCATGACTAGTTCCACCCAGTGATGTTTCATCACCCAGGGCTGGAATGGAAGCTGGGTAGGGCATGAGTAGGGAATGGATGATATTTGACTACAAAGTGGTTTTTTTTCTTTTTTTGCCAGAAATGTTCCCATGGCACTACAGACCATTTAAATCCCTGTCTTCCAGCTGCCCCTCCCCACTACAAGATCTCCAGCAGCAGCAGCTAGGTGTTATCAGCACCACGCATGGCTGATTCTTTGGGAATAATGGCAGAATGCCGGCCATTAGGATGAAGGATGGATGGCCACGTTGTTGGCAGACTAAAGGGCCAGATGCAGCTTCAGACACATGGAGGGTTCTGGAAAGGGAGAGACTTTGTAAGCCGAGTTTCCAGAAAAGACGTTCAGGAGGCAGGGAATAGGACCTTGAAGGATGCACCCCTCTCTCTAGTTTTATTAGTTCTTCTCATAGATTTATTTATCCTTATGAAATAATTTCCTTCACTTATATGCATTCTCTCTGGATTTGATTAACTTTTTAGAGGTTTTGTCATGGGGGGTTGAACCCATTTGGATCTAAACTTGAGCTTTTGGAGGATTTTGTTTTGTCATCTGTGTGGTTTTAGCTCCCTAAATTGAGCTGTGCCAATCCTGGGATCTGTTCCCCCTGCATCCTGCCATCTGGTGTGATCTCTGTTTTCCTCAGACAATAATCCTGCAATTGTTTCCTTTCCAATCCCCCGACTAAGGCTGTTTTGAGAGCTGCTTTTCTTCCACATTTGCTCTTTCTTACGCCTCTTCTGCAGGAGGCTGAGCTGGCTGGGTTCCTTGACGTGGCCCGCATCATTCAGACCAGACTCAGTGGCATCTGCTTGTGGCTGAATGGATGGAGGGTGAACAGGTGTCTCAGCTGGGAAATTAATCCTTGGCTAACGCCAGTGAGCCTTGTCACTCATGCAACATTTCATTTTACCCACAAGATTAAAAAGCTTCCTGAGCCAAACACCATTTCTTATACCTTTCGTATCCTCACAGCACCTAATAACATGGCCTCACATGGAGCAGGGGTTCCATAAATATTTATTAGTATCCTAATCTTTCACCACTAAGGTAGTGTTAACACCGATGATGAGCTTGTGAGTCAGGTTGCATATGACACCAAATGAGAGCTGAAATGCAAAAAGTGCAGAAAAAAAAGAAAGATGCAACAATATGACTTCTGTTTACCCTAACTTATCTCTGATTTTCTTTTCTGCACTGCTGGCTAATTGGGAACCATGCACATGAACAACTCTCAAGATGTGTGAACAACAAACATAAGAAGAAAGAACAGAAAGCAGCCTGAGGAAGTGAGCGGGAATTGCTCCCTTAACTCTGTTTCCTGGGTGTCTCAGGAGCACCAGACCTGGCCTGATACTGCACATATGCACCCTCCCATCCCCCGGACAGCACTGAGATGGGAGGGGCATAACTCCCGTTTTATTGCTGAGATACTCAAGTACGAGGTGGTTGAATTACTCACCCAAGGTCACGGAGCTGGCTGTTGGCAGATGTGAGCCTGTTCTCTGATCTGTCCCTTAGGGGACACAATTCAGGCCAGTGCTCTCTGCAGCCCAAGATGGAACAATGAGAAGCTGCCCTGTGGCTGATTATCATGCCTGGCTTGTGGCCTCTTCTCACTGTTGCCCAGTGTAACTCTGCATATTTAGTCCATCTCCACTGATTCACACTACAAGAAAAGCCAACTTCCACCTAGGAAACTAGTATCTTAGTCCATTCTGGCTGCTATAACAAAATACCATAAACTGGGTGGCTTATAAATAGCAGAAATTTATTGCTCACAGTTCTAGATGCTGGGAAGTCCAAGCTCAAGGTGCCAACACATTTTGTGGCGTCTGGTGGGGGCCTGCCTCCCGATTCACATGTGATGTCTCCTCACTCTGTTCTCACATGGCAGAAGGGGCAACGAGCTCCCTTGGGCCTCTTTGATAAGGGCACTAATCCCATTCATGAGGGTGCCACCCTTGTGACCTAATCACCTCCTAAAGGCCTCACCTCCTAATACCATCACATTGGGGATTAGGATTTCAACATATGAACTTTTGGGGGACCCAAACTTTCAAACCATACCAACTAGCTTGACTCTAACATGCAGACCTGGGGCCAACTTGGAGCACTTGCCCCACAGCTGGCTTTTCTCTCACCTGGCTTCTAGGGTGACATCTAGTTAGAGGCTTGGTGGTCACTATAGGGTCATAAGCTTGTCTGCCAAGAAGTTTTTAATAGATGCCCCTGAACTTGCCTTGCAGGAAGCTCCTCTGTTTCCTAGCTTGGGGATGGCTCTTCCCACACTTTTTCTCTCCCTGCAGTTAAAGCAATCTCTGGCAAGGCCATTACATAAGCAGTGTCCCTTGCCAGCTGTCACCAAGGCCACCGGAAAAATCAAGACATATGTAAGCCAGCAATGGCTCACCAGAGGCTGGACAGCCCCGCATGCTCATTACCCCCTGCTTGGAGCTGGGTTTGAGCCCTCTCATGACTGCCAGCCCTGGATTTTTCCAAAACATAAAAAACCACAGTGATAGGCATTTGCTGCAGATTTTTTTCTTTTCTTTCTTTCTTTCTTTCTTTCTTTTTTTTTTTTTGAGATGGAGTCTCGCTCTGTCTCCCAGTCTGGAGTGAAGTGGCGCATTCTCGACTCACTGCAAACTCTGCCTCCTGGGTTCAAGCAATTCTCCTATCTCAGCCTCCCGAGTAGCTGGGATTACAGGCACACGGCCCCACACCCAGCTAATTTTTGTATTTTTATTAAAGATGGGGTTTCGCCATGTTGGCCAGGCTGGTCTTGAACTCCTGACCCCAAGTGATCCACCCGCCTCAGCCTCCCAAAGTGCTGGGATTACAGGCGTGAGCCATTGTGCCCGGCCAACTGCAGATTTAAAACCAATTGAGACACTGGGGAGGTAGAACACAGGCTAGAAACATTACCCTGAAAGCCATCTGTCCCTTTTGGTTCCTGATTTCTTCCTGAGGTCAAGGTCATGTACTTGTTCCTATTTCCACATCCCACCTTGTATTAGTCCATTGTGTGTTGCTATAAAGGAACACCTGAGGCTGGGTAATTTATAGGAAAAGAGGTTTATTTGGCTTATGGTTCTGCAGGCTGTACAGGAAGTATGGCATCAGCATCTGCTTCTGGTGAGGCCTCAAGAAACTTCCACTCTGGCCAGGCATGGTGGTTCACGCCTGTAATCCCAGCACTTTGGGAGGACGAAGCAGGCGGATCACTTGAGGTCAGGGGTCCAAGACCAGCCTGGCCAACATAGTGAAATCCCGCCTCTACTAAAAATACAAAAATTAGCCGAGCATGGTGGCACACACCTATAGTCCCAACTACTCGGGAGGCTGAGGCACAAGAATTATTTGAACCCAGGAGGCGGAGTTTGCAGTGAGCCGAGATTGTGCCATTGTATTTCAGCCTGGGCAACAGGGCGAGACTCTCTCTCAAAAAAAAAGAAGCTTCTGCTTGTGGCAGATGGTGAAGGGAGAGTGGGTGCACCACATGAGAGAGTTCTCCGATTCTAACGGCCAGCTCCCATGTGAAGTAATTGAGCAAGAACTCACTCATTGCTGTGAGGAGGGCACCAAGCCACTCATGAGGGATCCACCCCATGACCCAAACACTTCCCACCAGGCCCCATCTTCAACACTGGGGGTCACATTTCAACATGAGAGTTGGAGGGGGAAAATATGCAAATGATATCTCCCTTCTCCCACCACCAGCTGCATGACTGTGAGTGAGTCATTTGGCCTCCCTGGGCCTCTGCATCCTCACCTGAAAAATGAATGAAACCATCACCAGGGTCCCCTTCATTCTGGAGCTCAGTTTGTTCTAGTGTGGGCTGGCCTGGAGCACCCCTTCCTCCCCTCTGTCTATCAGATCCTGCAAGACCTGGGCATGAAGCCGGTGCCCACACCTGGCGTGTGGATGGCCAGGGGTATTTCCTCGCAGCTCTTAGGTGAGGGACCACACCGTTTGTTGGAGCCAGAAGTGAGTATGTGACCCCTAGATTCATTCTACCAGGTATTAGGTGGCCACAGGGCTTCCCATACCAGGTCCCCAAATTCCAACTGGTTTATTTACAGAGCCCTTTGTCTACATCATCTCACTTGCAGCCTCCCCATGAAAGCAGCAAAATCCCCAGTGTGAGGATTCCTGATCTGCAGATGAGGGAGATGGTTGGGTGGGAGGGAGAAGTGACTGAGGACAGCAGTGTCATAGATTACAACCGCTGCGTCCTCCACCTGACCCACTTAAAGAAGGGAAAGGAGGAGGGATTGGGGAGGGTTCACTCTGCATCGCCCGCACACTGATGCCACGGCTCACCCTTCCAGGCTAGCACCTGCATTAGCCAACACTACTGGGAGGTAGCAGAGCTGCCATCCAACCCTCCTGGATGGCTGCACTCTTCTTCAGCCCTCCAGCCCCTGGTGTGCTCCGTCCCACACAGAGAGAGCCAGCAGGAAGGAGGGCAGCCAGGTCCCTGTAGGTGACAAGATGAGTGAGCTGTATCTAAGAACTCGGCAGCTCAGGGTTCAGAAAGAGCCGAGGTGTGAGCCTTCAAGAGACAGGCTCAACGTGAGTCAGTTTCCCCCTCTGGCAGGTAGGGTAATGGATATTTCAGAGTTTCATAAGAAGGAGGCAAATCTACGCAAAATGCCCAGCACAAGGTTTGTCAATAAACAACCGTAATACTCTCTGCGCTCCCTGTGACTATCAGGCTGGGACCTTGCAAGCCACACCACACTTTGAGGCAGCAAAGATCCCAGCCTCTTTGGCATTCCAGTTGCATAATCTTTTTGTTGTTGTTGTTGTTGTTGTTTGAGTCAGCGTCTCGCTCTGTTGCCCAGGCTGGAGTGAAGTGGTGCCATCATAGCTCACTGCAGCCTCCAACTCCTGGGCTCAAGCAACCCTCTTGCCTTGGTCCCTCAAATAGCTGGGGACTACAAGCAACACCATGCCTGGCTAATTTTTTTAGCCAGAGATGGAGTCCCACTCTGTCACCCAGGGTGGAGTGCAGTGGCACAGTCTCAGCTCATTGCAGCCTCTGCTACCTGGGTTCAAGCGACTCTCCTGCCTGGCTAATGTTTTATTTACAATTTTGAAACTGGAGTTAAGAGTCAAAGATGTACAATAAATCTAGTAAAGTGAAACCCAAAACAACTTCTAGAAAAGGGGAAAAGTCGGGCCAGGTGCAGTGGCTCACGCCTATAATCCCAGCACTTTGGGAGGCCGAGGTGGGTGGATCACCTGAGGTCAGGAGTTTGAGACCAGCCTGGCCAACATGGCGAAACCCCATCTCTACTAAAAATACAAAAAAATTAGCTGGGCATTGTGTCGGGTGCTTGTAATCCCAACTATTCGGGAGGCTGAGGCAGGAGAATCGCTTGAACTCAGGAGGTGGAGGTTGCAGTGAGCCGAGACTGTGCCATTGCACTCTAGCCTGGGCAACAAGAGTGAAACTCTGCCTCAAAAAAAAAAAAAAAAAAAAAAAAAAAGCTGGGGGGAAGAGTGACAAAAACAAAAAGATGACCATGAGAAGAAGGGCATTTTTAAAAAAAAAGGATTAACAGAAGGGGTTAAGATTGAGGCTTTTGGGGAGCAGCTGGTAAACAGAAAAAGAAATTGGCTAACAAATAATTTGGATGAAAATTATGTAGTAAAGAGATTGGAAAAAATACGGCTTCAGAACAATAATGAACCATTTTTGATAAAAGCTAGTTCCTGGAATGGATTGCCTCTCATTTGTATTATATCAAAAGCTGTTTGGTAATTTAAGGGCAGCTGGTGAAGATCTGGTGAAAGATCACAAACAGAAGGACTAAAAGAAAGGACTCAAGGAGAACATTCTCTCAGTCTGAAAAAAATACAGTCGGATTTGTATGCTGAAATGCCCCCAAAACAAATGATTCTGAGAAATGAAACCACTAACAGAAATGAGTTGAGAAAATGAACGTAATGGAGTATCTCAGAGTTAGGAGAGGACGGCTGAAAAGAATAAAAAGGAGATTCAAGTGGAGCTCAGAGAGAGAAGAAAGACAATCCGCAGGGTGGACCCAAGCAAAGGGCTTTTGTCTGAGGTTTATGCAATGAATCGTGGCTTCAGTGAGCTGATTCCTGGTATACATTGCACTACATTTGGCCAGAACAATGATTGCTGCCTTTTTTTTTTTTAACTCACAAAAATCAAAGTATTGTGTAGCTTTTTCCACCTGCCTGAGGCTCCAGGTTATGAAAAGAAAAGGATGAATCATAAGTAAGAATATAGCTTTGATGAAAAAGCCCTCTATCATATGATGACATGATCAGTTTAACAAGACCCATGGTGTCTGTCTGACGGAGACATGACTATTTTTGGACTTTACGTAGCAGAATTCTTGTATCACAAGAATATTCATAGATATGTGTGATACGGGTCCACTTTGAGCATCTGAAAGTTCAGTTCTGGGTGCAGTCTGGTTTTTGTATGTGTTCTTGTAGTAGCAGTTTATTGCATAAGGAATAATTACTCCAGGGTTTTTGAAAAAAAAAAAAATTAAGTAGCAGTAGTAGCTAACACATAGATGCTTACTATGTGCCAGGCACTGTTTGAAGCTCTTGACATGCATTCCCTCTTGTAACTGTTTCAGCAGCCCCATTAGGTAGGTACTGTATGATTCCATTTTGCAGATGAGGAGACCCAGGCTCAGGGAGGTTAAATAACTTGCCCAGCGTCATAGAGCCAGAGAGGAGCAGAGCATGGAGTCTATGTGCCAAACCCCCTTGCACCCACCCCTCTATTTGGCCGTTGTTCATATTTATCCTATTTACTTCAAGTTATCTCATATACAAGAGATAAAACACCACATAGAAAGTTGCTGTGCCTGTTATATTCCCAGTCCTTGCTTCGTCCCCTGTCCCATCCATGTGAGGTGTATCCCCCAGTTCCTTTTTCAAATACATTTACATAGGTGTCATATTTATGGACAATAGAGAATGTTATTTTTCATGCTTCAACATTTGCATAAGTGGTAATATACTCTATATCCATTGTAGAACTCGCTTTTTCCTCCATTTCCACCATTATGATGTGAGTGTTGTCTATGTTGATATGAATCCATTTCTCTGCACCATCCAGTTCTGTAGTTGCTGGCCACATTTGGATGCTGAGCAGTGATATGTGACTGCTGGAATTGAGATGTACGGTGAGTGTAAAACACCCGGTTTCAAAGACAGTAGGAAAAACAGTAAAATATCCTATTAATAATTTTCATATTGATTACTTGTTGAAATTATAATATTTTGGACATATTGGGTTAAATAAAATGTATCATTAAAATTAGCTTCACCTATGTTTTCTCTCTCTTTTTTTTTTTTTTTTTTTTTGAGACAGAGTCTCGCTGTATCGCCCAGGCTGGAGTGCAGTGGTGTGATCTTGGCTCACTGCAACCTCTGCTTCCCAGCTTCAAGCAATTCTCCTGCCTCAGCCTCCCAAGTAGCTGGGACTACAGGTGTGTGCCACCACGCCCAACTAATTTTTGTATTTTTAGTAGAGATGGGGTTTCACTATGTTGGCTAGGCTAACCTCAAGTGATCCACCCGCCTTGGCATCCCAAAGTGCTGAGATTACAGACATAAGCCATGACACCCGACCTGTTTTCTTATTTTTTAATATGGCTGCTAGAAAACTGAACACCGCCTCTGCGGCTTGCATGTTTGGCTTACATTTTTATCAAAGGGCAGTGATGTGGATCATTCCTCTTAGCTGCTGTCTGTCTGGGTTTTGTTAATTGGTGAAGTAAGAAGTCCTAAATCTAATAGCAAGAAGAATTACTATTTACTGCGCACAGATATTTACTCTAAGTGCTTTACAAGTAATGGCCCATTCAGTCTTGCGAGGTGGCATGGCTGCACGAAGTGAGATTAAGCAATTGCCCAGTCACGAAGCTCCAAGGAGGCTGAGTTGAGGCTGAAGTCAGGCGGCTGCCTCCAAAGCCTGACCTTGTAACCACTAACTGGACAAGGCCCCGTGAGAAACGGCATAAATCCACCTAAGAAAGCAATGACCTTAGAGCTTCCCTTGTGGTGGGGTGAAGTTTCCTTCACCACAATACATTGTCCTTACATATCAATGGAGCATCTGTCTTTCCTGACTTTTAACAGAGCAGGTTATAAACAGACACACATTTGTTGTGGCAATTTCAGCTTTAATGAAACCAGCACAGGCAGTATTTTTCTGACATCCGCTTGCAACATTATGAAGTCAGCTTTACTCTTTGCCACTAATTATATTAACTATTTTTAGGGCAAACTGTCAATGCACCATACTGGTTCATGCTTCCTAGGTTTTCAACCTGTTTTCTTTAGCCATATCTATTTATACCTCAAGTGTTTTTTCTTTTAAGAAGCATCCTCATTTTTCTGACAATGATATAGTTGTGGCTCATAATTAAGTTATAAAACACTCTGGGAGGGCAAAGATGACGTGTGATTGCCATGGGGATATTATTGATGAATATTGGATTGGTTTTTGAATTCTGAATTCAAACCCACTTTAACATTTTGAATCATAAAGTTACAGAACTGGTAGGGATCCGAAGTCTCTTTAGTGTTGGTTAAGATCATAGACTTGGCATCAGCAACTGCGTTGACCCTTAGGCTGGGATCTTAACCATTGTAAGTCTTGGTTTTCTCATCTAGAAAATGGGGATCCTGACATCCATCTTCTAGACCTCTGTCTGTGGATTGAGACAGTGACTGTAACTCTGTTCCCTGTATCTACTTTTACTCCATGGTAGTTGTGGTAATTACTATTATTATTACTATTACTATATCATCTTTCCCCAGATGACTCCAAGGGTATACAGTCTCTTCAAGCACATCTGGCCTTTTTCTCCTCCATGCTCAACCAGAACTCTTGAACTTTCCCTTAGTTGGAGAGGTCAATGGTTAGAAGGAAGAAAACTCCGCAACCCACTCCCTCCCTTTGCTCTCTCTCTGGGGCACCGTGGGCAGCTCTTGCTGCAGAGAGCTGTGCTGAGGCCCTTTACTACAGAACCTGTACAGCGCACCCTCCAACAGCACTTCCATCTATGGTCCTACTCCCCAAGGATCTGCCTCCGCACAGCCCTCCCAATGTGCCTGAAAATATCAGCATTGATCCTTTCCCTGGCCACCTTGCTCTTAAGGCTCCTGTTCATCATGCTATGTGGATGTGGACCTCCTCGCCTCTCTGTACTGCCCATGATGGTGGATTACAGCAGAATGGGCTCACCAGTTGACAGCTTTCCCCACTCATGTCTTCTACTCACTAGCTAAGCTTGGGGTGGGTGTCCCCATTGCCCGGAAAATTACTACACAGCCCTCATATCAAACTTGTTTTGAGAAGCATAACCATAAACCCATCTTTGGCCTATGATCCTAGGGAGTCCTCATGCCAACAAGACCTTTTGGGGTCAGCCACGCATGTGAAGTTAGAATGCAGTTTAGGCTGTGCCATGAATCTGAACTAAATATGATTTTAGGGGTGAGGAAACTGGGACCTAGGGGCTTGGGGAACTGGCCCGAAGGTATGGAGAGTACCTGACCTTGTCGTTCTTCCAGGATATGATATTTACTCCTGGCACCAATCCCCTCTACCTTGTACTGAAAGCAAGGACAGCCTGCCTGCAACCACACATACAGGTGGCCATCCAGCAGGTGCATACTAAATGTGTGTTGAGTTGAATTATTAGACTCTTTCTAAGCAACCTTGCAGCATTGAAGGGACCGCAATCCCTTTGCCTCTGCGTCCTTAGGGCTAAACTCGAGGTCTCGATGTCTTGCACTGTGGGCTGGGCCGGGTTTGGTGCCTCACCCAGCAGGTAAGTGCTGTCTACGCCTCCCACAGGTCCAGTGGCTCCTCTCCAGACTTGGGTGCACTGGGCCAGGCTGCACCTTACTAATCTCAAGGCTTCCTGTGTTTGTGGCTTTGGGGCCCTCTTCATCGTGTGAATAGGAATAAGAAGATTGTTATTTCTGGCCGGGTGCAGTGGCTCACGCCTGTAATCCCAGCACTTTGGGAGGCCGAGACGGGCGGATCACCTGAGGTGGGGAGTTCGAGACCAGCCTGATCAACATGGAGAAACCCCGTCTCTACTAAAAATATAAAATTAGCCGGGCGTGGTGGTGCATGCCTGTAATCCCAGCTACTAGGGAGGCTGAGGCAGGAGAATCGCTTGAACCCGGGAGGCGGAGGTTGCGGTGAGCCGAGATCGCGCCACTGCACTCCAGCCTGGGCAACAAGAGCGAAATTCCGTCTCAAAAAAAAAAAAAAGATTGTTATTTCTGAAATAAACCCCTATTTCTCACTATTTAATAATTTAGCAATCTTGACTCACAATCCAAATCCAGGCACCCCAGACCCACCCACGGCCCGTTGCCTAGCAACAGCCTCCCCACCCCCGCCTCCGCGCCTTTTCCCGCCGACTGCCCAGTGCGCACGCTCAGAGCCTTCCTCCACACCCCGCCCCTGCAGGGCGCGCGGTGGTGACGTGTAGAGTGCGCGACGCTTTTGGCGACCCGACCTCTGGCTAACCTACCCCCGGAGCCATGGCCTCTGCTGGGGTGGCAGCCGGGCGACAGGCGGAGGATGTATTGCCGCCAACGTCCGACCAGCCGCTGCCTGACACCAAGCCGCTGCCGCCTCCTCAGCCGCCGCCGGTCCCTGCGCCTCAACCGCAGCAGTCGCCGGCGCCACGGCCTCAGTCACCTGCCCGCGCGAGGGAGGAAGAGAACTACTCCTTTTTACCTTTGGTTCACAACATCATCAAATGGTAAGAACCTAGGAGAGGACCAGGCCCCATACTCCCTCCAGCTTCTCCTCTCAGCCGTTTCAGAGCTGCAAGAGGCCTTGGCGCTCTGGGGCACGCCCCCGTTTCACAGATGGGGAAACTCAGACCCAGAGCGGGAAGAGGCCTTTCCCAAGACCACAGAGACATTCCATGAGTTAAGCAAACGATTTGAGCCTCGAGAGGTGCGATATCCTTAAGAATGAAGCCAGCTTAGAGACTAAATGCAGACTCTTGTCCAGCGGCTCAAATGTTCATCCCAGCGATCTTGAGCAAATTAAATCTCTTTAAGCCTCAGTTTTCTCACCTTTAATGTTGGTAATACTCACTTTAGTTCCTTAGTTCAGCAAACTCAACAGATAAGCATCATCTTCCCTGTGCCAAGTGCTACGGGATGGACGCAGTAAAAGGGGCCAACTTTTCACCCCCAAAGGTTTAGATAGAAGGAAAAAAAGACATGATTGGGAATAACCCACAATTCAAAAAGATTGAGACGGGAGTGGTGGCGATGGGAAACATTAGACTAAGCAGAAACACAGAAGTTGCCTCAGATGATTAGACCCACTTGTACTGACTTTGTTCTAACAGTACCAAAGGAAATAATTGTTGTCATCCTTTTGGCCAGCCTTCAGGGTAGCCTGAGTTTTCAAAGTGACTCTGTAGAGGAAAAACCAAAAACAAAAACACAAAAGTCTCACTGATCCTTATGTTTGCCTAAATTATTATTTTTTTTGAGAGAGGGTCTCGCTCTGTCACCCAGACTGGAGTACAGTGGCGTGATCTCGGCTCACTGCAGCCTCAACCTCCTGGCCTCAAGCCATCCTCCCACCTCATCCTCCCAAGTAACCGGAACCACAGGCATGAGCCATGGCACCCAGCGAATTTTTGTATTTTTTGTAGAGATGGAGTTTCACCATGTTGCCCAGGCTGTAAATTATTTTCATTATGTTACTTCACTGTATATCCACGTGATACTAGGTGTAAACCCCTAGGCTTGTAACTCTTACTCAACCATTAAAGACCAAAACAAAGTAAATTAAAAGAAAATTACGATTCCAGTAACATTCAGGTGAACATGAATGTGCTCTTCACTGTTTTACTGAAATGGAATTGTTACAACGTGAAGGTCTTGACTGTTAGTGGCCCACCCACTTTTGAGTTTAAGCAAATTAGATTCACTTGCTGTGGGATGACCTGATGCTCTTCTGCCACTTTTCAAATAACTACAAAGGCTTTGTTCTCACATTAGACCCTGGCTTCATTTGGTTTCACTTGGTGTTTAAATACTGTTTATAGGGGCCAGGCATGGTGTCTCATGCCTGTAATCCCAGCACTTTGGGAGGCCAAGGCGGGCGGATCACGAGGTCAGAGTTTGAGACCAGCCTCGTCGACATGGCAAAACCCCATCTCTACTAAAAACACAAAAATTAGCCGGGTGTGGTGGCGGCTGCCTGTAATCCCAGCTACTCAGGAGGCTGAGGCAGGAGAATCACTTGAACCCGGGAGGTGGAGGTTGCAGTGAGCCGAGATCATGCCATTGCACTCCAGCCTGGGCAACAAGAGCAAGACTCTGCCTCAAAAAAAAAAAAAAAGTAATGCTTATAGGATAAGGCAGCCTATTCAGTTTTCGTGAGCCTGTGATAATGATCATAGACAGAAATACATATGGAGCCCCTGTAATCCTAGGGCAGTGCTGGATTATAAAGGGTTTATTCTGATTAACCCTAGTTTACTGGTTTTAAGAAAAATGTGGAAAAATGAAAACACAAAATGTACACATTCACAAGGACAGCTCTTGAACTCCCCAAGAGTATATTCTTGAGCCCTGGTAGAGCAGCTGGGTTGGGTTGGCCTTAAAAGATGTAGTAGTAAGTTATACTAGAGAGAACAGGCTTTGAAGTTAGACAGCCCTGTGTTCAAATCTGTGTACTGACATTTTCTTGCCTTCTAATCTTGATATAAATGCCTAACCTTTCTAGGCCATAATCTTCTTATCTCTAATATGTCCATAGTGGACCTCAAAAGAGAGGTTCAGATTATGTCATAGCTCTATAATGTGCTGACTGGGTGACCTTGGCAAGTAGCTTAGCTTCTCTGAGCCTGTTTTTCTCTTGTGAAATGGGAATGCTTATGTCATAGGATTGTTGGGAGATGTACTCAGGAGTGTACCTGTGAAACATAGTGGGTTGATCACATGTGCTTGTCTCTGTTCCATCTAAAAGGACAGAGAAGGGAGTTTAAAAAAAAAAAAAAGCATAAAACCTTCAGACATGGTGGTTCATGCCTGTAATCCCAACACTTTAGGAGGCTGAGGCGAGCCGGTCGCTTGAGCCTGGGAGTTCAAGACCAGCCTGGGCAACATGGCAAAACCCCGTCCCTACAAAAAATACAAAAAAAATTAGCCAGGCATGGTGGTGTGTGCCTGCAGTCCTGGCTACTTGGGAGGCTGAAGTGGGAGGATCACTTGAACCCAGATCATGCCACTGCATTCTAGCATGGGTGACAGAATGAGACCCTGTGTCAAAAATAAAAAGCATAAAACCAAAAAGAATAGGACAGGAGATGATTGCCACAAAGTGGATGACCAGGGCTAATTCATCTACCAACTCCTAAGCACCTGGTTTGTTAACCATGGCCTATCCCCAGATCTCAGGAACTCTAGTGCAAGGACCCCCTGGAAATAGGGGTGAAGGTGGGTCTAAGAACAGGAAGATTACTTGGAAGTCTGTTTAAGAAGCAGGTCCCCACAGTCCTGTCCCACCTCCCATCCCCTCCAAGCGGCCGGGTGACTACCCTTCTTCCAACTTGGCAGATGGTTAAAAGGTTACTCTCCCGAGATTTATTCTTAGGAAGGAATAAGCCAGAGAGTACCTTGACTGTGGGACACCAGGCACACTGCAGGGGTAGGTAGGGGGAGCCATACTGAAAAGAGGGATTAAGAGAAAGTTCACAGTCTGAAGAGAGACACCACCCGAGCCTTCCCCCACCTGGCTTCTAGATTGGCAGCCAAAGAGAGTGGAAGTGCCCTCTCTATGGTGCGTGACCAATTAAGAGAAAAGACATTGGAAAAAAAAAAAGCCTAGTCAATTAATTCTGAGAAAATGAACAAGCATCACTCATTTGCAGAGCTTCCACTAAGCCTTTTAGTGTTTTATTCTTAAATATATGAGTGGATGGCCAAGGTCACTAAGCATAGGAAGAAACCCCCTGGTAAGAAAGACACGGGTCAGGCGCGGTGCCTCATGTCTGTCTGCAAGCCCAGCACCTGGGCAGGCTGAGATGGGAGGATAGCTTGAACCCAGGGAGCTGAGGCTACGGTGAGCCATGATCGCACTGCTACACTTCAGCCTGGGTGACATAGACTCTGTCTCAAAGAAGAAAGAAAGAAAGAGAGGAGACAGAGAGAGAGAGGAAAAAAGAGAAAGACAAGACAGAAGAGCAGAAAAAGCCACGTGGAGGAAACAGTAGCCACAAAGGAATGGAGTGGTTCTGCAGCTGTAAACATGAGAAGAGGCTAGGATCCAACCTGCAAACCTTCAGTATAGGCGTGTCTTTGAGTTTATAGGCAAATGAGGGAGGAATAAGGGCAGAGGAGGAAGGGAGAGGAGACCTCGTGAAGCCTGGGGGAGTCAGAAGGCTTGGTAAGAGTGATGCCAACAATGAGTCTTCAATTAGGAAAGGGAGGCAGGAGGAATGTTGGTATAGGAAAAACATGTAAGGACACGAAGCCAAGAAATAGCATCTACTCATGGGAGTCAGCTTCTAGCTTGGTGGTGTTGAGCATACATCCAAGGCAGGAAGAGGTGGCTGGGGAGGAGGGAAGAGCCAGGAAACAGAGTGCAGGTGTCTTCTGAGGGATGGGGAGCTAGTGAAACTGTCAGGCTGGAAGCCAGTCAAGACACAGTACTGGCGGGTGGAGATGAGGGCTGGGACCATGTCCGGTCCACCCAGGTGGCGCTCTCTGGCCCTGGGTCCCTTCCTTTCCTATAACTTCCCCAATGATCCTTTTATTCTTTGTTTACTTCTTGCACAGGGGTGAGTAAGGAGGTAAAATCTGAAGTAGTGAATTTAGCCTTTCTTGTTCTCATAAAGAATTCAGAGTTTTTGAAAAATTATTTAATAAAAGTAACAACTGCAAGTTTAGAAGTACAGAGAAACGTAAAATGGAAAATGTGTTCCTTCCCCCAAGTCCCCTCACCTGTAGTAACTGCTGTTAATACTTTCCTAAGTTCCTTCTGGGAATTACATATGAATGTCATTTCAAAAATTTATACAAATTGAGATCACGTCGTACTTGACTTTTTTCACTGATTAGTCTCTTTTGGCCACCTTTCCATACTGCACATAAAGATCTACCTCATTAAGGCAGCTGCAGAAAATTGCATCTTGTGGATGCAGCATAACTGATGGAACTGGTTTTCTGTTGATGGTCTTCTAGCTGTTTTTCTTATTCTTGCTATTACCAGCACAGTGCTGGGGTTAGCATCTTTGTGTAGGAGTAAGTTTATGATCAGATAAATCCCAGCAGTAGAATTGCTGGGGCATAGGGTACAAACATTTTTTATAGTGATAGTTATGCTAAATTTAGAGCACTACGTCTTTTTAGCTAACTCTTTTCCAAAATTCAGTCCTTGTAGACTAGACTGCTTCAGTTAACCTAAAATGGCCTATAAATCTGCCACCCAGAAAGCATTAAACAAAAATTAAAGTTGTAGACGGATTCTACAAGTACCCATGGATATGAAATGGAAACAGGGCCTCTCCCTTCACTCCTCCCAGCTCCCTTGCAAAGCTGTGTAATATTCCACTTTATGAACGTGCTGTCGTTTATGTAAACAGTTTCTTGCTCAAGGACACCGTCATTGTTTCTGCATTTTGCTGTTGGAATCAGCACTGCAGCAAGCATCTTTGCCCATGCTATCTTGGTGAACTCTTGGTAGTCTCTGTGGGGGTAAATTTCTAGCAATGGGATATGTGAATCTGTTTGGGTCACTATGAGCAAAGAATGCCCTGATCTATGCTTCCACCAACAGTTTTTGTGTCTTTCCCCATCACCTGCCATCACCATTAAACTTTTAACTTTGGCAAATCTCATAGGTCAGAAATGATATATTGATCTTTCATTAAGTTAGGTAAAGCATCCCTTCATAGGCGATTTTATATGTCACTTTTATTTTTCCCTATAAACTGTCCATTTCTCTGTTAGATTTTTTTATGTACAGAAAGGAAATAATGTGTGTCAAATGTACTGTAAATACTTCCTCCAGGTTGTTGCTTTTCTTTTGACTTTGTTCATAGTCATGGTTTTTCTATTTGTTTTTCATTCAGATGCATATAATTTCATGTAGTCAGATTTGTTAGGCCTTTCCCTTATGGCTTCTGAGTTTTGGTCCTACTTAGAAAGGCTTTCCCACTCTAAAATTATAGGTATTGATCTCTTTTTTCTAGAACTTTCATGGTTCCATTTTTTACTTGTAATTCTTTGAGGCTCCTGGAATTTATTTTGGTGGGAAGAATAAGGGGGCCTCGGTTAGCCACATCTTCCCACTGCTGTTTTTGAATATTTGTTATTTTCCCTGCTTGCAGTGCCACCTTTACCATGCACTGAATTCCCACATGTTTTCTGATCTACTTATGGACATTCTCTCCTTCTCCAGCACCAAACTATTTTAGTTCTTAAATCTTCATGGTACATTTAATTATCTTTTAAGGTTAATTTTTCACCCTTCCTCTTTCTTGTCAGTATTTCCCTGGCCCTTCCTTTCCCGTGGAGTTTTCTAGCAGCCTGCCTGATGCTAGATCATGATGCTTTTGTTAATGGAACATTTCGTCTTTAATCTGCTTCTTTACTTCCAAGCCTGTTGATACTACTCATTGGCCAGGTCGTTGAGCCTCGCTTTTGAGTATTATAATCAGCATTTAATTAGTCTCTTTGCCTTTATGCTTATTTTATCTTGTGAATGTTATTTGGCTAATTTTTCTTTGTTCTCCATTCTTCTCAAATTGAGCCCAAACTTAGGCCTTTACTCAGGGATCTCTGCAGACCATTTTCAGATTGTCTGCCTGAATAACCCAACACAAAGCCCACAGAGGGTCCTCTTGCTGCAGGTGCTGTTGGGTGGGCGGAGTCCTCCAGGCTGGCAGACCCTCCAGCCCCTCCACTAGAAGTGCCCACAGAAATGCTGCACAGAGCCCTGTGAACCAGAGCCTCTCCTGTACCCCCAGGGACCCACCTGGTTCTGGGAGTGCTCTGGCTGGGACAGCCCTGCTTGGAGTTGGAACCCATAGCACTTTCATCTCTTCTAGTGTCTTTCCCGCAGTTGAATGAAAAATTAAACTACACATTTATGTTATTTTTAAAGAATGAGGAAAGGGAGGCTGGGCACGGTGGCTCACACCTGTAATCCCAGCACTTTGGGAGGCCGAGGCGGGTGGATCACGAGGTCAGGAGATCGAGACCATCCTGGCCAACACGGTGAAACCCTGTCTCTGCTAAAAATACAAAAATTAGCTGGATGTGGTGGTGCACGCCTGTAATCCCAGCTACTAGGGAGGCTGAGGCAGGAGAATCGCTTGAACCCGGGAGGCGGAGGTTGCAGTGAGCCACGATCGCACCATTGCACTCCAGCCTGGCGACAGAGCGAGACTCCATCTCAAAAAAAAAAAAAAGAATGAGGAAAGGGAAAAGAAATCCCATTTTCATGCCTATAAGAAATATTATAAATCCCAACTTTGAGACTTTCTTGATATATATAGATGCTACATTTTAAAAATGCATCATAAAGGAGTAATGAAATGGGGTCTGTTAGATTGGGGAAAATTATTATTTTTTCCTTCAAACTTAACAAATTTGAATCTGAGTTTGGAATGAAGTAGCTCAGCCTAGGCCTTCTGAATTACAGTTGTTGCTGCCTTGCGTGATGGTTTTGGCTCACTTTGTAAGAGTAATCTGTCGACATTGGGTACTTTAAAAACATTTTTTAAATTCAATGTTTTAATTCTTTACAAGGTCTAAGGCTGCTAGGTAGGTAGAGGGGAGCCGTCCTTGCCACCACAGATGGGGCTCAAGTGATGAGCACGCTGTCTGGCCCCTCCAGCTTGGCCTGGCCGCTTCAGCAGGTCAGCAAGACCTCAGAGCCCCAGCCAGACCTCTTTTGTGGGAACAGGGTGTTATTGACTGTCTTCTTCCCACTCAAGTATCTATTTTAATCTGCCCTGGCCTTCCATGCCAGCTGAGACCCGTTCCCGGGTTGTGCAGGAAGCGGCCCCCGCTAAGTGCCCACACTGGCTTCCCGGGGATAGTCCGCATGCAGTTACTGCAGGCCTCTGCCGTTCACTTTCTTCTCCCTCAGCCACACCCCAGGGAGCAGGATGAGCAGCCACAGATAGGGGGTGTTCATAGACTGCTCAGATGAGGTGTTTCCAGTCTGCCTAAAAGCCTCTTCACTCCTCTGCCATGTCATTTCCATCCACTCAGTATGACTTATAACCAGAAGGTGGGCCCCAGCAGAGGCAAGCCCCACGAAGGCAGGCCTTCGCGAGTCAGCACTTCCTTAGTGGGCGTGAGAAATGCCAGGCAAGCATTTACGTGGGTCCTGGGAAGGGTGGGAAGCTTTGCCTAGGAAGGCTGGAAGCACTTGTGGTGGCACTGGGGGGGTCTCCTTCACAGTTTGAATTTGCCTGAAAGGTGTTATCTGTGGGTAGGAGGCCATCTGGAATTATTTTATTTTATTTTTTATTTTTGAAATGGAGTCTCACTCTGTCGCCCAGGCTGGAGTACAGTGGCGTGTCTTGGCTCACTGCAATCTCTGGCTCCCAGGTTCACTTGAATCACTTGATTTCCGTGCCTCAGCCTCCCAAGTAGCTGGGACTACAGGCACACGCCACCATGCCTTTGTAAAAAACAAAACAAAAAAAAATTGTATTTTTAGTAGAGACAGGGTTTCGTCTCTGTCTACAGGCACACGCCACCACGCCTTTGTAAAAATACAAAAAAAAATTTTTTTTTTGTATTTTTAGTAGAGACGGGGCTGGCCTCAAGTGATCTGCTGACTTCAGCCTCCCAAAGTGCTGGGATTACAGGCGTGAGCCACCGGCCGCCATCTGGGATTTTTAAGCAGCATAGTGACCTGCTCAGACTTGGGTTTCTAAAGGTAGGTGGGGCAGAAGTGTTTCAGAAGAGGGGAGGACCTGGGTCCACAGGAAGGCAGTGGCAATGGGAGGTGGCTGGTCTAGAGGAGATGGAGCTGGCAGGATGGTGGCTGGAAGAAGGGGGCACACAGGTGCAAGCCTGGGGGTCCTAGCGTGGCCAGTAGAGTGTGTAGGTGGGACTGCACCCTCCCCCCGTCCCCTGCTGACAGCAAGTCTATGCTGGATATTTGCCATCTGCCAGACTCCAGGCAGGAATGACTTGGTAACTGTGGAGGGAGGAAACTCAAGTACAGGAAGGAAGGCTGACTGGGGAGGTGGTCCCCGTGTCGAGGGTTCGGGAGTGGATGAACACGTTCTGGGCATTTTGTAGTGCAGTGATTTTCATACTCCGTTTAGCAGCAGCACCTTTTGTCACTCTTTGCTAAAAAGAATATTTTTTACATGTAATGCTGTTAGCAGATGAAAGCAAGGGTGTGAGTTCAAGGCCTCCCTCTCCGGAAGGCCTCATAGGTCTTGGCAGAACTGGAGCAGAGAAACACAGTTGATAGGTAAGTAGTAGCCAGTATCATCCAGGGCGGGATGGAGAAGTGTGTCCTCCGTGGCTACAGATAATCTACATCAGTACAGTTTTTTTTTTGGAGGGCATTTTGGTAATATCTGTCAAAAATTTAAATATATATAACCTTTGACCCAGAATCCCTACTTTTAGAAAATGATCTTACCAAAATACTTGCACAAGTGAGAGGTGACAGCGTGCTGGCAGTCCTCAGAGCCCTCACTTGCTCTCGGCACCTCCTCTGCCTGGGCTCCCACTTTGGCAGCACTTGAGGAGCCCTTCAGCCCACCACTGCACTGTGGGAGCCCCTTTCTGGGCTGGCCAAGGCTGGAGCCCACTCTCTCAGCTTGCAGGGAGGTGTGGAGGGAGAGGCGCGAGCGGGAACCAGGGCTGCGTGCGGCGCTTGCGGGCCAGCTGGAGTTCCGGCTGGGCGTGGGCTTGGCAAGCCCCGCACTCGGAGCAGCCGGCCAGCTCTGCTGGCCCCGTGCAATGAGGGACTTAGCACCCGGGCCAGCAGCTGCGGAGGGTGTACTGGGTCCCCCAGCAGTGCCAGCCCACCGGCGCTAAGCTCGATTTCTCGCCAGGCCTTAGCTGCCTTCCCGCGCAGCAGGGCTCGGGACCTGCAGCCCGCCATGCCTGAGCCTCCCACCCACTCCATGGGCTCCTGTGCGGCCCCAGCCTCCCTGACGAGCACCACCCCCTGCTCCAGGGCGCCCAGTCCCATCAGCCACCCAAGGGCTGAGGAAAGCAAGCGTACGTGCAGGACTGGTAGGCAGCTCCACCTGCAGCCCCGGTGCGGGATCCACTAGGTGAAGCCAGCGGGGCTCCTGAGTCTGGTGGGGACGTGGAGAGTCTTTATGTCTAGCTCAGGGATTGTAAATACACCAGTCAGCACCCTGTGTTTAGCTCAAGGTTTGTGAGTGCACCAATCTACACTCTGTATCTAGCTGCTCTGGTGGGGACGTGGAGAACCTTTATGTCTAGCTCAGGGATTGTAAATACACCAATCGGCACTCTGTATCTAGCTCAAGGTTTGTAAACACACCAATCAGCACCCTGTGTTTAGCTCAAGGTTTGTGAATGCACCAATCGACACTCTGTATCTAGCTGCTCTGGTGGGGCCTTGGAGAACCTGTGTGTCCAAACTGTATCTAACTAATCTGATGGGGACGGGGAGAACCTTTGTATCTAGCTCAGGGATTGTAAATGCACCAATCAGCGCCGTGACAAAACAGGCCACTCGGCTCTACCAATCAGCAGGATGTGGGTGGGGCCAGATAAGAGAATAAAAGCAGGCTGCCGGAGCCAGCAGTGGCAACCCGCTTGGGTCCCCTTCCATGCTGTGGAAGCTTTGTTCTTTCACTCTTTGCAATAAATCTTGCCACTGCTCACTCTTTGGGTCCACGCTGCTTTTATGAGCTGTAACACTCACCGCGAAGATCTGCAGCTTCACTCCTGAGCCCAGCGAGACCACGAGCCCACCGGGAGGAACGAACAACTCCAGACATGCTGCCTTAAGAGCTGTAACGCACACCGCGAAGGTCTGCAGCTTCCCTCCTGAGCCAGCGAGACCACGAACCCACCAGAAGGAAGAAACTCCGAACACATCTGAACATCAGAAGGGACAGACTTCAGACGCGCCACCTTAAGAGCTGTAACACTCACTGTGAGGGTCCGTGGCCTCATTCTTGAAGTCAGTGAGACCAAGAACCCACCAATTCCGGACACACAAGTACATAAGGGTATAAGTACAAGATGTTCACTGTCATTCTAGTACAGTACAACCACCCATGAATAGCCAGGGTAATTTCGCTGTCTAATTGTATATGTGTTAACATGGAAGGACATCTGAGGTGCCTTGTTAAGTAGAAAAAGCAAGAATGAGAACTATGGATGGTCACATTTCTGTCAGAACAAATAAGAAAAGTTTGTGTGTTTTGTATGCTGTTGTACATTTCAAAGCCATCTGAAACAGTGGACACCACATGTTAGCAGAGGTTATCTCTGGAACAAGGGGTTAATGAGATTTCCCTTTTCTAAGCCTTGGTTGTCTCATTTTTGAATTTTTTCCCTCAAGTACCTATTACTGTCATTTTTTAAAAAAGTGATCTTAGAAAAATGAAAGCCACTGGAGTTAGTACCGTGCGAGGAGAGCCTGTGGGCAGAGGAATGGACTGGTAAGGGCTGGTCTGAGGGCAAGGCAGCTGGGACAGAGTGGAGTGTGAGGCACAGTGCATGGAAGTTGTGAGGAAGAAGAAATGGGAAACTGAGTCAGATGCCACCAAAAGGTCAAAAGAAATGACTGTCAGATTTGGGAGGAAGTCTGTGTCAGTGGTTCTAGCAGAGTTATTGGCCAGTTTGCATCTGTACTAAAGCATCCATGCTAAAAAGAAGAACAAAGAAAATCAGGGCATGATTCTCAGACACCTGCCTAAAACCCTGTGATGTTTGCCTTTGAGTCTGGTGACACGGATACAACTGTCTGTCAGACGTGGGAAGGATGCTCAGAGGATCACCCCTGGCGGTAGTATTTTTGTCCACTCTTTAAAAAAACCATAGTAGGGGGCTGGGTGCGGTGGCTTACGCCTGTAATCCCAGCACTTTGGGAGGTTGAGGTGGGCGGATCACCTGAGGTCGGGAGTTCGAGACCAGCCTGGCCAACGTGGAGAAACACCATCTCTACTAAAAATACAAAATTAGCCGGGCGTGGTAGCGCATGCCTGTAATCCCAGCTACTCAGGAGGCCGAGGCAGGAGAATCACTTGAACCCGGGAGGCGGAGGTTGCAGTGAGCCAAGATCGCACCATTGCACTCCAGCCTGGGCAACGAGTAAAACTCTGTCTCAAAAAAAAAAAAGAAAAAAAGAAACCACAGTACCACAGTAGTTGGGACCAAAGTGCTCTGACCTTGCCTTGTTTGTACGATGTTCATCCTCCTTGACCTAGTGGCTTTTTTCATTCCTTCTATAGTTGGCCGATGACTAACCTTGAACACAAAGGTAGGCCCACTTAGAGCTTTCTGCTTTTATTCACTCGGTATTTGGTCCTGTCCCTTTTCTTTTGGCTTGAATATTTCACAGTCATCCTGGCTTAGCAGATGCCCACTTCTGAATAGCATGTTCTCTTCACTCCAGGAGTTCCATGCTATTTACCTCCACCAACTAGGGCAGTTGGGCTTGCAGAGGGGCCTCCCTGTGGGCTGCATGGCCCCTTTTGGCTCAGCTGCCCTCCAGGCGGCTTGTCTTACAGCTCCTTTTTTATTATCTGAAGACTGTCTCCTTTCCTGAAAGTTCACCAAAGAACACGCAACCCTTGCTATTTGGGGGTTTTCAGAGATGAGCATCTTAAACATGACCCACTTTCAACTTTCAGAACTAAATTTTCTTTTGGGCCAGGTTATGTTTGCTTCAAGAATGGGATTATCTGTCATCCACATTTCTATTTTAAGTACTTTTTTGTTTGTTTTACCATGTCCTTTGAGACTCATGTGAGTCGGTTTTTTTAAAAACTATATTTTAATTTTAAAACTTCCTTGGGACTTAAATTCGTAACGGTATGTTAACACGCATGCCATCCGAGTAGAAGGATTTCAGAAGTGCAGATGGTTTCTGTCCACATTTGTGGATCAGAGCTGAGACTTCAAAGAATTAAAATAAAAGACGTTCCCTATTTGCTTCCTTCCAAAGGATTTTTAGTTCTCATGAATACCAGTTCATCCTCTCTAGAATCTGCGATAAGGTATACTGTTAATGGTGTCTCTCAGTTGAGGGCATCATTTCCTGGCCTCTCATTTCCTGGAAGAAGTGATTGATTCTCCATACCCTCCCTCTGAGTTTAGAGCTGTTGGTAAATACTGAGCTGGCCATGGTGGCCATCTGATTTGCAAGGTGTGAGACGTAACTGATGGATCGCCAGGAAAGATGGATATTCTGCCTGCGTAAGCAGAGAAATGATGAATAGTAAACATGAATTAGCACCATCTGGGTTGAAATTTCCCACTACGGATGAACATTTATTTGAAAAAATTAATGATCATTGACAGTTTTTCCCTCTTATGCCTCAATGGCTTACTTTCAGAACAGCTTACTGAATTGCCTTTTAGTTTTGGTCTCAACCACTTGTTTTCAAAAGCTCATCCACTTACTAACTTTTAAAAAACGTATAGGAAGCTGAGTGTGGTGGCTCATGCCTGTAATCCCAGCACTTTGGGAGGCCGAGGCAGGTGGATCACCTGAGGTCAGGAGTTCAAGACCAGCCTGGCCAACATGGTGAAACCCTGTCTCTACTAAAAATACAAAAATTATCCGGGCGTGTTGGCATGCGCCTGTAATCCCAGCTACTCAGGAGGCTGAGGCAGGAGAATTGCTTGAACCGGGACCCGGGAGGTGGAGGTTGCAGTGAGCCGAGATCGCACCACTGCCCTCCAGTCTGGGCGACAGAGTGAGACCCTGTCTCAAACAAACAAAAAATGTACAGGAGCAACTGCCAGGCTGTTTTTTTGATCTTAAGTGAGATTGTTCTTGCCTCGTTTTTCATTGAGTAGGACCTCTGTGCAGCTAATAGCTGTGAGATGGAGCGAACCGTCTGCCTTGAAAGTGAACTTGACTCAAAGACAAGGACTGTCCATGACCATGGTAGAAGAGAGCCTGTGTCTGCTGAGACATTTAAATCAGTTCCATTTTAACTAATCTAACATTTATGAACAGCTCTGTGGAAATTAGTCTTTATGTTAACAGGTTCAAGCCAGCATCAAAACCTCAGCTAAAATTAGCTCTTGCTAACTGATAAAGCCTCCTGATTGGCCTAGAAATGGCTCCAGTTAGACAAAATGTCGTATTTCAACAAGTTTTGTTTGGCATTTGTCACCTGATATTGGTATTGGTTTGTTCATTGAACCAACATGTTCATGAGCTTATTTGCTAAGCATTCATTCTTTCCACGGACATTTCTTGAGTGCCTGTAGTGACCTACACACTGGGCCGGGGGTAGGGAGACACCTGTGACCAGGCAGACATGGTCCTTGACCTCAGAGTGACAGTTGACTTGACAGAAGATCAAGAGTGTCTGTGTGTGATCTGCAAGTGTGCTAGGCCTGGGAGCTCTGTGCCAGCTGCCTAAAAAAGAACCCGTCCCTGCCCTCTGGGGGTGGACAGCCTAGTCAGGGGATAGACACATAAAACGAAGTGTTCTAAAAGCTATGGCAGGAATGACAGCCAGCTCTAGGGGGTGCAGGGCAGGAACGCCAAGACGTGTATCAAGCTGTGAATGCTAACAGCTGTTCTTCCCCCACAGCATGGACAAGGACAGCCCGGAGGTCCACCAGGACCTGAACGCCCTCAAAAGCAAGTTCCAGGAGATGCGCAAGCTCATCAGCACCATGCCCGGCATCCACCTGAGCCCCGAACAGCAGCAGCAGCAGCTGCAGAGCCTCCGGGAGCAAGTCAGGACCAAGAATGAGCTTCTGCAAAAGTACAAGAGCCTCTGCATGTTCGAAATCCCCAAGGAGTAGAGTGAGGCTGACTTCCTTAGAAAGAGGGGGAAGCCAATGGCCTGTCTCCCCACTACCATCCCCAAACGCTCCTTGGGGCGTGGTTCCTGTGGACCCCAGCTCAGCTCGTCAAGCTGCAGGGGCGGGGCTCCTGTGCTGCTGCGCGCGCTTCGCCTGTGCGGGAGCCAGCGCAGAGCTTGGCTGCGCCGGGGGTTCCTCGTGTAGATCCATATGTCTAGATGCATAATAACTGGAGTGCCTGCTGGTGGAAGTCAGAATGCTCCTGGAGGCTGCAGAGGGGGTGGAGGACTCTCCCCTGCCTCTGGGGAGGGGGCCATCTGCTGCGCCCGGCCCCACTGACAGATCTGAAGAGCACAGTAGGAAGGGAGGCGGCTCCTCTTTGCTTCCTTCCCTCTCTCTCCTCCCACCCCCATAGGATCAGTGTGTACCAGGTACACATTGTTCCTGTTAACAGCAGCTTCTTGAAACATTTGCATAGAATTCACTGGACGAATTAAGCCTGCACTCATATGGCATAGAATTGTGAGAGAATGTTTTGAAAGGCCAGAGGGTGGCCTTTTTCCCCAAACAGTTTGGTTCCTTTTATGTTTGAGCCAGTGAAGGGAACTACGCTTTGGGGGCTTCAGCCTAGAGCCCTGCCAGGCAGCCCCTGGCTCCAGGTTCCCTGCCTCCTAGCGCTCTCCTCGCCTTCAGCTCTTGCTCCCTTCCTCGTTCATCACCCTCAGTCAGTGCCCAAGAGTGGCCAAACCGCTTCACATCTGCAGTGCTTCCCCAGGGTTGACAAGGGGCCGTCCTTTCCACACAGGCCAGAAGAGGTCTTCAGGCGAACCGACCTTCCCCCTTCTGGCATTTCAGATTCCCCTTGCTCTGGTTAAAAGGTCTTTCCCTCGTGGCCTTTGCACTTGCGGCAGCAACGTGTACTACACTGCAGAAGGGTTCAGTATGCACCTTGTGTTGAGAGAGAGGCAACCCTGGGGGCCAGTTCAGGTGGTCCCCAACCATAAGCTAGGTCTGAAAGTTACACAGCCAAGTTTGAGCTCTTAAAAGTTGATGAACAGCCTCATTTCCCCAGCTTCCCTGATTTCTTCCAGATGGGACGTTTTATTTGTGTGCTCTCCCTTGACTGTCAGATTGAAGTAAGAGCAGTTCTCTCCGTTGCCTCTCGAGGAGGAGGTGCGAAGTCCTGGAGTATTGTTTGGGTCTCGGAATGGGCGCATAACCTGCGCTGACCAGTTTAGGGGCTTAGCAGATGCCTGCCAGCTGACCTCGTTGGCAGGAGGGTTGGGTGGAGATGTTTTTAGCAGAGCTTCCATTAGTGTAGACCTGTAGCCACCTGTCAGAAGGTGGGTGGCATATTGGGGACCTGGGAATGTGTGAAGGAGGAGATCAAATTTCAGTGGCTTTGGACAGAAAAGAAGGCTCTGGATTTAAGCGGGTGGTCACCTGTGAGACCAGGTCTACCTTGGGACTGTTATTTAACTGAATCAGTTATTTCCTTGAAATTTCACAGTAGTGGGTGGGCCTGTTTTAAGGCTCTGACAGATACCACGAAACATGAAGCACGTGGAACTACAAGACCCCCGGGGTCTTTCTGAGTGCAAGGCTGAAATGGACAAGGGCTCCTCACGGGGGTGGAGGGAGCCGGAGCCTGCCTTGTGTTCCTTTTTTGACTTGTGACATTTTTCAAACACATAATTAAAAGGACTTATGCTCTGCTGTCTCAGGACATAATGCTTTTTGTACTGAGAAATTCATAGTGGGATGGCTCTCAGATAGTTGAGAGGAAAATGTTTCTCTCAGTCTCTTCAGACACAACCACACCTCTGCTCCTCACTCCCTCCGCCCCAGCACACACACCCGCCCCAGCACACACACCCGCTGAACCAGTGTGGAACAGGAACTCCTCTCCCGGCTGGCCTCAAGGGCAGTTTGCCTGGCGGGTCATCCCTGGGCTGTCCTTAGTTGCCTTTTATTTTTGGAGGGGGGAGGTGGGGGGTGCCTTTTGGTGACTCGAGGAGGTTCAGTCCTGTGGGGAGCCGCCCTCACCAGAGCAGGGTTGAAATCCTTCTAGGACAATTTTGAGTGTCTCTCACAGGGCTGAGCGTCCTCTGAAAGCCACCAATTACTTGGATTACTGGGTGGCCGGCATTTATGCTAAGTACTTTTCAAACATCACACTTAATCCCCACAGTGAGCCCATGCCGAGGGTGTTCTCTCTTCCCGGGGTGAAGAATTAGAGGCTTGGCAGGTGTCACCCACCAACAGGTTTGCAGTACTAGTGGCAGAGAGATTGGTGTTCTGGGGTGCCTTAGCCATGAGACGGAGACAGCAAGGCTGAAGGGGGATGGGGCTCTACACCTGGCCAGGAGCACTTCCTGGAGCTAGAGGGGAGCAGAGGCTGAGGAGTTAGCTGTTTCCAGACAGGGTGGCACCCTGGAGTGAGCGGGTGGTGGGGGCGCGCCAGGATGGTCCTGTTTCCAGATGGGGTCTCAGGCTCTTTCCCCAGGGCCTGACTGATGCCTCCAACAGTCCGAAAGTTTGCCTGGGCCCACACTGAGTCTGGTGACAAAATGGTTAGGCACAGTTCCAGTGGCTTTTACGCTGAAGAATTCAGAACATTCTCTCAGAAAATGAGGCCTTTTGTCATCTAACCCAAAGAAAATTAAGCGGGTGGATGGCTAGAAAGAGTTCATCTCCAGGGGGGACCCTGAAATCCTTTATATTCTTCCCGGTTTTCTAGGGAACCATCCCCTACATAGATGCCCCAGGCATCTGGGGCTTTTCTGGCAGCTGAAGCTGCCTTCAGAAGGCCAGGGTTATTTTCCAGTTCTGGGGAAGGTAAGTTCTAGTTCCACCTAAGTCAAAGCCCAGCCCTTTCCTTCTCCCCACCCTTCCCCACTCCAGCCATCTCTAAAAGCAAAAAAAAAAAAAAAAAAACCGGTTTTCCATTTTAAATTATTTTATTGTATATTAAAAAACCAAATAAAGCAATAACTTTAAAGACCTCAGACACACACAGTATAAACACCTGGGTAAGGTTTTGTTCGTGTCCATGTTGACACCGGAACTACCGTTAAAGTGCAAGTTTTGTTTTGTGTTCCTTTGTGCAGTTTCACTCACATGTAAACAAGTCACTTGGCTATGATTTGACCCACGCCCCCCCGCTTAGTTTTGGGAGGGCAGAGGCTCTACCGGCTGTCACAGCAACCCGGAATCACAGACAAGATAATGCCCCGTGGGTCCTGACCCTCAAGCGGGCATGACGGTTTCTTGAAGCCTAGCAGAGGCTGGATAACTTCACATCCCTCCCCCACCCCGCGCTCACTCTTAGGTCTTTGAGAAGATAAATCCACCCTCGGCTGGGCCCTCGCTCCCAAAGTTATGGGGGTGGCGGGCCTCAATGGGGGACCGGGGGTGGGGAATAGTCCCAGTCTTGGCCCGTTCTCTTTCCTTCCGGAGCAGATGACCGTCCCTTCTCGGTTCAGTGGCGCCTCCCCAGTGCTGGGGGCGGATCGCCGGGAGGGGAGACGCCAGTCCGCGCGCGCTCCCGGCCTGGGGCGCACCGGGCCGTTGGATTTGACTTAACAAAAAGGTCCTCCTTAGGTTGTGTCGCCAGCGCGGCGGGGCTCCTAGCTGATGACGCAGCGCTCCTTGTCCTTGGCCTGGCTGCCGGCGCTGGCCTTCTCGCGGATGTACATGAGGTCGCTGTGTACGCTGGGCCGGCGCGCGAAGGGTGCCACGATGCCAAAGGCGTCGCCCGGGTCGCCGCCGCCGCCGCCGCTGCCGGCCCGCAGCAGCTTCTTGTTCCGCAGCGCCTTCTTGTGCAGCACGTCGCAGTACTGCACCGAGACCTTGCGGTGCAGGTCTGGGCTCATCTCGCTGGGCAGCTTGGCCATGGCGAAGAGCGCGCGGAACATCTGGTCCAGGCTGCTGTTCTTCTTGGCCGAGATCTCGAAGTAGGCGCAGCGCTGGGGGTCGTCGCCCACCAGCTGCTCGATCTCGCGCTGGTCCACCTCGCGGTAGAAGTCGCGGTCACCCTTGTTGCCGCAGATGACCAGGGGCACGTCCACGTTCTCCTTGGTTTTGTTCTTGAGGCAAGACTTGGTGTCGAGGATCTGCTGCCTGAGCCGCTGCACCTCCTCGAAGGAGTCGCGGTTGTCCAGACTGAACACCAGGATGAAAACGTCTCCTAGAGGGGGCACAGAGAGCAGAAAAGGAGAAGGTGAGGGTGGCCGCCCAGGGGACAAGTCGGGCTGACTTTGAGGCCGCGCGGGGCGCGCTAGCCTCTCTAAGCGCGAAGCGCACTACTCGGCGCGCGGCAGCCGGACCGGCGCTCGCGGGGCGCCCTGGCCGAGGGTTCCCCGCCCTTCCCTCCCGCACCTGCCCGGCCCCCGGCTCACCTGTGAGGATGGAGAGGCGCCGCATGGCGGGGAACGGGTGGTTGCCGGACGTGTCGAGGATGTCGAGCTGGTAGACCTCGCCGCGGATGGAGTAGAACTTGCGGTGGAAGTCCTCGATGGTAGGCGTGTAGGCGTCCTCGAAGCGGCCGGTGAGGAAGCGCGACACGATGGCCGTCTTGCCCACCTTGGACGAGCCGAGGATGACCATGCGATAGCAGTTCTTGGCCGGGATACTCAGCTCCGAGTCGCTCGGGCACATCTTCTTGATCATCGCGGCCAGTTTCATTGGGCAGAGGGGCCGCGAGGGCGGGCGCGGGGCCGAGAGAAGGGCAGAGAGCGGCTGAGGGTCGCTGGGGTGGCACGCGGGGTGAGCGGCTGGAGGGCTCTGCTCGGGCTGGGCGCGGCTCGGGCTTGGGGCTCCGGCTCCGCTCGGGCTGGGCTCGGGCTAGGCTGGGCTCGGCTGGGGTTCTCCCAGGATCTGGGCACAGGCCGCTTGCTCTGGCTTTGGCGCCCGGCCGCCGCCCTTATATGCAGCCTGCTCGGCTGCCCCGCCCCGGCCCTCCCAGCTCGGTGCGTCACGCCCCGCGGGGCCCGCCTCCCCCGCACCGGCTCCCAGTCCCGGCGACCTCGTCACCCGCTGCCGGGCTCCTGCTCTCTGGGCGCGGGGGCTGGGGGGAGCAGTCCAGGGTCGGGCTGAGGCTGGAGGCGCTCGGACTCCGCTTTTCCACTGCCGCGGGCTCGGCGGCCGCAGGGGCGTCGGGGTTCTGGTCCCGGCGGTGCCCCTGTCCCTCTGCGACTTCGGGCAAGGACCCCCATTCCTGCACCTCCCGCGCGCGTACACTTATTTTCTTTGGTTCTCAGTTTCCCCAGAGAATAGGAATCTAGTAAGTAACCCAGTAAGCGCAGCAGCGTTTGCTGAGTGCTTGCGCGGACCGTATATTGCAGTCCTCAGAGCACAGCCCCAGCCCCAGCCCCCTTCCGCTCCGGTCCCCAGCCGGGCTCTTGTTCCCGGGAGGCGACCGCCGGGCGGACGCGGGGTTTCAGGGCCTCAGGCGCGGAGCTCGGCACCGCGCGCTCGGGCCGCCAGAGGGCAGCAGAGGGCCCGGCCGGCGGCTCGGGGAGGCTGTGGCCGCCGCGGGCAGAGCTAGAACAGAGGCTAGGAGCAGGCGGGTGGGGAGCGGCAGGGATGGAGCAGGGGTCTCAGGGCGCCTTGCTGGGGCCCAACAGGAGCGGTCCCCAACCCCGCGCTCTGCTGCAGGCCTCAGCCTGCTCCTTTCTCCCAGCCAGAGATGCTCTGTGGTATGGAGGGCTCTGCAGCCAGCGGCCCACCCCGTCCATCATAGCATTTTGGGCTTTTACTGTGCCGCGCGTGGGCCGACGTTCTCATTGTCTAGCTGAGAGACCTGGAGCTCAAAGCCACAGCGAGCCAGGAAGGCCCTGGGAGCACAGCACAGCCTCTTGCTTTCTCCTGGGCCTCAGTTTTCTCTTCTGGAAGATACTGATTCTGGTTCTGTGATTAAGGATGAAAATATGCAAATGCTTTAGGAGGGCGGGGCCTGGTAATAACAATAGCAACAATAACAGTAGTATTGACCCATGAGGCCTGGTGGGGGTACTCTCAAGAGCACACCAGGTCGATCAGTAACCAGGAGTGGGGTGATGTTGCTGAACATTGGCAACAGGCTGTCTGGAGCCAGCTCCTCAGCCCTGAGCTCTTGAGGCAGTCACTGCTCCTCAAGGCAACCTGTGTGCTCAGTGTTTTGCTTTGGCCACGTCTGACTTACGAGAAAACTAGGGAGCCATTAGCTGGCACCACCGGCCCAGCTGTCAGGTGGTGGTCTGCAGGCAGTGCTGTGAGTGCCATACCACCCACCCCATGCCTACCCACCTCCCTCCCACGCTGGCACTTGCTGTAGGGGCTGCTGCAGGACACCACTAACTTGTTTCTCAGCCCAGCTTGGCCCCCATCCTCAGAGTCCCTGCATCTCTCCCAGGCCTCACTCTTACTGTCAGATATTTCAAATGCACGCATCACACAGTGAGCATCCAAGGGCTCATCAGTGGCCCTGGCCTGGCTCTGATTCCTGGTGTCACTTATGCAGCAGTTATCCGACAGGCTAGCTGGGGCTGGAGCCCCGCCATTCTTGGTTCCTGCCCCCATCTGAGGTATGTCTGCCAGAGTCTGGGAGAAGGGGAGAAGGAACTGAGTCGCAGCCCTGGATATAGGGCTGCAGTGGTGCAGGGTGTTCACTGCATAAAGGAGCCAGTTGAGGGTACATGGGGGGGCTCAGTTAAGGTACGGACCTGAACCACCTTCAGACTGAGCACCGCCTTCCTGTGCCTCCCACAGCGGCACTGCATGGGCAGCCGGGCTCTAACTTGGGATGACTGATGGCCAGGGCTATAGTGAAGGTGGACCCCACACAGCCATTGCCTCCTGGGGCTCTAGTCCCAAGAGGGTCCATTTGATATGAGTGGAGGGCCCGAGGGTCAAGGATCACAGCCCAGCTCTCCCCTGGTCAGTGTCCAGGCTGGCCCCTTAAATCAGGAACATGACACTGGCAGGCACTGATCTAGCCTGTGTCCTCAGCCACAGTGATTCCTGGTACCATCTGTGCATGGCCGTCTGCCCTACGGATGCTGGGTTGTGAAGACCCAGGCCCACCTGCCATTCCCATTCTGAATGCCCCAGAGCGCCTCCTGTCAAGGAGGTGGCCTCTGGGACTTTACTCCTCAAGCAGCAAGCCAACTTCCTTGTTTCCGCCCTCGTCTTTTCTTTTAAAAGGGCATCTCTTTCCTTTTATTACAAAAGTAATAAATGCTCATGGTTTTTTAAAAACCCAAGCCATTTCAGAAAGGACCAGAATGAAAGAAGCACTGGGATCAGGCCTCTCTCGGCCACACCCAGGACAGCCTAGCCACCAATTCTGTGGGGTGGCATCTCCTGATGTCCCCACATGGGCGGACTCCCAACTGCATGAAGGAAGTCTTACCCCGGTGCAGCCTCTGCCACCCAGCTCTTTGTTCATGCAGGTGCCCTTTTTCCTTCTTCTGGGGTTTGCCTGTGTGACTTTATGCCAGGCCCTACCCTAGGCTGGCTAATCAGAGTGGCCGGGGAGGACTGGGGGCTGGAAGACAAACAGGAACAACTCGCAACTCACAGAACCATCCGCCCCGTGGATCCCGGAGTCCCACAGAGAGGGAGCACGTGTACTGGGCTTCCCAGCACTCCCGCCGCCTGGGCCCTGTCAGCCATCGCGGCATTTGATGTCCAGGTTGATCACAGTCCCATGCTGTATGCAATAAATAATTCTGTTTTCTGTGTGTTTGGGGCATGAGACAACAAACAGCGTATATGAGGCTATGAGCCTGTCTGTAAATAGTATTTACCTGCAGTGCAGCAATTTTGCTGCTTAGAGGGGAGGGGAACTGTTTAAAATATTTGACAATGTCGGGGGTGATCTGGGGGTGGGCAGGTGGACCCACCCCCCCCCCACCAGCCCCAGGCAGGAAATGCCAGCCACACAGCCTCATTTGAGGGCAAAGAGCAATTAGAAGGTTCTTGAGAGCTGGGCCAGAGGAGAATGCTGGGCACCCCATCAGAGCTTTGCCTGTTGTGGTGTCCTGAGACAGAGTCCACACAAAGGCCAGAAGTGGCTACTTCAGGTGACAGGAACCCAGAGCACCCTCGGGCCTGGGCATTGCCGTGCTGGCCCGTGCGGCCAGAGCCCATCTCTACCAGCGCCTTGGACAGAGGAGGCCCTGAGGCACGCTTCTATCCTGTGTGGCCCTGGTACGCCACCTCCTGAAGAGGAGGAAAGGGGCAAATAGAGCTGGCTTTGCGTTCCCTCTGACAGGCTCCCCTCATCAAGCTGAGATTTTAACTCTGGTAGATTCCTCATCAGTGATGAGCTCTGTACCCGACAGAGCAGACCCTTCCAGCAGAAGCCAGTTCAGCCCAAGGCTCCCGGCTCTGCCCCAGGAACCAAGGGTCAGGATGCACGGAGCTTTGCTGCCCGGCTCAGCCCATCCATCAGCAATATGTCCTCAAAGGCCGTGTGTGCAGAGGTGCTGGCGGAGGGAGTGAGCACCTGTGCAAGCAGGAGCAGGACGGAGGCACTGGATATGGTCAGACCGGACGCCTCTCATGCCCCTCAAGCCCTGAGACAGATTCTGGATTCTAGAAAGCAAAGAGAAAACCTTGAGGAGCTCCATGGGTGATAAGGGAGGCACTGCCTGAGCACCTGCTTTATACACAAGGCAGTCATGACTATGATGGCCATTTTACACATGAGGGGCCGCAGGGTCAGTGTGTGCAGTGTCCGTCTGGCCCAGTGCCACACCATGCCTTTCCTTGGTCTCGCTCTGTCACCCAGGCTGGAGTGCAGTGGTGTGATCTTGGCTCACTACAACCTCCGCCTCCTGGGTTCAAGCGATTCCCCTGCCTCAGCCTCCAGAGTAGCCGGGAGTGCTGGTGCATGCCACCATGCCTGGCTAATTTTTGTATTTTACCTCAGGACCTTTGCATTGCCACTCCCGATGCCCGGAGGCTCTTCCTCCCTCCTGCTTCTTCTTGAAGTTGGGTCTTGGCTCAAATGCCACCTCCTCAGAGAGGCCCACTTGACCACCCTAGCGAAAACAGGTCACACTGCCATGTGTCCCTTCCAAAATTTCCTGTGTGATGGTTGTCACTGATCATTTTCTGGTTCATACTATTCACACTGCTCCATTTTCTCTTAAGTTTTTAGGATACTAGTCTGAATCACAGAACAATACTGCTTTTCTTTTTTTCTTTTTTTTTTTTTTTTTTTTGTTGAGATGGAGTCTCGCTCTGTCGCCAGGCTGGAGTGCAGTGGCATGACCTCGGCTCACTGCAACCTCTGCCTCCCGGGTTCAAGCGATTCTCCTGCCTCAGCCTCCTGAGTAGCTGGGACTACAGGCGCCTGCCACCGCACCCAGCTAGTTTTTTGTATTTTTAGTAGAGATGGGGTTTCACATGTTGACCAGGATGGTCTCGATCTCTTGACCTCGTGGTCTGCCCTCCTCGGCCTCCCAAAGTGCTGGGATTACAGGCATGAACCACCATGCCCGGCTGAATAATACTGCTTTTCTAAGTTAGAAATGGTCACATGCAGTATTGGCAACTTTATATGGTCCAACTTGATATGACTTGGCTATAGTAGGGTGCACAGATGGAAAGTTTACAGCTTGAAGGTTCCCCTCTGTGCACACCTGTGGCAGCACCACATCCAAGCACAGGACACCTCCAGTTCTGAAAAGCTCCCTCGCGCCCTCACCTGGCTAAGCCTCTGCCGACTACACTGGCTTCTACCACCGTAGATCCGTTTTGCCTTTTGTGTCTGGTTTCAATGCATCGTAGGTCCACGACATCCTTCCACAGGTACCGGCCACTCATTCCTTTCCTTGCTGCAGGGGAGACCATTGCGTGACTAAGCCACGACGTGTGTGTCCACTGTCCCGCTGGCGAATGCTGGGGGTTTCAGGAGACAGGATGCAGTGGGGATGGGTGTTAGTTGGTGCTCCCAGGCACTTGTGTCTGTGGGGAGACCCAGGGTGGAACTGCTGCATCATAAGTGGCCCCCCACCTACGGAAATGCACCATTTCTCCCCAAGGAAACAATCCAGCCAATCCCAAATGGCAGGACTGCATGAGAGGTGGCCATCCAGGGGGTCCAGAGTACACTGACAATTAAAAAAAATGATCGGGGCTGGGCGCGGTGGCTCACGCCTATAATCCCAGCACTTTGGGAGGCCGAGGCGATCAGATCACCTGAGGTCAGGAGTTCGAGAGCAGCCTGGCCAACATGGTGACATCCTATCTCTACTAAAAATACAAAATATTAGCCGGGCGTGGTGGCAGACACCTGTAATCCCAGCTACTCAGGAGCTTGAGGCAAGAGAATCACTTGAAGCTGGGAGGTGGAGGTTGCAGTGAGCTGAGATTGCGCCACTGCACTCCAGCCTGGGCAACAAGAGCAAAACTCCGTCTCAAATATAAATAAATAAAAATAAAAATAAAAAATTATCATCAAGGTGGGCATGTAAGAAGATGCACGTGCTGTGAAAAACAGGCTAGAAGTTCCTCAGTGGGTCCAATGTGTGAGTTACCATATGACCTAACAATTCCACACCTAGGTATTTGCCCAAAAGCAATGAAAGCGTGTCTACACAAAAACTGTCCACAAGTGTTTACAGCAGCATTCTTCACAACAGCCCGAAGGTGAGAGCAACCCAAGTGTCCATTGCCTGATGGATAAACACAGCATCTCCATCCACACAGTGGAACACTGTTCAGCAGTAAAAATGACGAGTGCTGAGGCATGGCACTACGCAGCTGAACCTCAAAGACACAGTGCCGAGTGAGAGAAGCCGGACACCAATGGACAAATACCGTGATTCCATTTATAGGAAGTGTCCGGGAGAGGCAAATCCATAGAGACAGAGAGCGGCTTGGTGGCGATTAATGCTGGAGAGGAGTCGGGGGTGACAGCTCAGGGGTACAGGGGTCTCTCTGGGGAGTGACGAAAATGTTTTCATGATTGTGGTGATGCTTGCACAACTCTTTGGATAAACAAAAACTCACAGAATTGTGTGTATGGCTTGTGAATTGTATGTATGGGTGAATTGTATGTATGGCTTGTGAATTATATCTCAGTAAAGATGTTAAAATTATAATAGAAATGAAACCATAAAATTGGCCAGGTGGCAGGACTGTGTGCTCCAGGTTGAGAAGCGTGAATCTCGCCCCCTGATGAACAGGTACTGGTTCCAGCCCAGCCCTCTCACGACACCCGGCAGCCACCTGCCTGTTGCAGAGGGACTCAGGATCTCTCCAGCTCCCCTGGACCCGCCCACCATGGGGGCTACCCTTTTGTTCCCCATTCATCCCCAAATCCTGGACATTCTCCCCCTTACACATCTCTCATGTTCCCTCTTCCCACCTCACGCCTCTGTCCAGGGCCTAGCACCATCACCACTGCCCAGAACAACTCTGTAGGGGCCTCCCCACCCTGGGGGCCTCCTCACAGTAGGAGACCCTGTTTCCACCCTGCAGCCAAGGGGAACCTGTCACTTTCCTCCCATACTTCATTTGTTTCTTGGAACCTGAGTCCCTCACCAGGCCTGCCTGTTGCAAGGGACACTCGGGAGCCCTGGACCCTCTCCTGGGTCGGCCCACCACAGCCGTGGCACATGCTGTTCCCTTGGGCGGGAAGGCTCCTCACCCACCCCACTGCCTCACCTCCTGACACCTGCTCACACCCAGATCTGACTTCAAAACTCACCTCACCAGCGAGAATGATTCTGCAGAGCCTGAGGACGCAGATCGATCATGGCAGCGATGAGAGGAAAACATCCCGCCCTGTCCCCATCCTGCAGTGGCTTGTCCCAAGGGGTGGCGTGCCCCTGAGGGCAGGGCATGAAAACCATGCTCATAGCTGAGTGAGTCCCCTGCCTGTGTCATAGAAGGACTAACTCAATATTGTTGGATGGATGGATGGACGGATGGACGGATAGATGGATGGACGGATAGATGGATAGGGGTGTCCAGGTGGAGGGAATGGCGAGAGTAGACGCAGGAATAAGCGGAGGTGATCTGAGACCTGAAGACATCGCAGGAGCCCAGATGGAGGGAAGGAGGCCGCGGTGGGACAGGCTCTGGGGAGAGAATAAGTCCTGGGCCCCAGGGTTAATGGGCCAAGACTTCCTTCTGAGGACAACAGGGGGTTGAGGGGGTGTCCTGACCCCATTTGCATTTGGCAGGGGGGGTGGTGTGAGGGTGAAGCGCAGGGGTGAGTGGGGAGTGGGCAGGAGGTGGGAGCCCTGAGGGGAGGGGCCCACTGGACTGAGCCAGGCCGGTTGCCAGGGAACCAGGCTTCCTCCGGCTGCACACACAGCTGGGTGCTGAGTAAGTGGTACCTAAAAATAAAGCCCCCCAGTGGGGGCTGGGACTGATGGGGAGTGGAGGTGGGGAGCAGGGAACTGCCTAGGAACATGAGCAGTGCTCAGGCTGAGACTTTCTGGCACCTCCCACCCATGGCCCGGATCCCAGGCCGAGCATCCTGGCTGGGGAGACAGGGAAGGAGGCCCAGAGAGAGAAGGAGCCAGCACAGCTGAGGGATGGAGAGGCTCTGTGGCCCAGACCCTGAAGGCCACCTGCCTGGGCTGTGGGGCCCGGTCAACTGGGCACCTGGGATAGCGAAGACACAGGTGAGGGTCAGCCTTGCCCAGCAACCCTGGCACCATCATCCACTCTACCTCCATATGCAGAGTGGGAAGTTGGGGAACCTGCCCAGGTCCAGGGGCGAGGGGGCTGGGGCTGGGGCTGGGGCAAGAGGAGTTCAGGGCTGGCAGCCCTGCCTCCACCATGTGCCCTGGGGGCCAAGGAAGTGGGACAAGAGGCCGTGTGATGAAAGGGTCAGGTTCACTCCTCGGAAGCCCTGTGGCTTCTGACAGCTCTGGCCTGGGGACTCCTGTGCTGGGGGGTGAGTCTCCTTGCACCCGCCTCCAGCCCTCCAAGGAGAGGGCCAGGCTTGCCTGGAAGGCTCAGGAATGCGGCCCGGGACCCCATCTTGGCGGTGTGAGCACGAAGATCCTGGATTGAGGGCGCTTTGTAAATATCCATTCAGGCCGTGGCTTTGCAGCCCTGAGCGAAAGTAACGGGAGGTCAAGGGAAAGCCGGCCCTCGGCCACTGTCTCTGAGCTTGACTGAGGACCCCTGGAGCTGGAGGAGGGCGGTGATCTGCCTGAGGTCACAGGTGGAAGAGGAGAGGGGCTGGAACAGGTGGAGGCCTCTCCCCGCAGAACCCTAATCCCCACACGGCCTCCGGGAGCCCCTGACTGGCCTTCGGGGCTCACAGAGAGACCCTGAGGGATAATGTTGACCAAAGCTGAAGGGCTGAGGGCCTCTAGCACCCCGGGGAGAATCACCCCAAAGCCCACCAAGCATAGAAGTCCTCGACCTGCCCCAGTCAGGGGGCCTGGAGTCCTGGGGGCTGAGGGGTGACCCTGCCACCAGCAGCAGAACTGGGATGAAAACAGGAAGTGGCGGCATGGATGCCAGGAGGAGAGGGGGAGGGTGTCCCCTCTGTCCACCTCAGGAGTCCCAGTGGCAATGGCTGAGCCTACACTCCTGGTCACTGTGCCCTGCCTCCCCCAGATGAGGCTTACCCTTGCAGGGCCCACCCCTCACCCCCATACAGACACATAGGGTGCCCAGCATGTGTCCAGCTGCTGGTCAGCACAAGGCCATTCATTTAGGAATGACAGTGTCATCTGCCCAGCTAGACTGGGGTGGCCAAGGACAACATGCCCACACCTCTCCACCCTCATGCTGACGGACACGGGGCTGGATCCTCCAAGGGAAGAGGCAGCAGAGGGGCTGTCTTGGGTGTGCTGGGGCAGGGGTGGGAGCAGGTGACACAAGACACCAAGTCTCCTGGAGATGAAACCATGGCCATGGCCAGGTGAGCCCCTGACGCCTCCTAAGTACCTTACTGGGAGGCCTGGAGAGAGGTGCCCACCCCTCAGCTCTGAGATTTCAAGACAGAAAGGCTGGAGCCAGCCTTGCTCGGGAGCTATTTGACCTGATATTCGTGCCCCAGGCCTGCTCCTTCCCCACACAGACAGACAGAGGCTGGAGCAGATGTTGGGGTCAGGGTGCCTTTATTGGTGAATGGGAATGTGTGGGTTGGAGCTCAATGGCCATATGTCGGCACGTCCAGGGTCCCCAAGGCAGCAGGTTCCAAGGCACTGGGGCAGCCCACGCCGGGGGCGAGCCCTGAGCAGCAGGCACCATTCTCGCCCTGCGCAGGGCCTGCCACTTGGGGCAGGCCAGGAGGCTGGCCAGGCCTTCAGCAAAGCTGTTGCAGCTCAATCAGCTCCTCTTGTGGGACCCGGAGGCTTTCTGCCGGTAGATCTCAGCGGTGAAGGGCCTGCCGGGCAGCGGGGAGAGGCTTCGGTCAGCAGGTCCTGGGGGTGACCCACTGCCCGCACCAGAGCTCTGCGTCCATCAGCTTGAGGGTGTCCAGATGGGACCGGGATCCCCTTCATCCCCCAGAGCCACTGGGGCAACACTGACTTGGAGCCTTCAGAGCGCAGGCGGGAGAGGGGAGGGGAGAGGGGCCGGCTGCCTGCTGGGTCCTGCAGGCCGCATTGTAAGCTACCATGGCCGCTCTGACCTGGGAGCCCTGGAGTGGGCCTGGCTGACGGCAGCCTGTCCTGAGCCTGCCCTGGCCACAAGGAAAGGTTCTAGAGGGAGAGACAGGGCCAGTCGGGCAGCCACGCCCCCACCCGCCGCAGCCCCTACTCACTCTTCGTATAGGAGAGCCACTATGTAGGTGAGGGCCACCAGCACCGTCAGGAGCAGGCCCGTGGGGCTGGCGTGCCTGAAAGGACAGAGGCAGGTCAGGCCTGGCTGGAGCCAGGGTCTCTCAGGGCCACGGCCCACCTGCCCAGGCTGGCCCTTCCTGCCGTGACCCTGGCCCTCCGGCCGACGCTGGGCCACTTGGGCCGACCGAGCCCAGGCAGCACTGCCCCTTCCTGAGTCTGGCTTTTGTGCCAGGACCAGGGTCCCCATGTTCTCGGTCCTGATCCATTTATCATCATTGTCTGCCTGTCTGGCCTGGCTGGGTTCCCTCAGGGTGGGGCCTGCTCACTCTTTCCGGGTCTCCAGCCGCCAGCCCAGAGCTGGGAACGCAGCCCCAGGCGGAAGAGTCCCAGTGGCTAGGGCTGTTCATTCCCGCACAGGAGGAGATTCTGGGGCAAAGTGCTCCCGTCTCCCAGAAACCATGCTCTGAGGAACAAAGGCTGTTTTCTAGAAATGAGTCCAGGGTCCCCCAAAGCCAGTTTGGTCCACCCTGAGTCCCCAGCCCCTGGCCACAGGTGCAACCCCATGGCCACGCCCTGGGAGGATCTGGCTGTGGGGAAGGGGGCTTAGGAGCTGCCGCCCCGCCCAGCCCTCAACACCTAGCCCAGCTTGGGCTCTCCCAGGTGGTGGGACAGCAGCCCCACGCCCAGGAGCCCCCGGTCACCCCAGCCCAGAGGACGGGAGGCCCCAGGCAGAGCATACAGCAGGCCCAAGGCCGGATGGAGCATCGCCAGGGGCTCTTTGCTGGTGACCAGCTCCTGACCCCGCCACACCAGTAAGCAGCGGCAGCTCGTCAGTGACGGCACCAAGGAGCCCGGGCGCAGCTGCTTTGGGTTTCCAGAAATAGCTGCCGTCAAGCTGTCCCCCAATCTATTTCTATAGTTACCTCTGATCCCACAGCTCCCGCAGGTGCTGGGCTGCTGCCAGGGAGGAGGGAGGGAGGGAGGAAGAGAGGAAGGAGAGGGAGGAAAGGAGCTGTCTGGCGGGCACAGAGGGCGCATGGGCAGGCCTGGGCCAGGGGCTGTGCCCTCCTTGGCTGCCCCTGTGCCAAGCTGCCCCCTCCCCAGCCAAACCATCACAAGAACCTCAGGCAGGGCTGGATCGAGGTGAGGGCTGGAGGACACCTGTGGACCCCGTGGGGACCCTCTGCCCTGCCCACTGCCTTCCACCCCTGGACCTCACACTGGTCTGCCTGTCTGGGAGCTGCAGGAGGCAGGGCAGACGTAAGCAAAGATCCAAGCCCAGGCTCCAACCCCAGGCCTGGCAACCAGCAGCGACCCCACTGTGGGCGCCGAGGGGGACAGGAGTCCCTGATTGCACAACACGAAGCAGGAGGCCCACCTGTCCCTCACAGCCAGGCCACCACCTCTGCCATCTGTCCCCTGGCATCGGGCTCACTGCCACACAGCCTGCTGGGGTCCTACATGCCGGGGAGCTCAGACACCTGGAAGCCCATCTCCGGGGCCCTGGCAGGTGAGAGACAGATGGGCCGTGGGAGGCCTGTGGGGGTCCCCGCTGTGTCAGCGTCTGGCCAGATAATGGCTCATCTCTAATGAGCTCCTGGACCATTGATGCCATCTCTCAGCACGCTGCATGGCTGATGTCCTCTGGAGGCGGCTTATGCGTCCCCCAGAGCCCTGGCCTGGCTGCCCCGAGCCCAAGGGTGACTCTCACTCCAGGGCACAAGACACTGCTGGGGACACTAAGCCACTGGGGAGGCACCGAAGGTTGGGGGGTTAGGGAGGGATTCGTGCAGGAGGGAACACTTGACGTTGGGTTTGGAAGGACTGACAAGGGGCATAAGTGGGAGGGTTCTAGGCGAGGGAACAGTGTGTGAGTGCATACATGCATGTGTTTGTGCACACAGAGGAGAGGGGGGAGCCAGGTGTGTTGGGAACCCTAAGCCTGCAGGGACGACCTGGGTGGGGGGGATTGTTTTGAGTTTGGGCTCATCCTGTGGCCCCAGTGGGGGTGCTCCATGGCCGGTGAGCCTGGGGGCACATAGTCTGGGCCTTAGCAGGCAGAGGGACCAGGCTAGAAGGCAGGTAGGACGTGTCCCTGGGGACTGCCTGGCCTGGACGTGGGGTGGGGGTAGGGTGGGTCCCAGCCAGACCCACAGCCCCCCTTCTAGCTTCTGCTGTCTCCAACCCCCGCTGCTACGGTCCCAACTGCTGAAGGTGGGAGCCAGGAGGCAACATCTTGCGCTTGACATTCACTGTTTACGATTCACTCCTTTGGGATCCTCAGGTCTTGTGGAGAACCTGTAAATTCTAGGCCAGTGGTTTTCAAGTGTTAAACAAAAGCAGTGGAACACTGTCTGCCAAAAAACCTTCTATGGAAGAAAATGGCTAAACTAGAACTGCTGGGGTGGGGGCTGGGTATGAAGCCGAGGGCAGCGCCCGCTGTGCCATCCTTGACCGCAGGTCCTCTGACCCGCCGGGGGAGCACATCTCCATACCTTGTCAGTACCCGTACCTGGCTGAGGCCGACAGCAGTTCTAGGCTTCCCTCATGGCACGGGGCCCCCTCTGTGGGAAGGGGTATCTGCCACATGGGCAGAGGCTATTGGGGCACAGGGAGTTCTGTCAGCTGCGGGTGAGCTGGGCCCTGGCGGCTCTGGCCAACCCCTCCTGCGGGGAAGATGGGTCGGGTGGTCCCAGCCCTGATGTCCCCGCACAAGGGTCCGCAAACTACGGCCTAGGGGCCAAGAACGCCTGTTACATTTTTAAACGGTTAAAAGCAAAAGGATCAAAAAGAATGTTTCATGACACGTGAAAAGAATCTGAAATTTAGGCTTCAGTGTCTGTAAGTGGAGCTGTGCTGGCGCCAAAGACGCGCATCCATTTTCCTGCGTCTGCAGCTGTTTTGTGTGGCAGGACCAGGGCTGAGCAGCTGTGACCTGCCTGCAGCCTTTGAGCCTCCACACTCCAGCCCTCTTTGGAGAAGCTGACCACCCTGTTCTGGGATGTTGTTTCTGTTACCATAGATAAGACGCTTCTGAGAAAGGGAGAACCAGGGCGCCTAGGCCCCCACAAATGACACGTTCTTCCTTTCTCTCTCTCCAGGGGCCCTGGCCCCCGCGTCCTGAGCTGCACCAGCTCCTCTCCGGGAGGTGGCCAGCAGGGCAGAGGGGTGGCAAGCCTGGTACTCACATGATGGCCCAGCCCAGGTAGTTGGCTGTGCTTCCCCAGTACATGGGGTTGTCCAGGATGTTGAAGGGGAACACGGTCACTCTCGCCTCCTTGAGGATCCCGAAGTAATCACCTGTGGATGAGGCAAGGCAGGGTCCCTCGGCTATTCATCAGCCCTGGCCACACCATCACTGAGGGAGGCCCCAGAGCGGGCTGTGGCGAGACCTGCAGGTGAGACAGGGCCCTGCCCTCCAGGAGACTTCAGAGAGTTCAACAATGGGCAGAGTCAGAGGGACCCAACAGGCACGCAGACAGCAGAGGGCGTGGGGCCTAAGGACTAAGGTGCTGAGCACCGCCCCTGCCCCACTGCTCCTCTTCTCGAGCACTCTGACCCAGCCATGCTGGCCTTCCTCTTCTTCCTGGCTCTGCACACGCTGTTCCCTCCCCTGCGATGCCTTTCCCTGCTCTCTGTACAGAGAGCGCCTTTCCTCCTCAGGCCCTTCGCCCTCTGCTCATGGCGCCTCTTTATGCAGACCCTTCCTCTTCCTGTCCTACCTCCCACTCTTCCTCGCTCTGGTGAGTTCCTCTCCCTCTAGGGGCCTCAGCTGGTTGCTAAGGGCTGCTCTGCTCCACACCCCAGGCTGTGTGGCTCTGGCACCAGGGCCTGGCCACAGCACGCCTCCCGTTGCTCTGGGAGGTCAGCTCTGGTATTGTTTTCTCACTCAGCTGCCCAGAGGAGCTAGACCCAGTGGAGAGAGGGTGACTATTGAACAGCCTGTTCCAGACAGGCCAGCCATGCACCCGTCAGCCGCACAGCCACAAGGCGTCCCCCGGCAGAGCTGCTCTGAGCCATAAGGGAGTGGCCGGGGTCACAGTCACAGTGTCTGTCCCAGGCCCACAGAGGACAGTCCCACTGGACACAGAGTAACCGCTCCATAAAGGGTGTGGCTTCGTTCCTCCCAGCCTTCTGTCCCCAGAAACCCCTCATTTGTCTCTCCTCCCAGAGGACAATGGAGCTTCATCCAAGGCGGAAAGTAGGGCAGCTGCCCGACAATGGGCAGCATGGGCAGGAGGGGTCCAGGAGCTTCATCACCATCTGGGGACACGGGGCAGGGCCCAGGACCACTGGAAAGTTCTTTCTTCCCAGGAAGCAGGAAGTGGGGCACAGGGTGTGCGTAGATGGCACAGAAACCCAATTCGAGCTGAGTCACAGCAGGAAGTGACCACCTTTGCCTACATACCGCGCTGCTGGTCCTCGGTGTTTCTAGGCCATGTCTGCTGGCAGGGCCGCCAGGAGGCTGTGGCCACTGGTGTTTGCAGGCTCCTTCCCTCCCTCTGACTGTCCAGGACCCCCAGCTTGTTCTTCCACTGCTGAGGGGCTCCACCCACCATCCTGGCTCTCCTTACGCTGCCTCTGCAGCCCTCCCTGTCCAGATCCACCCGAGCACTGGCCACTGGAGGGCCCCCGCCGCTGGTCTCCCACAGGACCTGATTGCACAGCCCGGAGTCCCCCTTCCCATGGGGCCCTCACCGCCCTCACATCCTGGAAGGGCCCCTCCACAGCTCCTCCTGAGCCCCACCTCTGATCCTGGCTCCATCGGTCCAACCTCTTCCTTGCTGGGACCCCCCCTATGGCTCCCACCTCTCTGGGGATGGAGCCTCAGCCCCTTGGATGGCCTTCAAGGCCTCGGCTCATCCTCCTGCCCTGTCCCAACCGACAGCACCTGTGCGGCCAGTCCAGCTGCCCCCCACCTCCAGCTGCCAGCTACTCTGCCCTCAACCTCCCTCTCCTTGCACCAAGGCTTTTTTCTCTTTCCTACCTGCCCGCACCTGCCCCCACCTGGCAGATCCAGACGCTCCTGGCTGCTGTCCCCCTTCCTGGACCAAACTCCCTACAGCGTCTGCCTGAGCAGGAAGCACTGAACTGCCTGTGGGTGCCCCCCACAGTCCCAGAGAGGCCTGGCCATGGGCGATCCAGAATGCTGCACCCACAGATGCCACTTCCTCCCTCGGGGGGACCCCTACTGGCAGGCACAAGCTCCTTGAGAACTTGGAGTGCCCTGTGACAGCCCACGGTGCCCTGGGGGCTGGGCCCAAGGAGCTGTAGCCGGCATCTGAGGATGGGGATGGCAGGCAGGCCCGGGAGCTCCTCAGGACACCGTTGGTCCCAGGAGGCTACTGAGGCCACTGAAGCCGAGTGACTTCCAAGCTCCTGCACTGGCCAGGGCTGATGGGGAGGAAGACGTGGGCCTTCCCACCCATGACGGAGAGCGGGCAATGCGGCCAGCTGGACCAACTCCCTGCTCACTGGGAGGGGCTCCCCTTGGACAGGGACTGCCTCCTTCTCTCCTTCCAGGTTCCGAAGGCCCCCTCTTGTCCCCCACCCCTGCCCCCATCTCCCCTCCCACCCCGACCCCTACTGCCTTTCCCATGGCTGCTTTTCTTTCCCAGATTCCAAGGAGCTGGAAGTTGCTGCCATCATCAGGGTCATTGGTGGGCGTCTAGCCAGGCCAGCACTGGGCTCACAGCCTGAAAGCACCTCAGCCACAGGCAGAGGGAAATGGAGAAGGGATAAGGTGCCTCCACCCCTCACCCCTCCCCAGACCTACACCAGCCCTGCCTGCGGCCAAACACGGCACAAACCACAATCCTGCCTGGCCTGAGAGCCACGCGTGCCGGGAGCTGCCAGAGAGGTGGCTGACTCACCACCACCTCAGGCTTCTGTGCAACAAGGCCTGAGAGTCTTCTGCAAGGGGGAGCTGGTGCTGGAGCTGGACTCAAGGAGTCCTGCACCCAGCCCGGGCCGCAGAACGGGCATTGAGTGCATCTTCATTAGCTGGAGAGAAGCAGCAGGAGCTGCCTTCACTCCCCAGGAGGCAGCCGCTCAGCACGCTGGGGTAAGAGGAGCTGTTGGAGCCCAGCCTCCTGTTCTAACCACAGACAAGCCAGGCCTGGAGGAGCAAAGACGCCCCGATGGAGGGGGCCCCTAGCACTCCCACCGATGTCACGGATAGCAGGGCAGCAGCCACCTGGCCCTGCACCTCCCTGGGGCTCCAGCGGTCCTGCTCAGGGTCACCCCAGCCCTCAGGGTCTTACCTAGGAAAGTTCCAGCGAACCCCAGTGCAAAGAAGCTGGAGAGCACGAGCACGACGCCCAGTCCCAGGAGCGCGAGGCCCAGGCTGTAGGCCGCGGGGGTGTCCAGGCTCTCCATCCTGGGCTGGCTCAGCATGGCCTGCGTGAAGCTGTGGGCAGGGGATGGAGAGGGAGGACGTCATGGCCAGGGAGGATGTCACAGCCCGGGAGGAGGCCGACCTCATCTTCTCGCCCTCTCCCCAGGGACCCTTAGAGAGTAGCCAGCCCAGGGCTGCCAGGCCAGGCAGGCAGCAGGTGGGGTCCAGTCCACCTGGGAGGTGGGTGACAGTAACAGGGAGGGGCCCAGGCCTGTCAGATTTTTAAATTTTTTCAAGAGAAGCCAGAAATCCTGACTCGTATGTGAAATATCCTAATTTTTAGAAATAGACAATTCATGAAAGCCACTTTAGACCCTGCATGTGAGCAGGCTGGATTCAGCCCGAAGGCCACCAGCTTGCAAACTCTCATCCTGTCCAATGAGCAACTCATACTATGGAGGAAAGTGAGGCTCAGGAAAGACGCAGGTGCCAGGTTGCAGGGCAGGCCCAGGTGTCCCATTCCCCAACAGACTCAGTGCCCCGAGGCCTGGGGCATGCTCTGTGCTAGGGATTGCGCTTCCACAGCCCCTGTGGGTCTGGCCACATCCTGGGTGGCTTGACTTGCATTTAAAGGCACTTTGGGGGCCCTTAATGTCCTCCTCCACACCTGAATTCCCCCACTAGGCTCCCTTTGGGGCCAAACCACTGAAGGCCTTGTAAAAAGGTAGTGGGGTCCAGGTGTGGTGGCTCACGCCTGCAATCCCAGCACTTTGGGAGGCCGAGGTGGGCGGGTCACCTGAGGTCAGGAGTTCAAGACCAGCCTGGCCAACATGGTGAAACCCTGTCTCTACCCAAAATACAAAAATTAGCTGGGTGTGGTGGTGGGCACCTGGAATCCCAGCTACTTGAGAGGCTGGGGCACAAGAATCGCTTGAACCCAGGAGGCGGAGTTTGCACACCACTGCACTCCAGCCTGGGCAATAGAGCGAGACTTAGTATCAAAAGAAAAAAGAAAAAAAGAAAAGGCAGTGGCGTGACCAAAAGGGGGTGACTATGACAGCAGTGGGTCTAGAGGCTCAGGTTCTCCAGTTGGCTCCGGAGAACTGAGGGGCTGGTGCAGGGAGGGCACAGGGGCTAGGCATGTGCTGATGTACCCAGGCCTCATCACAGGGGAGCGGGCGCTGGTGGGAAGGGGGCCCTGGGTGCTAGATGAGAGGCACACTCACAGGAAAGGCTGTGTGTGGGAGCACGGACATGTGTGACCAAATGTGCTCTTCCCATGCTCACAATAATCACAACACAGAAGAGACATGGAGATCTGCTACCTCACGCAGGGCAGCGCCTTTCACACCCAGTCTGTAGACGGCATCTCCCAGCAGGGCCAGCTTACCATCCACCCCACCACCCATCCTTCCTCCATCCATCTATCCTCTATGCACCCACACATCCATCCATCTGTCCAGCTATCCATCCTTCCATCCATCAATGTATCCTCTATCTGCCCACACAACCATCCATCCATCCACCATGAAGTATCTTTGTTTGCTAGGCTCTTTCAAGCAGATTGAAGCCCCCATCTTCATCCACTCGTTCCATTCATTGGTGAATTCAGATTGTTGTGAAACTCCTTATGCTGAGCTAAGGACATACAGACATGTCTTTATGCCTCCCTGGAACTCCTTCCTCCAGCTTGACTGGGAGCTCTTGGGGAACAGAAGTTGCTCCTCCTTCCCTGCGTATCCCCCCAGCACTTGGCCCAGGCCACAGAATGGATGTTTAGTGCATATTCATCGACTGGAGAGAAGCAGTAGCCGCTCCTTCCTTCTCCTCCCATCCCCAAGAGCAGAGAAGGAGCCAGGGAGAAAGGGAGAAGGGCCTGTGGACAAAGCCACCAGGACCCGGTGGCAGAGGCGGGCACACCGACCTGTTAAACAGCGGCATTCGGGTGTCAGGGCAAACCCACTGCCGGTCATGCTGCCCATACCCCCAGCTCTCCACCCACCAGTGCCCTGCCCTGATCCTGCTGCTGCCCGGGCTCAGGGTCACCCCGCAGCTCCAGGCCGAGCCTCTGGGATTGGCTCAGGGTCACGGGCTGCCATGGAATCAGGTGGCCACATGCACACCCAGTGTGGTGCCACGATCCAGGCACACCTTCTCCCCTGCCTGGCACCCTCCACTCTCCTGCCTGCAGATGGTGGAGTGGGAGGGAAAGGAAGGGTGCCGGCCCTGCTCAGGAGCATGGCTCCCCTGCAAGCATCTGGCTCCTTGGCTGCCACTGCAGTGGGGACCAGAAAACAGACAGGGGTTGGGAGGGGCGAACAGGGGAGAGCATTCCAGAAAGAGGAAATAGCAGGGAGGTGTGCCTTAGAGTCTGGGGCAGGGCATGGAGCAGGGAAGGTGCAGGCCTCGGCCCGGCAGGGTTTGGAATGCACTCTGCCTGCTGTGGAAAATGCAGAACCAGGGAGACCCATCCAGGTGCTGCAATAGGGGGTGGGCGCAGAGGCCAGGCCCGAGACGCTGGAGGGTCACTCTGGACGGAGACTCTGTCGCTCTTACCCCCTCCTGCGGAGACCCGAGCCAGGCCTGGGTCCATACCCCATGCTCAGGGTTCCTCTGCCAGAATTCATCTGCATCACACAAGCAGGCAGCAGATGAAAGGGAACTTCCTCCCTCTGGTGTGGCCCAAAAGCCCAGCTCATTCAGGGCCCAGCTTCCCTGGGGGCATGGCTCAGTAGGCAAATCAGATCTGCTTGGAAGCAGATTCCTGATGAAGGGCAGATCCGGGGCCAGGGAGCGGGTGGGAGAGGCCCCAGATTTGCCCCAGACCTGACCCTCAGTCCCCCAGCTGCTCCTCCGCCTACGGCCCCAGTCCTGGGGCCTTTCCTTTCCTTTCTCTGAGATGACAGCCTGGGCTGGCTCCTGGCACAATGCTCTGTGGGTCATTTGCTCAGAGTCGGCAGAGGAACTGGGCTGAGCTCCTCCCTGGCGTTCTCACCAAGTGGCCCCTTACCCAGTCAAATACACTCTGATTCTAGATTCCAGGTTTACTGGAATCTCATGGCCCGAATTAGGCAATCGACAGTGTTCTAGCTCCTCCATTAAGCCAGGAAAGCACAGTCCGTCCATTCCACAGGGAAAATTAGTGGATGGATGAGTAGCTCTGTGACCACAAGCTCCCTAACAGAATGAGGTAATATAGGACGCAATTTCCCTTGGAAGTATTCCGCACTAGGGGTGGGGAACGGAGACTCATTCATTTGCCTTGGGTTCTATTTTTAAGACCTGGATTGAACCTTCAGTCATTAATGTGATTTGAGGCTGTCTGCACTCTGCTCCCATAAAATCCCGGAAACCCTGGGGTGGAGGTGGGGAGGGGGCATCACTGCCCTCAGTGTCCCCGCCCTGTCCCCAGCCAGCAGTCCTGGGCCACACACCAGGCCAGAGGCACACGGCCCCACCTGGGACAGGCCTGTCCCGTTTCTATCTGCAGCCGACCAGAAACACTTCCCTGACTTTGATCATCCTGGGGTGTCTCCGCAACGTCGTCCACATCCATGTGTGGCCTGAGTGCCATGTACTCCACATCCTTCACCCCAGGCTTGGAGTGACTCGCTCTTTCCACTCCATCTCAGCTACACGACGCTAGCCATGAAATGAGTCGTCTGATGGGCTCATTTCTTTTCCAAGACATATTAAAATAAGCATGTAACTACTAAAACAAAAAATGTTCATCTATGCAACCCCCGAGACCATCAAAGGGCTTGAATTTCGGGCTTTGACGCTGCACTAATTCTGAGCATTTGAATAACACGTCACCTTTCCAAAGTGTTTCCAGAACCCATCAATAGCTGAGAGAGAGTCTGTCTTGTTTTACAAACAGGGAAGCAGATGGTAGAAAGCAGGAGGGGCAGGATGGCTCTCCTGCCTCCTCACGACCTGTAAACAGTGGGATAGGCTCAAGCCTCACGGGCAGGCCAAGGACAACAGGCAGCAGTATCCCAGCACCCCTAGCACCTGGGAATCCCAGGCTGACACCCACTCTCCTTCCAGACTTCCTGGCCGTGTGTGCTTTGGGGATGGGGAGGGTGCCTCTTCCCTCCTTCCCAGCCACAGCCCCTCAGGTGCCAGACCAGCCTGGTCTACCAGGGCCTGGACCCACTCTTGCCGAACTGCAGCCCCTCTCCCTCCTTCCTTCCCAGCAGCTGGGGGCCCTTGTGCCCAGGAAAGCCTATGCCAGCTTCCCTGTCCTAAGTGTCCCCCCACCCCTTACTCTCCAGCTGCCCTCATGGACCCCGCCCAGTGGCTACCCCAGGCACCTGCCTCGAGGAAATCACTCTGGTGAAGGGATTTCACAAATAGAATTCAGGTCCTAATCAGCTGGCCTTGAGTTAATCAAAAGGGAGGTGACCCTGGGTAGGCCTTTCCAAAAGGGTCTAGAAGCCAGAGAGACCAAAAGCCAAAGCCACAGAGCTGCCTGCTGTGCTGCGGGGAGGCCACCAGGAGCTGGGCCTCAAGGACCCGCGTCCTGCCAGCAACCCGAAAGAGTGGAGGACCACGCCTTGGGTGAGCTCACACCCAGCAGGCACCTTGATTCCAGCCTGGGGAGTCCCTAAGCAAAGACCCCGCCCCCGCATCCAGCCTCCTGGACACAGAAACTGTCACATAGTAAGTTTGTGTGGTTTAAGCCCTAAGTGTGTGGGAATTTGTTACACAGCAGAAGGAAACTAATACACTTGGCTTCCCAGTCCACAGACTCTTTAAAAATTCTGGCCTGTTCTGCCAAGACAGCAGGAGTCGCTTTTTTCTGCCATGGAACGCTGCACACGCCCAGCCCTCCATTGCTCCATCGGAAGCAAACTGTCCCATCAGCTCCATGCCCTCCCTCCTTCATGCAGCCGCTCAACCCCCGGCCTGTCCTGACCACATCCTTGAGCAGGTCCGGCCAGGCACTGGGTGGGATGCAGCAGTGACCAGGACATGTAGTCACCAGGACAGAGGGCCACCTGTGCCAGCCTCCTCCAGGGCCACAGTCCCCAAAGGCCTGGCCTCAGAATCATCAGGGAGTTTTTGAAAACAGACTTCCCTAGGGGAGAGGGGCTCTGGGGTGAGTCTGGTGTCCCACAGGGTTGCACCTGCCCCACGGCCTCTAGTATACAGAGCGCTGAGGTGAGTCCCCACCTGCCCTGCCCCTGCTGCCCAGCCTGTGAGTGGGGGCCGCCCTCTCCTGGGACTCATGGGCCCTGCCCAGCCATCTGAAGAGCCGGCTCACTCCTCCAGGCCTTGGTCGTAAGGCTTCTTCAGCCAGGGCTCCGCCTGCACCCCACCCACCCAGACCACCTTCCAGAGACCACCCTGCCCCTCCAGGTGCCTCCTAGCCCAGCCTGGGAATACCTCCAGGTTGAGGAAGATTCCTGATCGACAGCCACACTCCGAGGCCAGGATGCAGCTTCTTAGCCTGGCTGTGCCCGCCACACCAGAGCACACAGGAGCCTCTCCCCTCAGAAGACCCAGAGGGAGCCCTGGGAGACTCCAGGCAATTCCGATGTGCGCTGGAGCACAGTTCCATCCCGTGACTGGTGAACGACACCAGGAGCTCGCTGATGCCCTAACAAGCTCGGCTGTCTCCTCCCACAGCCAGGAGGGAGGAAGGGCTGCAGCCCAGTCCTGTGAAGCCCGTTCGAGCCCTGCCTGGCCATCCACGCCTCGCCCACCCCCGTGGGCTTTCTCGAGACCAGCCTTGTGGCTCATCAGAGGGTAGCGGTCCAGCCAAAGCTGGCCAAGTTCAGCTGTGCAGGGGGCAGCTCAGGCAAGGGACTTCAACAAGTGCCCCGGAGCCCATCAGCCTTCCTCCCCATTCACACTCCACAGCCAGAGCAAACAGGTCTGTGCTAATGGCCCCTTCGGGACTGGATGGAGCACACCTGCTTCCAGATAACAGTGGCTCATCCTGCCCCGGGCCTCCCCTGACCACCTCTGGATGCACTGCTGGTGCAGACCTGCTAACATAGTGACCTACTCTCCCCTGGGACCCGCTGGCAGGTCAGCTGCTGGTGGCCTCTCGGACATCCCATCCATGACCCAGGCTTGGCTCAAGCACGTGCCTGTGTTCTCTGCCCACCAACCGACTCCTGCTGGGTGCAGAGGCTTTTGAGCACAGCCTGGACCCCACAAAGCTTGCCATCTCCCATGGAGAACGATGCCACACCCCAAAGGTCCAGAACAGGCACACTCATGGGGACAGAAAGCAGACGAGTGCTGCCAGGGACTGGGGGGCGGGAGATGACTGCTCCAGGCCTATAGGGTGAGGAAAAAGCTCCGAAACTAGTCAGGAGGAAGGGCTGCACAACATCGGGAAGCTGCTAAATGTCACTGAATTGTAAAGCTTAAAATGGTTCATAACAGTTTATGTTATGTCTATTTTACTGCACAAAAAAGAATACCCACCTCTAGACAGCCACTGAAGCGAGGCATGCATGGGAAAGGGTGTGGGGGTGTGGGGTATGCAGGAGCTGGTCCCGAGGGTCCTGTCAGAGCCTGGCCCAACAGCCCGGTCCGGCTCCAGCACCTGCCACCTGTGTGCCTCACACTGGCAGGTGTGGGCGGGAAGGATGGGTCACCAGGGACATGGCAGGATAGGGTGCAGGCAGGGGCCTGGAGGGGAAGAACAGTGGGGGAGAGAGTGAGGACCAGGGCACACCTCTGCCTCTGAACACAAAAGGTGAGAGGAGAAAAGCAGCCCAGGACATCCTTTCTCTCCTCCCCAAAATCCAGGGGTGGCCAGTTCAACCAAAAGTCATGGCCCTGCTGGCTGGGCAGATGCCAGGTGAGGCCAACGCTGATATGAGAGGAGGGAAAGCTGGGAGCCACCATCTGTAAGAAGCTGACTTCCTCCAGCTACCCCAGGAGGACTCCCAGGCCCCGGGATCCAAGAACAAACCAGACAGTGCTTTGCTGCTGTCTACGGCTGGAACTGGGCTGTGGGTGGGCCTGTCCCCCTGGTCTCCTAGGTACACACAGCACTCGGCTGGGGCCTGGAGGAGGAAGGATGACCCCTTCCAGGGCCCTCTACTCTCTGCCTTGAAAAGGGGTGGATGACGGGGGCAGACCTCCAGGGTCAGGCAGATCACAGGCTGTGCTGCTGGACCAGCAGGGAGGTGATGGGGAGGACTCAAGGAAGCCTCTGGGGTTTCTAGTGCAAGATGAGATTGCGCAGGAAATCAGAACTCAGCAGAGACTCAGAGCAGCTCCCGGGGCAGGGCTGGCAGGAGGGGCTCCATCAAGGCAGCTGCCTTGTGGCGCTGGCCGGTGTTTCTGGGCAGTCACCTGGCCTGGTCTAGCTGCTCCTGGATCTGTGTGCGCTGTGGGCTGCAGCCCACTTCTCCTGCTTTGTGCCGGCCCTGATGGTGGTCCCGGCATGCTCTAGGGAGCAGGAGTGGTGGAACAGCTCAGCGTGCCAGCCCTGGGCTGAGTCTCAACCCTCTGCAGCCCTCCACCTGTCTTCAGCCTCGCTGTTCCTGTGGGGGGACTCCAAGCTCTGAGCGTTCAGTCGGCCAGCACCAGCCCCCTCCCTCCTGGCCGCTGGGGAGTGTGGATGCCTGGGGGCTGGAGGGCACAGACCCCTGACTGTCCTGCCAATGCAGCCAGGGCCCCATCCTGGGTAAGGAGGGACACTCTGCCGGTGGCCCAAGAGGCAGCATGGGTAGGAAAGAGGCCCATCTCCCGTCCCCTGATGCTCCCATAACCCAGCCTGGGTGGTGCCGGTGCCTGCCAGGTTCCTCTGGCCTAAATGGATGGAATCTTTTCTCCCTAAGCCACTGCTGAGCTGGAAGCTGCCTGTTCTCCAATGCTGGTCAGCGCTTCATGAGCTGTAAAACCTCGGGCAACCATTGCTTCTTTCCAAGCCTCACTTCCTCCATCTGCACAGTCAGAGTCTTCTCTACCCAGAGACTATAAATGTGAAAATGCTCCCTGGGGCCGGAGAGCCTAGAAGATTGTAAGCATGCAGGCTGTGCAGACGCACAGGCCCCGAGGCGGTGCCATGGGCCAAACCCCTTGCCCTCCGAGGGGTGAAAAGCCCTCTCTGGGGAAGCCTCTTCACATCATTCAACCCAGGGCAGGTGCCAGGGGACCCACCCCTCTGAGGACCAAGACCGTGGGATAGCCACCCAGGCCTAGAGAAAGCAGGCAGCCCTGGCCCAAAGGGCCAAGAAGCAAAGGCCAGGAGCCAGGGGTCCAGTGCGGAAGGCTGACCTCAGTAGGACCCTGACCACGCTGCTCACCCACATTCCTGTGGCCAAGGCCATGACAATGACGAGAAGGCAGCAAGGGTGCCTGGCCACGGAGGGGGAAGGCCTAGGCCACCCTCGGTGAGTGTGTGAGGGGCCTGACCACCAGCAAGGCCTGCCCCGGCTCCGCACGTGCTGGCATGGAGCATTCGCAGGCCCCTTCCTGTGTGCACCCAGTGCCTGCAAGCCAGGCTGGTCCGACGGAGATGGGGCCACGGGCAATGGGGAGAGCCAGGCTACACGCGCCCCATCCAAAGGGGGCAGCTGTGCCTCGGCCCCAGTGAGCGCTCCACGTGGGGTGTGGCCAGGCACACACAGAACTTCTGGTCTGTCTCGACAAGTCAAAAATGGGGATTCTCTGGTGCAGCTAGTTTCTCATTTTTTGGAGAACCACGTGGTCCATGTTTAGTCCATGAGCTGCCGTGCGCAATGATTCTCAGGGTACTGTGGGAGGTGAGACCGGGGCCCAGAGATGGGGCAGCTGCCCTGCACAGCCTGCATCCCCAGGTCGCCTGCAGCCATCACATTCCACGCAGGTGGGCCTTGTCTAGCCTGGTGTCTGGGCAGAGAAATTCGCTCCCAAGTGCAGTGGGCTGTGCCTCATCATCTAGTTCCAGTTCTTCTTCTCTGACCTTTTCATTTGACAGCAGGAAGGTGCCTGTCCCAAGTCCAGAGATGGGCAAAGAAGCTTTCTTTTAAAAAAAAAAAAAATGTGAGACGGAGTCTCGCTCTGTTGCCCCAGGCTGGAGTGCACTGGTGCAACCTCGGCTCACTGCAACCTCCGCCTCCTGGGTTCAAGCAATTCTCCTGCCTCAGCCTCTCGAGTAGCTGGGATTACAGGCGCATGCACCACCATGCCCGGCTAATTTTTGTATTTTTAGTAGAGACGGAGTTTCATCATGTTGGCCAGGGTGGTCTCGAACTCCTAACCTCAGGTGATCCACCCGCCTCGGCCTCCCAAAGTGCTAGGATTACAGGTGTGAGCCACCACGCCCGGCCTCAAAGAAGCTTTCTGACGCTGATTCAAACCTAACCTGGAGAGATGGTCAGGCCTGACCCCTGAGGGCTCCCGAGCCAGCATCCACCTTCTGACTGGACGCTTCCTGGAGGAGACTCCTAAAACAGCCTTGGCTACGTGGCAGAGGCTGGGATGTGACCTGGGGACCACCCAGGCATTGTCCCTTGCCCCCCATTCACATACCCCCATTCCTGAGGTCACTGGGGCTCCTCTGCTGGCCAGAGTCTAAACGGCTGGGAGGGGTAGGGTGGCTTGCTGTGGCAGGTGGCTTTGAGAGCTAACCCCTGAGTGCTCAGACACAAGGCTCCCGCGTGGTGAGGGATGAGGTACCACCAGTAGCGGCCCTCCCGCTAGCCCAGGGGTTGTGGCTCCCCAGTGAGAGAGCTGTGCTTACCAGTGCGAGCGCAGGAAGTTCAGGAGCAGGATGGTGACGCTTAGAGAGTAGCAGGCCAGGTAGGGGGATCCGAAGGCCCTGCTCAGCTTGCGGGTCTTGTGTTCCCATCGTGCAACCTAAACCGTGAGCAGAGAACAAGAACGAGATATTTCCTGGGGAGACTCCAGGGTGGGGGTGGGGAGCACATGCCTCTCTCTGCTTCCCAGGCTCCAAAGCCCCCATTTCCAAAGAAGAAGAATTACACGGGAGCAACAACCACATGCACCCCAGCTGCACATTATCTGCCCTAGAGCAAGTTCCACAGGGATTTTCACACTTGCTCAGTTCATCTGGACGGACAACAAGGTCCTTCTGGAAACAACTCTTCAACCAGACACAGCCATGAACCCACCAAGAGGCAGAAAGAGACGTCTGGTGGAGAAGATCTGTCCCTGGGGAGACACATGGGGTCTGACCTCAGGCCCTACCTGGGAGCTGCTGAGTGCATCCCACAGACTCTAAAAGGGCCCCAGCAGAACTGCCAGAGGAGCCCATGGCTGCAGGAGCACGCGGCCTTCAGAGCACAGGCCCAAATTTCCGCTGGGGGCCTCACAAAGTGTCCATCACAGGCGCAAAGCAAAGCAAAGAAAACCCCTCACCCTCCTCCCTCTGCCCAAGTGCTCTTCTCAAGGCACAGACTTTCAAACAGTGACTTTTAGCCTCAGAATCCTTTTACTTTGTTTTTTTTCAAACTAATCACATCTGGAATCTCAACATCTGGCCACCAACGGTGGAGAGAAGGGAGCTCTTCCTGCCTGCCTGCTGTTTCCACAGTCCTGAGCTGGTTATCGCCCGGGCCTGGCCCAGCACACTGAGGAAGGAACGGAGAGGAGGGGAGGGGGCAAGGAGGATGCAAAAAGACAAGCATGCAGCCTGGGGTCAGGGGCTGGGCTCTAGGTATGTGAGCAAGTTGTCTGTGGGCCCAGAGTAGGCGCCTGTGTGTGCACAGGAAGAGCCTCAGAGGCCTGCTCCCAGCCACCTACCTCCACCCCAGCCCCAGCGATGACTGCTGCCTGCTCCACTTCCCAAGTGGACCTGCCTTTCCCAGCAGTTGCGGCAGGAGAGTGATTAGCGATGATTTCCTCAAGGCCACTGACTCCCAGAAGGTGGCTCCCTAGTGAGTCCTCTGGCCCCTGTCCTCAGAGCTCCTTGGCAGTGGCAGGCTAGGGGGCAGCAGATGGCGGGGGGCAGGGTATGCCAAAGTTTACAGGAAGGAGAAGTGAAGGAGGTAGCTCCCGGGCCTTCCCCTCAACCAGCTGTTGGCACTGCAGCCAATTCTCCCAGAAGGTAAGCAGGCCCTAGTCCAGGTCTCAGCAGGTGGCCGCTGCTGACTCTGTGGGAAGCTCAAAAGGCGGAAGGAATAAGCGCTGCAGGGGTGAGGAGGGGGCTGCGGTGACCTTGCTGGGAATGTGTGGGGTGGGGTGGGGGCAGAAGAGGAGCAGTCTGCAGAGAGCACCGCGGGGGCCCAGGACCACAGCCTGCTTTGTTTTGTTTTGTTCCAATTCTGAGATAAAATTCAAAGTAGTTTTTAGCTATGCAACCATCACCACGGTCTAAGTCCAGAACATTTCATCACCCCAAGTAGAAACCCCGTCCTCCCCATCCCCCATCTGCCGGCCCCTGGCAACCACTCATCGCTTTCCGTTGCTATGGATTCACCTATTCTGGACGTTTCATATAAACTGAATCACACACTACATGGTCTTTTGTGTCTGGCTGCTTTGACTTTATGTAACGTTCTCAAGGTTCGTCTGTGCCACAGTGCGTAAATGCACTTCATTCCCTCTTACGGCTGAATACGACTCCAGTATATAAAGATTTTGTCCACCGGTTCAGCAGCTGATGGACACTTAGGTTGCGTTAGCAGCACTGTCCACGGTGACCAAGGCCAAAGCCAAGCAACATACGGGCGCTTGCTAGGAACAATCGTGCCCAAGTGTTTTGTGGATGTGTGTTTTCAGTGCTCTCAGGTATACACCTAGGAGTGGAATTGCTGGGTCACATGGTAAATCTATTTATTGAAGAGCTGTGAAACTGTTTGCCACAGTGGCTGCCCCATTTTCCAGCCCCACCAGCAATGCATGAAGATTCTAGTTTCTCCACATCCTCCCCAACACCAGTTATTTTCCCTTTTCAAAAATTATAGCCTTCAGGGGTGGGGGACACTGGGCATGGTGGCTTACACCTCTAATCCCAGCACTTCGGGAGGCTGAGGTGAGAGAATTGCTTGAGCTTAGGAGCTCAAGACCAGCCTGGGAGACATAGTGAGACCCTGTCTCTCCAAAAAAAAAAAAAAATAATAAAAAAAATTAAGTTAGCCAGAAGATTGCCTGAGCCTAGAAGGTTGAGGATGCAGTAAGCCAAGATGGCACACCACTGTACCCCAGCCTGAAGACAGAGCAAGACCCTGTCTCAAAAACAAAGAAAAGAAAAAAAATTCTGTAGCCATCCTAGTGGGTGTCAGGTGGCTTTGGTCTGCATTTCCCTAATGATAAAGAAATACCTTTCCAGCTGGGCGTGGTGGCTCACGCCTGTAATCCCAGCACTTTGGGAGGCCGAGGCAGGTGGATCATGAGGTCAAGAGATCCAGACCATCCTGGCTAACACGGTGAAACCCTGTCTCTATTAAAAATACAAAAATTAGCCGGGAGTGGTGGTGTGCATCTGTAGTTCAGCTACTCGGGAGGCTGAGGCAGAAGAATTGCTTGAACCTAGGAGGCGGAGGTTGCAGTGAGCCGAGATCGCGCCACTGCACTCCAGCCTGGCAACAGAGCAAGACTCCATCTCAAAAAACAAAAACAAAAACAACAAAAACCTTTCCTTCAAGGGTTCTCTCTGCCATCCTCAGCCTCCCATACAGCCCCCCTCCCCCAACAGACCCAGGCCACACCTGTCCCTTAGCCTCGGAAAGAGCTGATGCTAAATGAGCTTTCAGAACAATCTAACGACAACAGAAAAGCATCAAGCAAGACTAACCCATGTGGGAAAGAAAAAGAGGAAACCACGCCTTGCCTCCCAGCGAACTGGTATTCGATGGGGCTGTTATTCCGAGGCAATCGATAAACCAGCAGCCAGCAGGACTCCCAGAACTTCCTTCCCTGCCTGGCAGCACCACCGTGTCCTCACTGGGAGCCCAGCTGCTCGTTTCATCCAACAATGAGCGGGTGCCGGACGCAGTCGCCTCCCAGGGCCATGCATGTGAGCCCTTAGTAGGCAGCGGCGTGGCCCAGCACTCTGCTCTCACTGCTCCTGGTTTTTGCCTGTCTTCTAGATTTCCAGAATCCTAGAGTGGGGATTCATTTGCCCAACACTCCGTGACCCTGGCTCAAATTTCCTCTCCCCGGCACTGCCAGGACCCTCCAGGTAAATGTAAGCTTCAGATAAACAACAACCTGGCCAGGCACAGTGGCTCACGTCTGTAATCCCAGCACTTTGGGAGGCCGAGGTGGGAGGATCATGAGGTCAGGAGTTCGAGACCAGCCAGGCCAACATGGTGAAACCTCATCTCTATTAAAAATACAAAAATTTAGCTGGGCACAGTGGTGTGCACCTGTAGTCCCAGCTACTCAGGAGGCTGAGGCAGGGGAACCGCTTGAACCCGGGAGGCAGAGGTTGCAGTGAGCTGAGATCGTGCCACTGCACTCCAGCCTGGGTGACAGAGCGAAACTCTGTATCAAACAACAAACAAACAAACAAACAATGTTTTGGTGCAACCTGTCCCATGGGACTGCTTTTAATCCTAAAACAGTCTGTGCTGTTGACCTGGAACCCTAATGCAACCGGGCCCTGGGTGTGTGTTTGCTCCATTCAGTAGCCCAGCCTCTCCCACACCCTGGCAAGGAGTTCCCAGCTGAGCTCTGGAACACACAGGTCTCCTCCCCAAATGCCGGCTCCTTTTCTTTTTTTGCAAATCTCACCCACAGCCTCTACCCTAGGGCAGAAGAGACAGGCCCAAGGCAAGTGGAGTGGGAGGAAAACAGGAATGGGGTCGAGACCCAGGGACACCATCCTGGCCTTGACATTCGCCAAAAGCCGACAGCACTTCATAGGCAAATCACTCAGCTGCCCGCTACCTAAACTGAGTCAGCTGCAAAGTACGAAAAACAGGACGGACAGTACCCCCCACCCCGATCCCCGGCCAGCGTGGAAGGAGGGGTAGAGCAGGTGAGGGATGAAAGGCTCCTAGCCCTGGCATGTGGCCCAGGACATGTGAGAGCGCCCGTCTCTCCCCCTATCCGTGGCTCAGAGCAGGGACTGTGTCTGATTTCCTTCTGGGTCCCACTCAGATGGGAACGGCCTCTGCCCATGCACATGCCCGTGGTGCCCGTCTGGCCTGAGGTGGCAGCTCCGGCCTCTGTCTCCACGCCAGGACCCATGCTTCTTCCCTGCCCTTTCCAGGGTGCTATTCTTGGTGTCCTTGGACTCAGAGGTTGTAACTGGCAGCCCAAGATGTGTTCTGGTCAAACTCATAGCATGTTTAAAATATTTGGATCAACAATTAAACACTCAGCGTTTTTCACATAAAAGCCAAGGCTTCTCAAATCTTGGCAATGAACACAGCCTCCCACCCCACAAGGCCTACACCAGCCCAGCTATGCAGTAAGGGCCCAAGAAGCACGACCCCCTTCTGGGAACAAGACCCTTTCCTAGAGACTTCCTATTGGTCTCTCAAATTTCCTACGCATCCTTGAAGTGAGGCCGCAGAAAGTCGAGTTTTTTATTTTTGTTTATGTTTTTAGACGGAGTTTCGCTCTTGTTGCCCAGCCTGGAGTGCAACGGCGCAATCTCGGCTCACCACAACCTCCGCCTCCCGGGTTCAGGTGATTCTCCTGCCTCAGCCTCCCGAGTAGCTGGGATTACACGCATGCGCCACCATGCCCGGCTAATTTTGTATTTTTAGTAGAGACGGGATTTCTCCATGTTGGTTAGGCTGGTCTCAAACTCCCGACCTCAGGTGATCCGCCCGCCTCGGCCTCTCAAAGTGCTGGGATTACAGGAGTGAGCCACTGTGCCCGGTGAGGGTAGAATTTTTAAATCCCTCTTTGAAGTGAGACACGGCTCCTTCGCACTCACTGAAGGACTGATGGGCAAGTGTCCACCCCAGTGCCCAGCAGGGCAGCTCGTGGCTCCCAGCGCCAGGTTCTGGGCTCAAACACCGGCTCCTCTACTTGCAGCTTGGAGCTTGGGCAGGTTATTTCCTTTCTCTCTGCCTGTTTCCTGATCTGTAAAATGGAGCTAATAATACTCTCGACTGCGTCACAGAGCTGCTGTGCGGATTAAGCGAATTCCTGCCCATGAAATGCCTGGAACGATACTACACCAGGCACATGGGCGCATGGCGGTGCTGCTGTTTGTTTTGTTTTGGAATGGGCAAAAGGGTGAGAGTCAAGAGGCTAAGTCCAAGCTATTGGCCTGACAGGCCCCGGCAAAGCTGATGAAGAAAGTCTGTTGTGAAGCAGTGTCCCCAGGGAGAGGACAGGCAGACAGACCTGTGCCACACTGGGCTCGCCGGCTGCCAGGCCTCTCCCCTCTGCGGCCAGCCCTTGATGGACTCTCAGAAGCTCCTCCTCTCTCACCTTGTCCTTCCCTGGCTAAATCTGCCTAATACCCAGCTGCAGTGGTAGGTCCCATCTGGATTCCACAGCCAGGACCCCCCCACCACCTGGCCCAGGGCTCCCAGCCTAGGCACCTGGGGGTCTAGAATGCCCCAAGCAAAGGGCTAGTGCTTCGCATTGGTAATGAATGCTGGGGAGGAGCTGGTGTTTCCACGAGCTTTGCCAAGGGCCCACGGAACCACTGAAGGAGCCCATCCCTTTTGTTTAGAGGACGTGGGCCGTGCGCCAGCACAGAGGGGCTCATGAGCTCCAAGCTTCCTTCTGCCTTCCTGCTTTTGCCTCCCGAACCGCCCCCATCTCGCTTCTACAGCTGGACCCACCCCTCTGCCTGCCTGACTGGCCCCCTTTCCAGCCCCAGGAGCCGCAGCCAGTGCCTTCTCACTCCTGAACTCCTGCCTTGCGGCTCCGGCAAGATGTGGCTGTGGCCTAACAGTTCACACTGTGTCCACCTCTGCCTGCACTATGCTGAATCCCACGTGGGGCTACCACCCGAGGAGGCACTCAACAAGCACGGGTCTGTGTGGAATGATGGATACATCAGCGCTCCGAGGCCTTCTCTCCTCTCCTCTTTCCCTCGCCTTGCAGGGAGCCAGGAAGGGAGGGGGCCACTAGCTGGGCTCCATGAAGAGAGGAGGGGCCCTAAGGCCCCCAGGGTACCTGTAGGTGACATACAAATGTCTGAGTGAGACGTCCCCGGGGCAGCAGGGAGTCTGCCCATGACTCCTGTCTCTCCCTCATCCCACCCTGGCCCCCCAGAACCTATGAGAGGTCAGGGACCTCAGAGGCGGTGGAGCCCAGCCCTCCATTGGCCTTCTGAACAGAAACTCAGGGCTCCACTGGCATCAGGAGGTGGGATTCAGGATCCCCCAGTCCCACTGGAGTTGACAAGGATGGCTGAGGCTGCCAAGGCTACTGGGCATCCCCTAGGCCGGCCCCGATGGCCCAGGCCCAGCAGCATGAGGACAGCCCATCGAGGCATTTCCTCCCCAGCCCCAGATCAAGGTCACTGTGATACCGTCACATAAGCTTCATGTGCACGCCAAGTGCTGTCCACACCGCGCATCCCAGCGGGGCCTGGACCCCTCTCCCTTCTCACCAGGGCTCATAGTGGATGGGGTGTGTTTGTGGGAGCTCAGCAGAGCCCAGCACAGGACCCAGTCACTGCCAGCTAGGCAGGCCCTGGGCCAGCAAGCAAGTGCATATATGAACAGGCGGCTCTCCGAGGTCGCACCGTGTCAGCCCCCTCTGCTCTGCACACGCTAGGCCCAGCCGGCCCGGTGACCTGGATCACACCTGCCCTTCCCAACACCCAGTTCCACCTGTCCTGCCAGGTGTGCACAGCCCTGGCTCCTTTCAGATCTGCCCCAATCTGGCCAGTGCTGCTGAACCTGGGCCAGGGCCTCTCCAGGACATAGGACCAGTGGCAGCTCAGGGCAGCATCCAAAGCGTCCCACAGCACATGGCTCAACTGCCCTTCCACGTGACACAGCCTGCTCGAGGGCTCCAACAGTCATTGTCTCCAACAGATCAACAGACCTGCCCACTCCACCAGCTAGTCCAGTGAATCAATCCCTGTCCAAGGTGCACCCAAGCTCTCGCCCTGCAGTGAGCACACTAGTGCCAGAGAGCAGGTCCCAGCACCAGCTGCCCACTTCCAGACAACCTGCACCCGAGGCCCCAGCAAAGCAACATGACCCAGCTTCACACCCGAGGGGCCATGGCACAGCGGGGGACACTCGCCTCCCCCAGCCTCAGTGCTCATGCTCAACCTCTTCACTCCGTTTTGCTCCCCGCCTCCTCCATTATGACGGCCCACAGAGCACAGGAGAAAGAGCAATAGGAACATGGGCTCTGAGTTCAAATTCTAGCTCCAGCACTACCTATAGCATCGTATAAAGATGGAACCCACCCCAGTGTCCACTGGCAGGGGGAGGGGCTGAATGAACTGCGCTACAGCCCCACCCTGGAGAAGGGCTCCTTGTAGAAAGGAGGAAGATTTCTATCTATTGCTATGGTGTAAGCTCCAGGATATATTCATTAAGTAAAAAAGCAAGTGCGGAAGGTGCACCCATCCTGTTGTATAAGGACATGAAGAGGGGCTGGGGGAAGATACACACACAGACTTGCTTACATTTTCAAAAAGCAACAGGGGAAGGACAAACCCAAAACTGATCAAAATTATTACCTACAGGTGAGGGAGGAGACATGCCAGACATTTACAAATGTCCTTTGTTGACTATGGAACCATGTAAATGTTTTGCATAATTAAGAGTAAGAACAGGGCAGGCACAGTGGCTCACACCTGTAATCCCAGCACTTTAGGTGGCCGAGGCGGGCGGATCACCTGAGGTCAGGAGTTCAAGACCAGCTTGACCAACATGGTGAAACCCCGTCTCTACGAAAATACAAAAATTAGCCGGGCATGATGGCGGGTGCCTTTAATCCCAGCTACTTGGGAAGCTGAGGTGGGAGAATCCCTTGAACCCCGGAGGCGGAGGTTGCAGTGAGCTGAGATGGCACCATTGCACTCCAGCCTGGGTGACAGAGAGACTCCGTCTCCAAAAAAAAAGAGAGAGAACAAAGGAACTACTAGAAATCCAAAAACTCAATCAATAAACCTGGTAAAAACACAGATAAGAAGTTTCAAGTGATTTTGAAATACAGTATTTTGACTAATCCTCCCTCCTGCCGCACAGCCTGAGGACAAAAGAACCAGAAAGATTCTAGACTGCATCGAGTAAATCTATTGTTGGTGATAAAATATTTAATAATACAGATATTATTATTATTTTGACTATATACACATTAATTATGTTACTGTATTTAGGATCCAAGCTTCCTATAAAAGTGGTACAAAAATGAAATTGAAAGGTTGAACAAAAACTTTTGAAGTGGAAATATTGGTATGAATTCATGATTTATTTCTATTTCTAAAAAATTCATTTTTCCATTACAAAAAATTGGCCGGGCGTAACGGCAGGTGCCTGCAATCCCAGCTACTCGGGAGGCTGAGGCAGGAGAATTGCTTGAACCCAGGAGGCGGAGGTTGCAGTGAGCCGAGATGGTGCCACTGCATTCCAGCCTGGGCGACAGAGTGAGACTCCGTCTCAAAAAAAAAAAAAAAAAAATCATTTTTCCTAGAGAGGCCTGGAACAGTGAGCACCCTAGCATTCAAACTGTGGTCTCCAAATATCATTTTCCACTAAAAATAACCAGAGCTCCTTGGTTAAAAGGCCGATTCCAGTCTACTCTGGGAACAGAAGATGTTGAACCTGAGACTGAAAGCTATGAAAGACGAGGTGGAAACGCCAGAAGAACACTAAGAAACACTTGAAGGGTCCCCAGCTGGCTAAAGGCAGACATGCTGAGGTTGCTAGGACACTAACGCATTATTCTGAAATGGTTTTTTTTTTCTTTTTTATGAGACATGGTCTCAGTCTGTCTCAGTAGGATTTGTCTTTATTCACAGACAACAATAATCATCTATGTCAAAAATCAGATGGAAACCACAAATAGATGGATATGAAAATACAAAAAACTTAGAATACTCAAGACAACTCTGAAATAAAAGGACAAAGTGGAACTAACACAACCAGATTTTGAGATGTCTGACAAAGTGCTAAGGCAATTCAGTGGAGAAAGGACAGCCTTTCCACAGATGCCACTGGAACAATTGGCTATCATATGCAAAAAAAAAAAAAAAAAAAAAAAAAGAACTTCAATCCATAACTCAGAAAAAATATAAAAATGAATTCAAGATGGACTATAAATAGAAATATAAACCTAAATCTATATATAAATATATCAATCTAAATATATAAAGCCTTCTAAAACTTTTAGAAGAAAATAGACTAGAGAGAATCTTTATGATCTTGGATTATATGATGATTTCTTAGGCACAATATGAAAAGCATGATTCATAAAAGAAAACGTGATAACTTGAAATTCACCAAACTTTTAAAGCTTCTTCTCTTCAAAAGACATTCTTGATAGAATGAAAGGATCAGCCATAGACTGGCAGAAAATATTGGCAAAGCACATACTTCTTGAGGGACTTATATCAAAAATATATACAGAACTCTTAGAACTTGATAATAAGAAAACAAAAAACTCAATTTTTTTCAATGGGCAGAAAAACCCAAAGCTAACATCATACTTAATGGTGAAAGACTGGATGCCTTCCCCCTAAACTCAGCAACAAGACAATGAAAGGACGTTCACTCTTACCACTGCAATTCAACTTTGTACTAGAGGTTTTAGCCAGGGCAATTGGACAAGAAAATCAAATAAAGGCATTCAGATTGAAAAGAAATATGTAAAACTAACTCTATCCACAGATGACATAATCTCATACATTAAAAATCCTAAGGAATCCACTAAAAAAATTTCAAGCTAATAAATGAGTTTAGCAAGGCCACAAGATACGATTGTATTTCTACACATTTGCAATAAAAAGTCTGAAAGCAGGAATCAAAAAAACAATTCCATTTACTATAGCAATTAAAGGAGTAAAATACTTAAGAATAAATATAACAAAAGTACAAAACTTACTCTCTGAAAATGAAACATTGTTCAAAGAAACAAAAGATCTAAATAAATGGACAGACATCCCATGTTCATGGATTACAGACTGGATAAGATGGCAATACTCTCCAAACTGATCTAGAGATTCAATGCAGTCACAATCAGAATCTCAGCTGGCTTCTTTGTAAAACTGACAAGCTGATTCTAACATCCATATGGATATTTAAGGGTCACAAAATATCCAAAACAATCTTTTTTTAAAAAAAGACAAAAAACAAAAAACAAAAAGGCCAGGCTCAGTGGCTCATGCCTATAATCCCAGCACTTTGGGAGGCCAAGGCAGGCATATCACCTGAGACCAGGAGTTCAAGACCAGCCTGGCCAACATGGCGAAACCTGTCTCTACTGAAAATACAAAAATTAGCTGGGAGTGGTGGTGGGCATACGTAATCCCAGCTACTCGTAAGGCTGAGGCAGGAGAATCGCTTGAACTCGGGAGGCAGAGGTTGCAGTGAGCCGAGATCGTGCTATCGCACTCCAGCCTGGGTGACAGAGTGAGGCTCCATCTCAAAAAAACACAAAAAAACAAAAAACCAAAGTTGGAGGACTCACTTCCTGATTTCAAACTTACCACAATGCAACAGTAATCAAGACAGTGTGGCACTGACATAGGGATAGACATAGACCAATGGAATAGCATACAGAGCCCAGAAATAAACTTCCACATACATGGCAAGTGATTTCCAACAAGGCTGCCAAAACAAATGAATGTGGAAAGAATAGCCTTTTCAACAAATAGCACAAGGACAACAGGATATTCACATGCAAAAGAATGAAGGTGGACTCTCAGCCTCACATCATATACAAAAACTAACTCGAAATGGATCAAAGACCTAAATGTAAGAGCTAAAACTATAAAACTCTTAGAAGAAAACATAGGTATAAATCTTCATGACCCTGGATTTAGCAATGGTTTCTCAGATGCAACACCAAAAGCACAAGCAATGAAAGAAAAATAAACTGGCTTTATCAAATATTTAGACTTTTATACTTCAAATGATTCTATCATGAAAATACAAAGACAACCCACAGAATGGGTGAACATATTTGTAAATTATTTATCTGATAAAGGATTGTATCTAGAATACATAAAGAATTCTTACAAAATGGCTAAAAGTAAAGAGGGTTGGAGAGAAGCAGAGCAATTAGAATGCTCACTCCTTGCTAGAATGCAAAATGGCACAATCACTTCTGAAGGCAGTTCGGCAGTGTCTCTCTTTTTTTTTTTTTTGAGACAGAGTCTTGCTCTGTTGCCCAGGCTGGAGTGCAGTGGTGCGATCTCGGCTCACTGCAACCTCCGTCTCCCAAGTTCTAGCAATTCTCCTGCCTCAGCCTCCCAAGTAGCTGGGATTACAGGTGCATGCCACGACACCCGGCTAATTTTTGTATTTTTAGTAGAGATAGGGGTTTCAACATGTTGGCTAGGCTGGTCTTGAACTCCTGACCTCAGGTGATCCACTCACCTCGGCCTCGCAAGGGATTACAGACATGAGCCACTGCATCCAGCCCAGTTTGGCAGTCTCTTGAAGTGTTATGCACACACCTACCACCACATGACCCAGCCATTCCACTCCTAGTATTTACTTAAGAAAGATGAAAGCAGCTATCCAGGCAGACTTGAACATGGATGTTTACAGTAGCTTTACTTGTAATAGTCAAAACCTGGAGACAATCCAAATGTCCATCAACCAGTGAATAAGTAAACAAACTACGGTGAATGGATACAATGGAATACTACTCAGCACTAAAAAGGAACTACCAGTCCATGCAAGAGCATCCATCACCCACAAAATAACTATGCTGAGTGAAAGAAGCCAGACAAACATAGAGTATACTGTATGATTCCATTTTCATAAAATTCCTGAAAATGCAAACTAATGTCCAGTGACAGAAAGCAGATCAGCAGCAGCCTGGGTTAGAAAGGGCAAGAGGGGCTGGGGGGATCTCAAAGGTGGGAATGGATATGTTCACAGTCTTAACCTGAGTACGTGCCTCCTGGCTGTAGAAACACATCAAAACTCAAATTGTAGGCAGGGCACAGCGGCTCTTGCCTGTAATCCCAACACTCTGGGACTTTGGGAGGCCAAGGCAGGAGGATTGCTTGAACCCAGGAGTTTGAGACAAGATTGGGCCAGATGGTGAGACCCCCATCTCTACAAAAATAAAAACATTAGCCAGTGCAGTGGCACATGCCTGTAGCCCCAGCTACTCTGGAAGCTGAGGTGGGAGGATCACTTGAGCCCAGGAGTTCAATGCTGCAGCACGAATGCACTCCAGCCTGGGCGACAGAGCAAGACCCCATCTCTAAAAAAGGCAACTCAAATTGTATGCTTCATATAGGTGCACTTTGTTGTAAGTTGGTTATTCCTCTATAAGGCTATTTTATTTTATTTTATTTTATTTTATTTTATTTTATTTTTTGAGATGGAGTCTCGCTCTGTCACCCAGGCTGGCACAGTCTCAGCTCACTACAACCTCTGCCTCCCGGATTCAAGCAATTCTCCTGCCTCAGCCTCCAGAGTAGCTGCGATTACAGGTGTGCGCCCCTATGCCTGGTTAATTTTTGTATTTTTAGTAGAGAGGGGTTTCACCATGTTGGCCAGGCTGGTCTCAAACTTCTGACCTCAGGTGATTCACTAGCCTTGGCTTCTCAAAGTGCTGGGATTACAGGCTGAACCACCACGTCTGGCCTGTAAGGCTATTTTAAAATGAAATTATTAATTTTGCTGAATGTTTAATGTATTATATTATTAAAAGTCCTTACTTATGGCCAGGCATAGTGGCTCACATCTGTAATTCCAGCACTTTGGGAGGCCGAGGCGGGTGGATCACGAGGTTGGGAGATCAAGACCATCCTGGCCAACGTGGCGAAACCCCGTCTCTACTAAAAATACAAAAATTGGCCAAGCATGGTGGCATGTGCCTGTAATCCTAGCTACTCAGGAGGCTGAGGCAGGAGAATGGCTTGAACCCAGGAGACGAGGTTACAGTGAGCTGAGATCGCGCCACTGCACTCCAGCCTGGGCGACAGACTGAGACTCCGTCTCAAGAAAAAAAAAAAAAAAGTCCTTACTTGTTAGAGATACATTCTGCATTTCATATGCATGTGAGATATTTACTGATGAAATTTGATGTCTGGATTTGCTTTAAAACACTCTAGTGAAAGGAAGCAGACAGGAGTGAAGGGGAAGAGGCGGAGAGGGGGCAGAAGACAGATGAAACAAGAATGACATATTGTGAGAGAATTCTTGAAGCTGGGCATTGGGTACGGTGGTGCAGGGGTCATTAAACGGTTCTAGTTTAGTGTATGTTGCATATTTTTGAAAATAAAAAGTTAGAAGGCAAATCCAGGCTTCACTGTTTCCCAGCTGTGTGAGCTCAGGCAGGTCCCCAACTTCCCTAAGGGTGACAGTCCCCATCGGTGAGCAGGGGATGCCCCTGCCCTCCCTTGGGTTCTGTGAGGGCCTTGGTCCAGTGTCTGGCAACGACTCCCTTATTCTGCCACTGTCTCCCCAAGGGCCTACAATCTCCTTAACTGTGGCATGCAGGCCCTGTGCCACTGCACTGACTGTGGCATGCAGGCTCTGATGACACCCACAGCACAGTGACGTCAGCCGACACTGGCACAGGGCCTGCTGCACACCAGGCGCTGGGGTGAGTGCAGCCATGTATCCTATTCAATCTGCATGCCAGCCCCACGGGGGACGTCCGATAGTGTGCCTCCCTTGCAGGACTTGCCAAGGACACACAGTGAGTAAATGGATTGTAACTCAGGTCTGGCTTCAGTTATGACCCCTGCCACATGCTGTTCCTGAACATTCTGGGGCCTCCCAACTCTGATGGGGGAATCTGTGCCAATCTGACTTCACGGGACCATCTCCCCTCACTCAGACCCCAGCCTCTGTCCTTGGCTTCACCCAACAAGCTCAGGCCAAGTTCAAAGGCCTCCTCTGTCTGCCTCCGGGTCCGAAGCACAACCAGGCAGTCCCCAACCTTCCTCCTGCACACGGGAGCCCCAGGGTTGCTTGTTACCTCTATCAAGAACTCAGCAGCCCCGCAAGGAACAGACCAGCAAAGGTGACCTCATGGGAGTGTCCATGCCCTGGCTGGCTCCTGTGGGTTTGAGCAGAGGGAAATGGTACAGAGCTGTCCCTTCCTCACCCAGTGGGAAAGTCAATGGTGTTCCTCTCATGAGGGCCTGCTACACCTGCCCGTCCACCAGGTGCGACTCATGCTCTGTGCTCCCTGCATCCACTGAAATGGTCCATTGGCCCCGTGGGACCTGGTATGGCCGGGAGCAGGATGAGGCTGGCCTGGCAGTGTCAGCCCCTACTCAGGGCGGCTCTGGTTCATGGTGCTGTCGGGTCTGGCCCAGTCTGAGTGGAAGGCAAGAGGCTCACAGCCCGAAACCCTTCACCAGTGCCAGCACCCAGCCCGGGAAGTCAGGGAGTGCGGGGTCTCCCTCAGCAGGTAAGACGGCCTCAGCTGCCCTTACAGGCCGGGGGGCACGGGAGGGACAGGGTGTCTGCTACGTGCTCCACTGACGGGTCCCACTGGAGATTTCAGGCTGGACGATGACAATACATTTTGCTCCTTTTCCCTGTCTGTCTGAGGGTCTCTGAGCCCTGCTTACACAGATGGCTCTGTCCTGAATGTGGGGCTGCTGCTGCCCTGGAAAGAAGGAGGGAGCCAGCATGCTCAGAGTCCAGCTCGGAGGTGGGAGCCCAGAGCTCCTCGAATCCTGCCCTGCTCCTGTGAGGAGGACCCACCTGCTCCTGGGCCTGGCCCCCTTTGCCTTCCCCTTGCCCTGCTACTAAGAACCCCCCACCGGCCAGAGGGCAGATGCTGTCCCTGCAGGTTCCCAACCCCTGCCCTCCATGGGTGACTGTGGTCCAGCGACAGCAGAGGCCAGCTCCAGCCCAACACACCGGGCTCCCCCAAGCCTAGCCCAGCCCAGCCCAGGACCCTGAGCCATCCCCGTGCCCAGCAGCCTGCAGGGGCCTTCCCCATGCTGGCCCAGGCCTCAGGCGAGATCCCCTGTGTGTGTGCCACTCAGCTGCTGATTAGTCATGCTCTGCACGTGGCCACCTCTTCCATCCCTGATACTTGTCTTCTGGGAGAAAGCAGGAGGAGAGATAAGATAGAGTGGGAGAAAGAGAAGGAAAGGCCCGGACCACTCTTTGCTCCTGGAAGCTCTGGCCCTGAGACTGGGAGAGACAGACAAGCCTTCCAGCAGTATGACCTGTGCCTAGATTTCCCGGGGAGGGAGATTTGAGACATGGACAGTGCCTGCTGCAGGGCCCAGCATGGCGTAGAAGGCAGGTGTCTTTCCTTCCCGCCACTCAGCCTTCCAGGAGGATGTTTGTTGACTTGGAAGACAGTCACACAGTTGTGACTTGGGTGGGACCTCATCCTCACGTCCAACCTGCCACCTCCAGGGAAGATCAGGGCAGAAATCACCAGGGAGTGGTCAGCTGGCAAACGCCCTCCTCAGGAAGGGACAGCTGCTGCCGGGACCCATGGCATGCCCGTCCTTGCTGTCTGAGGTGGTCTCTCCAACGCTGCAACAGGGGGCCAGTCAGGGGCCTGGGTCCCAGCCCTCCCAGCCCTCAGTGACCTGCAGGCCCCACGATGGTAGAGGGAGGGTGCTAAAGAGCTGGGTACCTGAGCCCAACTGGACAGGGAGGCAGGGAGGTCACTCCATCAATACACGCTGAGCGGCTTCTCCAAAGACGATGGCCACCAGCGGCAAAGAGAGCCTCAGGCCAGGACAGAGGCAGTATTGTGCCATTGCTGTCACAGCTCTCACTTAAATAAAATATATATCTAAAAATTTGCCTCAGGCTGGGCAACAAATTGAGACCCTATCTCTACAAACAATTGAAAAATTCTCTGGGCATGGTGGCACATGCCTGTAGTCCCAGCTACTTGAGAGGCTGAGGCAGGAGGATCACTTGAGCCCAGGAATTTGAGGCTGCAGTGAGCTTGGATTACACCATTGCATTCCAGCCTGGGTGGCAGAACAAGACTCTGTCTCCAAAAAAAGAAAAAAAAAATTAATAAATACATTAAAGGGGAAGAGGCAGTTGTTTCATCAGAAGATTCGCTGAGTCATTTAAATAGGGAGGCTTTCTACTGCATTTATGATGTCTGATTTATGCGCAGCTTTTTAAAGTGTCTTTTCTTTTTACATAAAACAAACCCACCTGTACAAAGCAACTGAAAAAGTAGCTTAGGAGTGACTCCAACTATTAACCAAATATAGCACAAAGCGTGATCCGCCTTCTTGGGTCAATATTTACCTGGACTTCAGCCTGCCTCGGAAAGGAAATTTGAAAATATTTGGCGAGTGGCAGAATGGTTGTCTGGCTACACAGGCCGATAAGCAGCTGGGGCTCAGGTTTCCAAGCTGGCCTTTTATGGGCGAGAGACATTATCACCATCATCAACGCCCATGTGCTAGTAGTAGGACCCACTGTCAGCCAGCTTTTTGTTTTGTTTTTGTTTCTTAAAGATTAGTATATTTTAGAAGGGGGGACTTTAAAAATCATTTTTAGGTCAGATTTATGAAGGTAACACATAAAGTAAAATGTACCCTTTTTAATGCACAGGTCTGTGAGTTTTGTTGTTGTTGTTTGATTTTAGTAAAGATGGGGTCTCGCTATGTTGCCCAGGCTGGTCTCCAACTGTTGGTCTTAAGCAATCCTCCTGCCTTGGCCTCCCAAAATGCTGGGGTTACAGCTGTAAGCCACTGTGCCCCAACCAGGTCTATGAGTCTTGACAAATGCATACCACCACCACATCAGGACACAGCACTTCCAGCCAGCTCCAGGCTCCAACCCAGAGCTGGGCCCTTCCCTGTCCCACCCCAGACACTCCTGTCCTGTGTTCCATCCCGTTTCCCTCCTCAAGTGTCACAGAAATGGAATCGCGCAGGCTGTGGCATCCTGCACTTGGTATGATGCCTCTGCGATGCGCCCAGGGTGTCACATGTATCCCCAGCTTGTTCCTTTTTGTGGCTACGCAGGATTCTTTGGTGTGGACGTGCCACAGTCCGTGTGTCCCTGCCCCAGCTGAGGGACTGCTCGTGGGATTTTGCTACTGTGTAACTGTGTATTTTCATTTCTCTGAGGGCCAATGTGCTGTCAGCTAATCACGATCATGGGGCCTGAATCAGCTCACAAGGTCACTGTGCAGGGGAACCATTGCCCTCATTCAGGGGCACAGAGCCCCGGGCACAGCCCTGCAGCTGAGAAGTATCAAGGCATCCGGCCTGTGGGACTCCACCCCTGTATCACCACCCTCTGTCTGCCGCAGCCCCTGTGCCCCACCCATGCACTGGCGCCTGAATCTCTCAGGAGCGTGGGCAGGAGGGGTCCTGGGAGGCTGGTGCAGGAAAGACTGACCACGCAGGTGGCAGGGAGCTCACAGCCTCCACGCAGGAGGCTCGGGAGCAGGAGGGCCCACCCCAGGAGTGCAGGGACAGGGGAGGACAAGGAACAAAGGCTGGGGGCATGGAAGGACAGAGACATCTTCTGGAAAAGACAGAATCTGAGTTGAACCTGGAAGCAACGCCCCAAGGGAAGGGGCCAAAATGGGCAGCAGCCAGCCCTGGCCGTGGGTGGGGATGGGGCAGGGGCGCAGGATGGAGGGTGGGGCCTGGAGGGCTCATGGAGGAAGGAAGAAGAGCCTCAGAGGGGCCTTCCAATCCCAGCTCCAACCCTCCCTCCCCCGACAGAAGACCCCCAACATGGGGCAATGGCCGGGACGAGGAGGGGGCTGCCCCAGGTGGACTCTGCGCTCTATCCCAGTGCCTCCTCTGCGCCTGCTTTGCCCAGAGCACACAGGTGAAAGCACCAACTTCGGGCTGAGCACAGCACACGTGAGGGAGGGTGGCCAGCCAGCATGAGTTCTGGCATTATGTCCCAGGGGGTCAGGGGAACTGAGCCCCAGGAAGACTCCCTAGGCAGGTGGCAGCAGCCACTGTGCAAGGAGAGGAGCCAGTGAGTCAGGAGCACCAGCTGGCCTCCACCAGCCAGACCCCCAGAACCCGCGTCTACTTGAGGACACTGTCAGAAGGAGCCCAACTTCCAGGCAGCTGCAGGATGAGAGGCCCCAGGCAGGCTCCGCCCCTCCCCATGCTGCCCCTCTCCAACAGGGTCCCCGCAGCACAGCCCACTTCTCCAGGCAGGCTCAGGGTTCAGAGGGTCGTGCAGCATGCAGCCTCCTTCTCACCCTCTCCTGCAGTGACCCCCTCGCTCCCCCACCTTGGACAGCACCTGGCACAGTGCCCACTCATCACTGGCGAGTGAATGGGCTCCCGAGTGCTCCCCTGTGAGCACCTCAAGGCATACAACAGGTACTCAGTAAATGTTCGCTGATTATAAATCTGCAGTGGGCAGGGAGTGTCTCCACTGCCTGGTATTTGTCTATTCTCTTCTTGCTTTCTGTGGGCACTGACAGCAGTGACTGCCAGTTTCAGTGCCAGCCCCGTGCTGAGTCCAGCCACCCTGGCCGCTGAGTGCTCGGCTGAGACGGGGACAGAGCCACCACTGGGATTCTGGGGTCACAGATGCATCTGCATGTTTATTCCAACAGACAGGATTGTTGCTGACGTTAGCAGAATTGTGCTCCGCCTGCTGCTATATAGAGCACCCATATGAGGTAGGCGCCAGGCCCAAGACTGGGCATTACAGAAGCACCCCATCCTCCCAGAGCCCTGCAAGGAAGATGTCTCCCTCACGCACGGACAGGTGCGGTGGTGCCTCAAAGTTTCCCGAGTCAGCTGAACCACCTGATCCCGAGCCCCAGCTCTTTCAGCTCCTCCAGCTCTACACATTCCTAAAACCCAGGCTGCCCACCAAACAGGAAGCAGGGAGCATCGTGGACCGTGGCCCGCAGCACCTGTCCCCACTTAGCTCCCAGGAGAGAAGGCTGGCAGGCAGCCCCAAGACCACCGGCCGCAGCAGCAGCGGGGCATGGGCAGGCTCGGACATGGCGGGCCTCATCCCAAGGCGCCAGTTCCCTGGGCCCAGCTCCAGCGAGCCAGAGCCCACACACTGAACTTGAAACATCTGCCCAGACCTGGGACTGCTGCAGGGCCTAAAGCAGCGGTGAGCACAGGTTTGTTGAGGCTTCTGGGGATAAATATTTTGATATCTGTGCTCCAGGAAAGGATTCTGAGCTTCAGAGATGAAGCAACCTGCCCAAGAAGGCTCCTCAGCGACCGGGGCCTGCCCAGGGTGTCTGCAGCCAGCACAGCTGTGGCCTGGGCTGCCAAGGCAGAAACGTTTCCTCATGAGCCCCTTGCCCAGAGAGAAACGGCTGCTACCCCTGGCCCCAAGGCTAAAACGACAGGCCACAGACATGTGAGCCCAACACCCAGGGCTCATCTGCCTGGTACTGGCCCCTGAATATCAGTGCCTGAGCCAGAAGGGCACAGCCCACCTTCCTCTTTTTTCTTTTTTCTTTTTCTTTTTTTGAGATGCAGTCTTGCTCTGTTGCTCAGGCTGGAGTGCAGCAGCATGATCTCTGCTCACTGAAACCTCCACCTACCAGGTTCAAGCAATTCTCCTGCCTCAGCCTCCCAAGTAGCTGGGATTACAGGTGCTCACCACCACACCCAGCTAATTTTTGTATTTTTAGTAGAGACGGGATTTCACCATGTTGGCCAGGCTGGTCTCAAACTCCTGACCTCAGGTGATCTACCCGCCTCAGCCTCCCAAAGAGCTGGGATTACAGGCGTGAGCCACTACGCCTGGCCCACCTTGTTCTTCTTTAAGGCAAACACCGTGCCAAGCAACCTGGTTTGCCTGATTGAGCTCCCGCTCAGTTAATCCAGAAACAGGGGCCTACGTGGCCTCTGGGGACTGGCTTGGGATAGAGGGTGCTTGCTCAGGTCACCCCAGATGAGCCTTCTCCATATCCTCAGCTCACCACGGGCTCCTGGGATTACCTCCCGCCACCTCCAACTACCCTCCTGGCTAACGCTTTCCTCTCAGGCCATGGGGAGAGCAGGCTGAACCATGCCAAGGACACAAACAGATTGAGGGCAGGGCCTTCGTGTTTTGGTGGGATTGTCTTTCATGGAGGAAAAACAGGGGAATGGGTTATGCCCTCCAGTAATGACAGTGACCACAATCCTGGTGTTTCTAGAATCTTTCAGTTTCAGGGCTTTTCCACATGCACAAGTCCATGAGATCCTCGCCTGGGCTCTGTGAAGTAGCCAGGATTATACATGTGATCCCATCTCACAGATGAGCAAACCCAGGTTGAGGGCAGCCTGCAGGGACTGGGCCGCCCCCTCCTTTGCACCGTTCGGCCACCGTTGCAGGAGCAGGGCCCAAGGCTGCAGGGAGTACCCCAGGGGATGGGCAGTGAAGCTGCCGTTCCTGCACACTGCCGGGTCTAGAGGACTCTGAGGCTGGAAGGGGCATGGGGACATCATTCTTCTCCTCTCCAGCTGCCTTCCCCCAGAGCATGGCCTCCTCGCATCAGTTACTTAAATCAGTTACTTAAACCCAGTGTGGTTCCCAGACCAGCAGCACCACCGGGGAAGCATGTCAGAATGCAGACTCTCAGGCCCTGGCCCGGGCCACTCGGCCACATTCTGCATCTGCTTCCGATCCCCAGGACTGTGGAGAAGCCACGTCGTGTCCTACAGAGTCCTGAGGGCCTCGCATGTGCATGTGACCACTGACCGTCCACTGCCAGGGCGTTCTTCCCAAGTGCGACCATGGGGACTCTGCTGAGCACTCCACACTGTCCTTTCCTTCGTCTGCCTTCCTCAGGCATACGGCAGTGAATCCTGCAGAAGTCTCAACAGGCTCAGTACCAGGACCCAGCCCTTCACCACATTCAGTGGCCCTTCCAAGCATGTGGCCCCAGACCAGGAGCTCCTGCGGCACTGGGAAGGTGGCTGCCCTTTGAAGGGGCCACGGAAGGCAGCGCACGCCACCTGGATCCCGGGCCCTCTGCCTGAAGCACAGCTGCAGTGACTTTCATGAAGGCATGAAATGCTCTCACGACAAAGGGCAAAATCCAGCTTGTGCTTTTTTTTTTTAAGATGGAGTTTTGCTCTTGTTACCCCAGGTGGAGGGCAGGGGCACGATCTCGGCTCACTGCAAACTTCGCCTCCCAGGTTCAAGTGATTCTCCTGCCTCAGCCTCCTGAGTAGCTGGGATTATAGGCATGCACCACCACATCCAGCTAATTTTTGTATTTTCAGCAGGGACAGGGTTTCACCATGTTGGCCAGGCTGGTCTTGAACTGCTGACCTCAGGTGACCTGCTTGCCTCAGCCTCCCAGAGTGTTGGGATTACGGGCGTGAGCCACGGCGCCCAGCCAGCTCATGCCTTTTTTGACCCAAAATAGAACCTCTGAGCTTGACCATGCATACAATTTGCTAGATGACTGTCAGTGACTTGCCTCCATGTGGGAGGAGAGAACTCCAAGGCTGAGGTCCCATTTCGAGGCATCTGAGAACACAGCCTTGCTAGACGTCTTAATGCCTCCTATAGGACTGGCAGCTTAGAGGGCAGACGTGGTCGGTGAGGGGGGCACTGGACGGGGGTCAGGAAAGTTGAGCACCTAGTGCATGCAGAACACATCCTGTGGATTATTACAGAATCCTCCTGACAATCCACGAGGAAAGAACTTTATTTTATATAAGGAAACAAGAACATGGAGGCACCCAGACAGTGAGTAACTGGCCCAAAGCCACACAGCTGGGAAGCAGGAAGCCCAGCTTGTGTTTCTTTTTCTTTTCTTTTTTTTTTTTTTAGACGGAGTTTTGCTCTTGTCGCCCAGGCTGGAGTGCAATGGTGTGATCTCGGCTCACTGCAACCTCCACCTCCCGGGTTCAAGCGATTCTCCTGCCTCAGCCTCCCGAGTAGCTGGGATTACAGGTGCCCACCACCACGCCCAGCTAATTTTCGTATTTGTAGTAGAGACAGGGTTTCACCATGTTGGCCAGGCTGGTCTTGAACTCCTGACCTCAGGCATCCCAAAGTGCAGGGATTACAGGCAGGAGCCACCGCATCCGGCCTCCAGCTTGTGTTTCTAACCATGAAGTCCCCCCACTGCCCCGATTCACTGCACAGACCACAGCCTTGGTGTCCTCAAGTGTGACGGGCAGGGGCTGGCACAGGTGCTCATGAACATCTGAACCAGCTCTGGCTTCCTTTAGTCCTCCGAACAGAAAAGACGTTTCAAAATGGAGGCAGAACAGGGCGGCTTTCTCCACTTCCCAACCAGCAGACACGGGTCCAAGAGAATCTTCCCTGCTGAACCAGGACCATCATCCATGTGTGAAATTGGGGGCAGAAAGGCGGGCATTTTAGCCACCAAACTCCAGTTTGGAGACTGACCCCAGCTGCAGCATTCTTACCAAGGGACCTGGACATGTTATTTTGGAAGGAAGGAGAAAGGAGGCGAACAGGCCAGCCGTTCTCTCCAGAGGGAGTCCAAGGTGGGCCCGGGCCCGGGTTAACTTGGACAAGGCACTTCCTGTTCCAAAGGGCCACTCAGCTTCCCGTGCAGGCGGCCACCAAGGAGCTGTCTGGCCTCACATCCCTCAGGGTCCTTGCCGGGCCACACCCTATTTAAAACCTGACCTCTCAGGGCAGTCTAGGAATCATGGCGTGTTGAGCGGGGCAGCCGGGACCTCAGTTGTCCTGTTCTAGAGCATTCTGATGGACCTCACCCGCCCATGCAGGTCACCTGTATAAGGACAAAGGACAAACACACCTTGAAGCCCCTCACCGTCCTGGCGTCCCAGCCCACCTCTCACCCAGGTCTGTCCAGGGTGTGCCCGGAGGTCACATGCCCCATGGTCTCCAGCACGTTGCATGCTCCTCACAGTGTTCCTGCCACCTGGAGGAGCCCATTGCCTGCCTACATTACAGGTGCTGTCAGGCCATGCTGAAGATCCTCCTCTTGTGGCCGCCGTCCCCACAAGTCCCAGCCCCAGGGCCATTCCTATGGGCCCACTGGAGAAGCCACAGCCCATGCCACCAGGCTGGGCTCCTTGTCCTGCATGCTGAGTCTTGGCTTCAACTCCTACACCAGAGACGGCCTCCTCTGCTCTTTCTGCGGGGCCGGGTCCAGCCCATGACTCATTCATTCATGCCATTCCAGAACAAACCCTACTTTTGCCTGCTTCCAAACTTTTGCTCAAAATGTTCTCTTTTGTGATAATGAAGTTGTGCTGAGGTAGGAAATGTCCTCCGTTTTAGAGATGCTATGATGGAGTGCAGAGGGACAGGTCACAGCGTTCGTGACGTCAGCTACCAAGGCAGGATGTACTGGAATCTAAGGGCTGATGTTTGGAGGTTCGTCCTCTCTACTTTTCTGTATGCTTAAAATTTGTCAATTTAAAAAAGTACCGCTCTGCCTGAAAAACCAATTCCTTTCCTTGCCTGTCTCTTCCTGCTAAAATCTCTTTCCTTCTGGAAGGAGGCCACGACTGACCTTCCATCTTCTGTCCCTGGGCCACCTTGCCTGGGCTCACTCCCAGCACAGCATCTGCTGAGCCCTGAAGCCTCTTCTGTACCCATCTTATGTCCTCAAGCAGCCTATAAACTTGCCAGGTGGGGCCGAGCCTCCCCACACCTCCCTGGGGCGATGCACAGACGCTCTGGCTGGATCCAGTGGCCTGGGCTAGAAGGCGGTGTCACCTGAGGCCAATGAAGCCATCACTAACAGGAGAAGAAAGGAGATGATGGCACCTGTGGAGAAGGGCATGTGTGGGCCACGGCATGTCCTGATGCCTGCTGGACACCACTGCCCCTGGGTTTGGCCGGGCTTTGCTCTCCCGTGTCTTGGTGGCTAGCCAGGCAGCCCTGAACCCACCAGGCAGAATCAAATGGCCTGAGCCCCTCCCAGGAGCAGCAGGGCTTTCTCCACCACATTTTCAGAAGCAGGCTTGGTTCAAACTGGTGCCAGGCTGGTGGGGGGTGCAGTGGGCATGATCAGGTTTAAGTGACTCTCATTGTTTCTGACATTTGCTAATAAGGCTGATAAGGCCCCGGGAAGAAAATTACAAGATAACGGGATGGCATCAGCTGGGCTAGGAAGAGTGGCCTGGCCACCTGCCACCCATCCAGCCCCCAGGCCTCTGCTCACAGGCGCCTGCCTTCGTCCGACCCTGGGGAGCCTCCCTGTCCACCCTGGGGCTGGCCTAGCCTATGGCCAAAGAGAGGCTGGGACAAGGTGGGGCATTAGTAGCCCAACAGGGCTTGCAATTTGGAAGCAGGCCAGGAAATCCCAAATAGCTCTCGACCATTGCTGAGTTTAGATGACAACCAAGGCTGCCTCATTATCTTCACAGCTGCAGTCAAAGCAAAGTTGGTTCATTTGCTACGTGCTGACCCTCTCCATTTAAAGGACAGAAAAGAAAGAGGTGGCCGTGGCTGGACCTCTGCATGCACTGGTGACTGCAGGATGAAGCTGCCCATCGTCAGAAGAGCTCCAGGGGGCCTGCGCCCCCGAAGAGCTGGGCTGCCCACTGGTCTCCAGCTCCAGGCGTGCTCTCGAGCCACATGCTCCGCCTGGGGGGCACCCAATGTTCCCTATTAGCAGCTCCGCTGTTACTGCAGGATAATTAATTCAATCAGAAATAATTGAACAGGCAAGGAGCTCCGAGGTGCTATTTCTCACCTGCTGAGGCAGAGAGAAATATTTGCAAACCAGCCCCAACTGCAAGCAAATGCCAGCCATAGTCCTCCCAAAGTGCAGAGCTCCCGACCCCTCTCCACACACAGATCTGTTCTTCAGGTAGCTATGGAGGGCTGCCAAGTGCCAGGCCCTGGGGCACTAGGGCAAGCAGGCGAGGCGTTCAGGGCCTCTGCCCAAGGGGGCCTCCTGTCTGTGCCGCATGGACTCTGTGTGATGATGCCAGAGATGCGCTCGCCAAAGAACAGGGTGCTGGGAGAAAGAATAACCTGGAGCGAGGGCAGTCAGGGAGGTGACCTTCACACTGTGGCGTGCAGGATGAAAAGCAGACACCACACAGAACACAGAAAGAAGGGCCTTCCAGGCAGAGAAGCATTGTGTGCAAAAGTCCCAAGTTCAGCCTGGCTTATCTCCTGCATGGCTCCCCCAGCCCTGCCTGTGTGTCTGGAAAGCCTCCCTCCTCTTCCTCCTCCTCCTCCTCCTCATCCTCCTCGTCCTCCTCCTCCTGTCTGGGGCACAGCCACAGGGCCCTACCCTGTGCATCTCCTTCCTCATGCTCAAGGACAGAACTCCCAGGACCTCCAAGCGCCCGTGAACTGAAAGCAGGTTTATCTCGGACTTGGTATTTAAGTGTAAGGTGTCTGCATGACAGGAGCCAGAACACGCTAGTGAGGGGCATGGAAAATCTAAATCACAACTGAATTCTGTGGGAAATGTGAAGATGGAGAAGCCAGAAGGAAGGAGCTAAAGAGCAAGAAGAAAATTGGAAAACACAGAGAACGTCATCAAATCAGAGCCAGTGCGCAGGCCACCCCAAAGAAATCTGATGGCAGCCACTCTGCTGCACGCACAGCAGCGGGATGTTCTATCCGAACCTCCCCCCACCTCCCGGGATACCCATTAGGTTCCAGCCTCCCTCGAGGGGAAGGAATGACTTCCTTTGGTCCTCAAGAACACTTTGAGGTAGCTATTGTCATGGCGGCAGTCCACAGATGGGAGCTCCAAAGCTGGCCAAGCTGCACACAGCCCTGCTGGCGTCCAGCCTGGCTCTAGGTGAGGCCAAAGCTTGAATGCCCTGGGCTGGGTAGGCTGGGCCAAGCCGTGCTGCCCCTGAGGGCTGACCATCCAGTGGGGAGGGACAGCGTGTATACAACATGCCATTCTAGAATGGTCCCTGGGCTCCTAGGGGTCTTCTGGAGACCAGGGGTCTGGGGGAGGAAGAGGGATTCCAAAGCTCTAGGCTGCACTGGAGATCATGTCACCTGGGCCCTTGAGGGACCCAGAAGCTCCTCGAGGCATCAGAACATCAAGTCTGTGGCTAAATTCATACCAGAGTCTGTGACGGCTTCACGGTGAGCACAGGTCTTTTTTTTTTGAGACGCAGTTTCGCTCTTGTTGCCCAGGCTGGAGTGCAATGGCACGATCTCGGCTCACCGCAACCTCTGCCTCCCAGGTTCAAGCAATTCTCCTGCCTCAGCCTCCTGAGTAGCTGGGATTACAGGCATGCACCACCACGCCTGGCTAAGTTTGCATTTTTAGTAGAGATGGGGTTTCTCCATGTTGAGGCTGGTCTTGAACTCCTGACCTCAGGTGATCCGCCCGCCTCGGCCTCCCAAAGTGCTGGGATTACAGGCGTGAGCCGCCGAGTCCGGCCGAGTACAGGTCTTGAAGGACAGGAGGTAGAGCCTGTCTGGGCAGTGTGTGGAGGGTGGCAAGTGTCCACACTAGGTGGTGTGTGTCCAGAAGGCACAGTGACCAGGCCACATCTCCTCAGCAGGACCCTGACCAGGCTGTGAGACCAACCCTCTGCAGTGACAAGCAGCCATGGAATTCTTTTTTTTTTTGAGACAAGGTAACCCAGATTGGAGTACAGTGGCACAATCACAGCTCACTGCAGCCTTGACCTCCCTGGGCTCAGATGATCCTCCCACCTCAGACTCCCAAATAGCTGGGACTACAGGCATGTGCCACCATGCCCTTTTTAACAAAATTTTTATTTATTTATTTGTTTATTTTTGAGACGGAGTCTCACTCTGTCGCCCAGGCTGGAGTGCAGTGGCACAATCTTGGCTCACTGCAACCTCCGCCTCCCGGGTTCACGTGATTCTTCTGCCTCAGCCTCCTGAGTAGCTGGGACTACAGGCACATGCCACCACACCTGGCTAATTTTTGTATTTTTAGTAGAGATGGGGTTTCACCATATTGGCCAGACTGGTCTCAAACTCCTGACCTCGTGATCCACCCGCCTCAGCCTCCCAAAGTGCTGGGATCACAGGTGTGACTTTTATATTTTTTTGTAGAGATGGGGTCTTGCTATGTTGCCCAGGCTGCTTCCAAACTCCTGTGCCCAAGCAATCCACCTGCCTCACTCAACCTCACAAAATGCTGGGATTACAGTCATGGGCCACTGTGCCCAGCCAACCGTGGCATTTTTTACCTTTTATTTTAGAACACTTTTAGATTTTCAGGAAAGTTGCAAAAACAGCACAGGGCAGGCCTGTGTGTCTCCACTCAGCTCCCTGAGGCTAATACCTCACAAAGCCACAGGCCACTTATGATAACCATAGCTGTGACAATCTGTCCATCCTCTTGGGCAAAAGCAGTGCTTTTCAGGCGGGTCTGGGGCTGCCACAGCTTTTCAGCCCAGCAGACGGGAGGCACGTCCTCGTCTGGGCCACTCTGTACCTGCACACACATTCAGTCCCTGCAAGTCCGCAGCTTCCAGAGGCCATGCCAACAGGGGGTGGGCAGCGTGGGCGCAGGGAGGGAGCACACGCTGCTCAACAGCAGGGAGGAGCATGAAAGGCAGGGTGCTGACGGAAATGGATCCTTCTTCACAGGGTGGTGAGACTGTCCCTGAAAACAGTTCCTCCCTGATAGCGGGGGGGATCAGCAGGGCTGGGCACAGAGACTCTCTCTCCTCGCCAGTACAGCCTGGATTGAAAATACCATGTTCTGTGCTCACTGTGCTCCCCACCACCCCCCTCTGGAACGTGTCCCGTGACCCTCTGAGGACACAGACGTTCGTGGTTCTCTGTCACCCAAAGGGAGGGACAGGACAGAACAGCACAATCTCTGCCTGTTCCAGGGCCTGCTGCCGCTCGGTTTCTCTGGGGACGATCTTCACAGCTTTTCTGTGCCACCGATTAGGTCGAATTTGAAACAAGAGTCCATTTGAGCTTTGCAGATGCACAGCTGGGACGGAATTTGGGGTCCCCTGTGGCACTTGGGTGTCAAGGGGTGTGTGCACAAGCCACACCTGAACGGTCTGCTTCAGGACCCCCCTTCCCCCCACTCCCCGCAGCTATCGAGGGTATGCCACAGCACCTCCTACCACCACACAGTTCAAAACCAAACAAGAACAGAAGTGTCGGGCTCAGGCTGCATTCGGATCCCATCATTTATTGTCATGCATTTGTGTGATTGTTGTAGACTTCAACAGTTTTTAGTTGACAATTACTTGTATTCATTCATTTTCCAGCCCGCTTATTCTAGTTCAAGGTCGCAGGTGGCTAGAGCCTCTCCCAGGGCACAAAGCCTGGACAGGACGCCGTTCCATCACAGGACACACTCGCACCCACACCTGGTCAGACTGGGACCACTTAGATGTCCAGTTCACTGAATGTGCACATCTCGGAGATGTGAAAGAAAGCAGAGTACAGAGAAAGCCCACGGAGTCGTGAGAGCACACAAACTCCACACAGGCAGTGGGTGCAGAAGGGAATCAACTTTTTATCATCAACGTTGTAACTAAAGGACGTTATTCCAGACCCTGCTGCAGATCTTGCATGTACCTGCCCACGTGTGCAGATTGGTGGTATCAGGTGGTTTAATTTAGCACTGTGCATAGTAGGAAAAGTTGGAAATAAACCAAATGACCATCAGTGGGAGAACGGGTGCAAAGGTCAGCACCTGGGAAATGCTAATAAACGTTAATTACTGTTGTTATTATGGGACCGTAATCCTCGACTGTTGATGAAGGAAATGATGTTGAACGCCATGCAGAAGGCTGCAGAGAACATCTCAGGAAGGGACCCAAGACACCGGAAAGGGGTTCAGGGGAAAGGGATTCAAGGGGCACATTGTCACTATCTGCCTTTTTGTGCTGTTGGAATTTTCATCACGCATCAGTGTTAACTGCTTAAAATTTTAAAATTTTGAACATAATAACTGCAGACTAAACCTGTCCCAGAGGCAAGGGGCAGAGGGCCACACACGGTGGTGAGCTGGAGCTGACAGGCGCCTCTGAGGCCCAGCAGGGTGGAGAAGCTGGCGCGGGCTTGCAGGCCTCCACAGCAGCCCAGCCCAGTCCCTGATGAGAAGACAAGCTGGCGTGGGAGTGGTCGGGCCTGTCTGGGGCTGAGATGCTTTCACTCTACGTAGGATTCCAACTGGCCTGTCACAGGATGCCCCGAACAGCAGATAAGCAGCAGCAAAACAGGAGGGGCACGGGACAGGCACCAGGCACCATAAGCAGCAATGTGACACTGGAAGGAGGGGCCAGAAACACTGAACAAGGAGAGTCCTGAAAAAGTGTAGCACCCTCGGCCACCAGCGCAGGGCATGAGGGCCGTGTGTCCCAGCTCTGGTGAGCTGCTGGTCAGCGACCCCTCGTCACCATGACACGGTTGGATGGAGGAGGGCAGGGAACCTACCTGAGACTGAGACGGACGGTTAATTTTTTAAAGAGACGATACAAAAAAACTTCAGGCATTTAAAGTTCCACTGAAGGCTGGGCGCATTGGCTCATGCCTGTAATCCTTGCACTTTGGGAGGCCGAGGCGGGCAGATCACCTAGGTCAGGGGTTCGAGACCAGCCTGGCCAACATGGCGAAACCCCGTCTCTACTAAAAATACAAAAATTAGTCAGGCACGGTGGTGCGTGCCTGTAATCCCAGCTACTTGGTAGGCTGAGGCAGGAGAATCACTTGAACCTGGGAGGTGGAGGTTGTCTCTACAAAAAATACAAAAATTAGCCGGGCATGGTAGCGCATACCTGTAATCCCAGCTACTAGGGAGGCTGAGGCAGGAGAATTGCTTGAACCCAGGAGGCGGAGGTGGCAGTGAGCCGAGATCTCACCACTGCACTCCAGCCTGGGCGACAGAGGGAGACTCTGACTCAAAAAAAAAAAAGTTTCACTGAATACTGGAGAATTCTCTGATGCAAAATGGGTTCCTCCCGAGGGTCCTGGGTAAATGGGTATTTCATCTGCCATTTGGGATTCTCATGTCTAATAAGGGCCTTGCCTGAAACGGCCACCACCGTCCCTCCCATCCCTGACCCGGTGCTGATCCCCGTGAGGAGACACCTCTGTGGGTGAGACGCTGCTCCTCACCCGCGGCGCACCCAAGCCCCATCAGGGCGGTGGGGAGTCCACCCCCATTCCCGGTTGGGGGGTGTGGGTGCCACGGAGACCTGCAGGCTGCAGAAATGCGGCCACGGTGGCCCTGCGTGGAGATGCCCCTCTCATGGAAATGTGCTTGATCCATAATTAACAAGGGGGCAAGGCCATGCTGTCGTTTTCTTTTTTAATCACTCTGCTGTCGTTTCGACATGGAGACCCAAGATCTAAAATTAGGCCACTGGATCCCGCACCTGACTTTCTGAGCTCCCCAGGGCAGGGGCGTGTCTCAGCGCTGACAGTGAAGAGGTGTCAAATCTGTGCTCAGGGAACAACCTTTTCTGAACACACTGCTCCCTGCATCCCTCATCCCTTGCCCCCTTTCCCCCAGGCCAGGAGCCTTGGCTGGAGGGCGGCCCAGCGCCCCGTGAGTCCACTCTCCTCTGTAGAGTCCCAACCCCTCACTGGCCTCCCAGAAACCCCAATCGCAACCTTTTCTTCATGGAAACCAGCATGCAGGTTTCCATTTAGGTGTGAAGGTGCCTGGCCGGCTGGGGGATTAGGAAGGCTTTGCTGTCCCCACACACGGTGTCCTCAGGGACCTGTATCCATGGCCAGGAAGAAGTTAATGTCACTGCCTTCCTCTATTCAGGCCCCAAAGTTTGGGGCAGGGACAAAGAACAAGGTGTCAGGGCCCCACCCCACCCTCCAGGAGGGGTGATCTGGCAGCTGGGTGGGGAAGGCGTCCCACCTCACCGTCCTGGCTCAGGGCAGTGTCCGCCCAGAACTTGGCTGCGGGGATGCAGGGCGCCTGCACACTTCGGACTTTCCCTGTCCTCCCTGTAACTATCCCTGTCTTCTGTGGAGGCTGTGAGAAGCCGACAAGAGATGGAAAGAGCGTAGGCAACCACACACACAGGCCCTTACCAGCGGCCACCCGGGTCTGCTTGTGGTGCCACTGTCCCAGAATGACCCCTCACATGAAATTGTGCTCCAGCCCCTCACTCTGGATCCCCCCAACTCTGCACTTTTTAAGCCCACAGTGGCTCACAAGCCCACGATGGGCCCGCGTCCACCCAATGGCCAGCACTAACCTGACCCAGCACCCCCTGCTCAGTTCAGCTCCCACGCGTGGCCTTCTCGCAGGACAGCCACGTCCAGCACCTTCAGCAGGTTCTCCCCGGCAGCACTTGGCAGTCAGATGTGGCCAGACGGTCCCTTCCAGGTCTGTACCCTACGTGGAAAGCTGAGCCAAATCTAGAAACTTCTCTGGACAACTCTCCTCAGTTCCCTACTATGTCCTCTGCCTGTCCTGAAAGCTGCCATGTCCCTGCCACGACAGGAGAGGAGCCGCACTTGGGGGAACCACTCGCCCTCCCTCCCCGCTGCCCGGCAGTCACAGCCCTCCCACCCAGAGCACACCCAGCCAGGGGTGGGGTGGGGGGCTCCTCTGGGCAGGAGGGTCTGGAGGCTTCTGCGGGAGGAGGCACTGGACCTGAGACCTGGCCCGTGAGCAGGAACTGGCTGTGAAGGCCAGCAGAGGCCAGGCTCGGGGCCTGGTAGCCGGGATCCTGCAGCCAACAGCAACCCTTTCAGCACCTGCTCCGTTCTGTCCTCTTGTCTGTTTCTCTCACAGACATACCTTGTGCAGAGAAGGTGTTTGGTTTTCAGTACAAAGAAGACAGCGTTAGAGACCCGGCCCCCTCCCCTCAGCCACAAGGCAGTGGGAGGCTGGCCTCTGTCCCTCGGTAAACAAGGGTGCAGTTCCTGACAATCCATGAAGAGAAGATGCTGCCCCAGATGTTCACAGCCCCCCTCCCATGTCCTACTCTAGAGAGAGCTGTCGTGGCCCCAAAGGCATGAACGTGGCCCTCCGTGCACGGCAAGCAGTACAGGAACGTGTTCGGAAGGCAGAGTGCGCGGCCAACAGCGTGGGCAGCTTGCCTCCCTGCTCTGGCTGCTTTTAAGCCAGCAAACGTGAGCTGCGAGCGGCACAGGCTGAGGCAACGGAGCCGCTTCCCTGCAAGGTTTCATCAGTGACGGCCAGAGTGAATTCAGCAGATTTTTAAAATTTTTATTATTTTTATTTTTAATTTTTTGAGACAGAGTGTCTCGCTCTGTCTCCCAGGCTGGAGTGTAGTGACAGGATCTTGGCTCACTACAACCTCTGCCTCCCGGCTTCAAGCAGTTCTCCTGCCTCAGCCTCCCGAGTAGCTGGGATTACAGGTGCCCGCCACCACTCCTGGCTAATTTTTGTATTTTTAGTAGAGACAGGGTTTCACCATGTTGGTCAGGCTGATCTCAAACTCCTGACTTCAGGTGATCCACCCACCTCGGCCTCCCAAAGTGCTAGGATTACAGGCACGAGCCATCGCGCCCGGCCAGCAGATTTTTTTAAAGGTCCCACAGCACAGAAGTGAAAGGGAGCACATAGCTACTCATTCAAGGCCATGCACGGCCTCCACTGGGGATGCGGATGGGCACCAGAGTGACCACACACACATGCATGAGCACTAATGGGCACAGCTCTAAACCCTGCAGAGGGACCAACTCACTGGATTCTCACGATGATCCTACAAGCAGGTACTCCCACTATGCCCATTTAACAGAGGAGGAAACTGGAGCCCAGAGTGAGGACATGGCTTGTCCATGTCACCCAGCTGGGAAGCCATGGAGCTCTGCAGAGCACTGTACCCACCCCCAAGAAGAAGGGCGACACGGAGGGATGGGGCCGAATTAGGGAAGAGCCAGAGCTGCCTGGAGACAGCAGTGGGACACTTTCTGCTACGGCCAGAGCACGGGGAAGCGGAGGAGATGCTCACCAGCACCTGTCACAGCTCAGCCCGGCCCACCTCCCGAGCCTCGGCTCCCACCTGTCACAGTGTGCTGCCCTGGACAAGTGCCCTCCACCTCAACAGTTTCCCCTGCAAGGTGAGGAGGAACTTTCCAGAACTGCCACCTCTAGGCCTGCATCACAGAAGAGGGTGGGGGTGCCATGTCCCTACCTGGGCAGGGGCAGCATTCACACCTGAGTGAGTCTGAACCTCCCTTTTCCTTTGGCCCCTCCAGGACCTATGCTGGTGCTTGGGTTCCACTCAGAAGGTGGCCTGGGCTCCCCTGAAAGCCAATTTGGTCACATCGGCTCTGACCACGGCCCATCCACCCAGACCACTAAAGCCTGTCACGATCATCCCAGGGCCCAGCCAGCCCCTGTGCTGCCCTCCGATCACACAGAAGCAAATGCTCGCCCTCTGGGGCGGAAGCCACCTGTTTTTCTGCCTCCCATCCTCTGAATATGGCATCTGGGTGGGGCAGGCAGAGTGGCTCCCATAGAAGGAGGGGGATGCGTGGGTCCCTGGGCTTCTCCTCCAGGTCTCCCTCTGCCTGGGAAGAGCCAGCAGGCTTGAATGCTCCGCTCCTTTCACAGATGATGTGGCTTTAAGGAAACATGCTCTGAGGCCTTGAAGTGCTGCGCACTGTGCCGGGCACCAGGCCTCCATGATGAGCGGAACACAGCCACTCCTGGGGAAGGGCACAAGCAGCAGTCACACGTCGCACTGAAGTGGCTGGATGGACGCCAGAGAGTCCAGAGGCAGGTGAGGGGGTGTCCCCCAGACCATGAGCTCCAGAGAACAGGGCCAGGTCCTGCTCAACTGAGCATCCCTAAAACTCAGGAACAGGTCTTCTGACTCTCAGAGCAGCCCTGCGAGGCAGCTGTCATTGGGAGTCTCATTGCCCAAGAGAGAAGGGCCTGGCCCAGGTACCCAGCAAACTGGATGCTCAGCCAAGGCCGGAGCCTTCTGCATGGGAGCCTTCCTTCCTTCCTTCCTGCTCTCTCTCTCTCACTTTTTTTTTTTTTTAGACGGAGTCTCGCTCTGTCGCCCAAGCCAGAATGCAATGGGATGATCTTGGCTCACTGCAACTCCCGCTTCCTGGGTTCAAGAGGTTCCCCTGCCTCAGCCTCCCGAGTAGCTGGGATTACAGGCACGTGCCACCACACCTGGCTGTTTTTTGTATTTTTAGTAGAGAGGGGGTTTCACCATGTTGGCCAGGCTGGTCTCAAACTCCTGACCTCAGATGATCCACCTGCCTCAGCCTCCCAAAGTGCTGGGATTACAGGTGTGAGCCGCTGCGCCTGGCCCTTCCTGCAAATTTCTGTTGCCTCTGAACATGCATGGGGCTGTCTGAAGCCTCCTCCCTCCTTCAGAGAGGCCACATGAGCCACTCCAAGCAACTGGGACTGAGAGGAAGGTTAAAATGCCCTTTGTCTGCTGGAAGATCCTTGGAGTGGGAGCTTTGCTATTAATGGGGAAATCAAATGCGTCTGCAGATGTCGTGGCTCCCGCAGTGCTGTGGCCCACTGCCTCTCAGTGGGAAAGCAAGGTTCTCATCTTCAGCCAAGCACAGGATGCAGAAAAGAGACAGAGAAGCCCTCAGTCTTGGCAGATCCGCAGGGGCTCTAAGAGGACATAATTTGCCTCTGATGCCTCAAATCTCCCTCACCTTGCTGAGCTGCTTCTAGGTTGCTGCCAGAGGATTCAGTCCCAGGTCAGATGCCTGCCTGGCATCCCTTAACCCCTGGCTTTTCCCCCGGAGCCTCTGCACTCAGCAATGCCCCCAACCACTACCACCCATGCACCGGCTCCCGGCCTCTGGGCAGCCTGTTAGTCTTTCCTGCCTGGCTGATTCTTGCCGCCACCTCCCCAGCCTGACCCTCACGCAGGGACACACCAGAGCAGCAGACCTACATAGAGCCGACACCTCTGGCCACCCTGTACTGGGCTCCACTGGCCCTTGTTTCTTTGTCCCTTGCTTCATTATGAAAGGGACGTGACATGCTGACAAAATTACACATGGTAAACAGACAGGAAACACAAAATGGAAGATGCTGGTGCACGCAGAAAGTCTTGGAGGAGGAGAGCCAGGTGTGTGGTTGAGAAGCCCCCGCTGCCTCAGAGGCTCCTGGCTCGCTCTGGGACCCAGGCGGTAATGAGGATGCCTAAGCAGGTCCCTGCAGCCTCCGGAGTCAACTTCCTGCTCATGGCCAAAAGCCCACAGCGCCCAGAACAGTACTTTCCATTGGGGCAAATGCCCAGGAGATGTTTGCTGAATGAATAAAGAACCAAGGCAAAGCTCAGCAGGACTGAAATGGGGTGGGCCCAAGCCAGCACCAAGGAGTAGAGGGGGACATTGCAGGGGCTGGTGACAATGACAGGCCACTCTCCCAGTTCCATGTAGAGCCAGGCGTCCGGGACTGTCAGGTGTTCCCGAGGGAAAATACTGGCTCCTGGAGCCCATGGCTGCCAAGCTGAGCTTCAAGCCGGCCTCACCCTCCCCAGGGTTTACTAGGAGGAAATGGCATCTCTAAGCGAATGGCCAGGGAGGGCCAGGGACTAGCTAGGGACAGAACCATGCTTGGCTGGCTGGGCTAAACACCAGAACCCCAAGAGCTTGGCACCTGCAGTAGCTTCCTGCTGCAGGACAGTCAGAGGAGCCAGCTGGAGGCACGGAAAGAAAGGGCAGTGGAGGCTGGGCACAGGAGCGTATGCTTACAGTCCCAGCACTTTGGGAGGGTGAGGCGGCAGAATCGCTGGAGCCCAGGAGTTTGAGACCAGCCTGGGCAACATGGCGAGACTCCCGTCTCCACACACATACAAACACACACACACACACACACAAATTTAAAAATTAGGGCTGGGCGTGGTGGCTCATGCCTGCAATCCCAGGGCTTTGGGAGGCTGAGGCAGGTGGAACACCTGAGGTCAAGAGTTCGAAACCAGCCTGGCCAACATGGTGAAACACTGTCTCTACTACAAATACAAAAAATTAGCTGGGTGTGGTGGCACACGCCTGTAATCCCAGCTACTTGGGAGGCTGAGGCAGGAGAATTGCTTGAACCTGGGAGGCAGGGGTTGCAGTGAGCTGAGATCGTGCCATTGTACTCCAACCTGGGCAACAAGAGTGAAACTCTATCTCAAAAAAAAAAAACAAAAAACAAAAAAAATTAGCCAGGCATGGTGACGTGTGGCTGTATTCCCAGCTACTTGGGCTGAAATGGGAGGATCGCCTGAGCCCAGGAGGCAGAGGTTGCAGTGAGCAGAGATGGCGCTACTGCACTCCTGCCCAGGCAGAGTGAGAACCAGTCTCACGAAAAAAAAAAAAAAAAACAAAAAGAAAGGGCAGCAGAGTGGACCGGAGCCTGGCTTGACAACGGGTTTGTAGTGATTTCTGAGCCCTCCTAGGCCTCAGGTGCTCCATGTACACTATAACAAGGTCCCTTCCAGCCGACACCCCTCCCAGAGCCTGCCCCCACCACCTAGCAGGAAGCACCACTCCAAGGTCAGCCCACCCAACCAGGGTCCTAAGAGAAGCACGAAAGAATTCTTAGCAAGTCTGATTGGAAAGGTTTCCATCAGCAAGTCCTTCACCATTTCCAAAATGCATCCCATCCCAACCCTGCTCTCTCTGCATCCCTGCCATGGTTGCAGAAACCTTCACAAAATCCAAATCAGACCTCGTCTCTGCTCACTTCACCCCGTCGCAGCTTCTTACGCTCCCCCCCATTTTTACAGACAAGGAAACTGAGTCCCAGAGGCCCGGTATGACCCGCCGGGGCTGCACAGCTAGCAAGTGTGCTGGCGAGGCTGGTCCCAGCCCCTTCTCCACGCCTGGCTCCAAGACATAGGACTTCAGAAAAGGGGACCCTGGGGAGGGCTGGAGGCAGTGGGGTCTGAAGGAACACTACGTTAGGACTTCCCATGCAAGCCTTGCCAGTGAGATCAACACCACTGTACCCATTTCACAGAAGAGGAAACTGAGGCTCACAGAGGCTAACTGACCTGCTCGAGGCAGGCAGAACAGGACTGGAAGCCAGGCAGCCTGTTTAAAGCGGGTGCCTGCCCCTCAGAGGCCTGTCGGGGAAGGGAACCCGCTGTGAAGGGGGCCAGCCAGAGCCTGGGCACCTGTGGAGAGGGACAGGGGTCAGAGGCAGTCCAGCACTGAGCTCCTTGAAACGGGCCTGTGAGTCCTCAGAGGTGCCAAAGGCTGGTGGGGCCAGATGAAGGCCAGTTCTGGCTGGTAAGGGACGTCCAAGTAGGGGTGGAGGAATTGTGGCCTCTGGATTGGGTGGGCATTTGTGGTTATCAGTGAGTCTGGGCCAGGATTCCCAGGAAACCCTAGGCACAGAGGGGAGCCCGAGAACAGGATGGCAACAGAAGTGTGGGGGCAGAAAAGGCCCACCATGCAGCCCCACGCCCTCCCAGTTTCTGAGTGGGGAACCTATGGTTCAGAGCAGTGAAACGGCAAGCCCAGGCCAATCAGTGGTGTGACTGGGGCTGGAGCCCCGCTGCACGGCTGCGAGTGGCCCGGTGCTCTTCCTGGCCTGAGTGGGCCCCACCTGAGTGCTGGGAAGTCAGAGGTGGACAAAGCCTCTGAGGCCTACCGGCTACTCTACCCCACCTAAGGCCTCCACCAGGCCCGCCAAGACCCAGTCTCCAAGACAGTCACAGCGAAGCCACGGCCTGACCTGGCCAGAAAGATCCCCGGTGACCTGGCTGGGGCATGTCCTTTGCACAGCACCCCATGTGCTGTACACTGTGCACTCCTTGACCATCACATGGTCAAGGCAGGCATCGGGTGAAGGCAGACAGGGAGGCCTCCAGTGTGCCAAGTACGATGGAAAGGCTGTAGGCCCCAGCCTCGGGGACACCAGAGGCAAGAACATGCCTGGGTGCAGGAGAAATGTGCCCTGGGCCAGGCCGAGCTGCCCGCCTGGGAGGCAGGAGCAGACACCAAGGGGCCGCCCCATCCCCGCCACTCGCCAGCCGGGGCCAGGTCCTGGACCAGCTCTTGGCACACATGGTCTCATTTCATCACCAAATGCCACAGCAGAGGCTGTGGCAGAGGTTATCGGAAAAGGAGACAGAGGTACCTATCCAGAAAAGGGTAGGCAGCTAACCTATCCAAAGCCACATAGCTAAGGAGCAACAGGGGCTGCCTGGGGCCCAGAAGCTGTGCTGTCTTCACCACACCGGCCCCGGGGAGGGGTTAGAGAACCGGGAATGGGGGCGCGGGCCCCTGGGGATGGTGGAATTTGGAGCCACATCTGTGCAGACATCATCACCTTTTAACCAAACTGGCCCTTGAGGAATAGCCCTGCCTAGCCAAGGAGCAGCATGGTGACCGGGTGACAGGTCCCAACCAAGCCACCCTTCGCGTCCACACCAGCTGCATGTCTACACAGGCTCCCTGCTGCCCTAGCCACAGGGGCAGGGTGTCCAGCCTCCCCTCGACACTCCTCCCCACCTCCACCTCACCCCACCCTCACCTACACGCTGCCTGAGCTTCCGCTTGTCCTTCCCGCTCCCAAGACTGCCTTTAACCAACCATCCCCTGGGCCCTGGGATCCCTGAACCCTGGGCCTGGCCTGACACACGTCTAGGAGTCAGCAATGTGTGCAGTGTGACTGAAGATAGCAAGGACCCCGGCCGCGCCTTCCTCTCCCCTCTCTCCTCCCTTCCTCCAGACCCCACACTCAAATCCTATTTGCCTCAGGTTCCAGGGAGTCTCACATGATGGGCAGGACCCACACACACCACAGTCATCAAACATTCACTGGGCACCGTGGGGCAGGGCCCAGAGGACAACAGCCACTCCCAGCTCACATTTTTCAGGCTTCAACTCTGCCTGGCTCCCTGTGCTGCACACGGAGTGTGTCACATCCTCACACGACCCAGGAGGTGGAACCTACAGGTAACCCTCTTTCACAGTTAAGAACGCCAAGGCACGAAGCTTAGCACAGTGAATGGCCAGCCACAGCCGGAACCCAAGCGGTGAGGCTGCAAGCTGGAAGCTAAGTCCCCCTGAGTCCCTGCCTGAGCCCAACCTGAAGAAGCCTGGAAAGGTATCAAGGACAAAACCCACAGAGCAGTTCCACAACAGATGCCCTGGGGTGGCTGCCCGAGGGGGAAGCGGACGGTAAGGCTGGAGGTAGGAAGAGGGAACAGACGAGGGTCACTGACGCTGAGCTGGCTCCAGGCACCACCCACTCCAGGCACCATCCCGGCCCTTGCAACAGTGAGCCAGGCAGCTGTGCCTGGGTCACAGATGAGAATACCAAGGCTCGGAGAAGCCAGGAACCTTGCCCAGGTCCGTCTTGCTATCAAAGGCAGGACAGACCTGTGTGCTGAGAGGCCCAGAGATATGAGGGGGGCACAACCGCACCGGGCTCCCGAGGATGGCAAGGGGGACAGACTCCAGTGGGCTCAAGGACATGGGGGTACCACTTCCACGTGGCTACCTCACGCGGACGCCCCACGTGCGGCCTGACCCACAGGAAGTCCAGTCATAATATTGACACAGGCAGGGCACACAGCAGCCGGGAAGCTGGGCTGTTGCGAAGTTGGCGCAGGGCATGTGAGGGCACCCCAGGCTCCGGTGGGAGGGGCCTCAGGACCGGATCTGGGCCGGATCCACGAGAGGCGCTTGGAGGGCCTCTTCCTGCCAGCAAGGCTGGCGTTCCGGCCCATTGGAGTCGGCCGTGCTGCAGCTCGGGGCTGTTTTTCCACTTTCCTGCCATGATGCATCCATGTACCAGGCAGTGAGAGGCATAGGGGGCATGAAGCACAGGGCGGGACCAGCTCTGCACACACGGCCGAGGCCCTGACAAGTCAAGTGACTTCTCGGGCCTTCAGCTGCTGCTTCTGTAACACCAGTGCTGCCCCTTAAGGCAGATCGGATCCGCTGGATCCATGTGTTGTGTCTCAGGCACTGAGCTCACTGCAGCGGCAGCCACGACAGTGGCAGGAGTGTTGATGATGACTATGAGGCTGACCACCGTGACAGTCACAGTGGAGGCACGGTTAGCACTGAGCTCCTGATGGGGAGGGCACTGTCCCTCGCCACGGGCTGTCCCGCCCCTCAAGACAGCTGCACTCCCTTGATCCCACGCTCAAAGGCTGTTGGGGAACATGTGCCTTCGAGCAGACAATTGCCCCTGGCCGGGCACGGTGGCTCACCTGTAATCCCAGCACTTTGAGAGGCTGAGACAGGCAGATCACTTGAGGTCAGGAGTTTGAGACCAGCCTGGCCAACATGGTGAAACCTTGTCTCTACTAAAATTGCAAAAATTAGCCGGGCATGGTGGCACACACTGGTAGTCCCAGCTACTTGGGAGGCTGAGGTGGGAGAATTTCTTGAACCTGGGAGGCAGAGCTTGCAGTGAGTGGAGATCGCACCACTGCACTCCAGCCTGGGTGACAGAGCAAGAGTCTGTCTCAAGAAAAAAAAAGAGAGAGAAATGCCCCCAGGTCCCACCAGACCCTTGCCCAGAGGAGGCCATTTCCCCATCCCCCTGCCCCATGTGGCTTCTCTGATGTCAGGCATGTCCCACGTCCCCACCCACCTGACAAGGAACCTGCATGCAGCCATCCTTTCCTCGCAGACGCTCCCTTTTCCATGCCTCTCAATTCAAAGGGAAGGAGGCCTCAAGTGGCTGCTGGTGACTCTGACGCCTGCCTTGGACACTTACCTTGTGACTAGGACAGCCTGGCCGAGGCTCCAAGATCTGTCTCAGCAGCAGGGGAGAGTTGGAGGGTGGGCGCTAGGGGTGCAGGAAGCCCCAGCCTGAGGAGCCGGCAGACTAAGAGCCCCTGAGGCCCTCGGAGAGAAGCACGTTGGGGGTTCCCACCAGCTGCTCCTTAACAGCACCTCCACCTCCCAGGGAGGCTTCCTGACCTCAGGTACATGGGGCTTCTGGGCAGACACCTGGTCTACATGGGTGTTGTTATTGGTGCCAGCCATTGGTGGGGCCAAACCTGGCCTCTGACCCCTCAGCCCTTCCAATAACCGCATCCGCAGGGGCCCCCTCTCAGCCCCACCTCGCAGGGAGGTACCATCTCTGAGTTCCACGGAAATGCGAAGGGGGAAGCCCCAGGATTCTGCAGCAAGAAGCACAGGGTGCCCCTTAGGAAGAAGGGGCAGTTTTGGCCTGAGATAGAGGAAGGCCAGAAAGGCGACTAAAAATTTCATGAGCAAAGATCATTAATAGCAATAGCAACATCGCCCATCCACGCTGGCTTTATTGCTTTATTACAACCATGCTGCTACCGTAAGCGGGTGGCAGGCAAAGCGACAGGTGTACTGGGACCGCTGTGTGCCTGGAGCCCGGCTGTCCACACCAAGCTCCTCAGCCAACCCTGAGGAAGGGACGCTATGCTCATCTTAGAGGAAAGACCAAACGCCTTTCTAAGAACGCACATGGCCAGGTCTGAGGCCACTAGGGCAGCCAGCTCCAGCACAGCCCCACCCACCTCACCCAGGAGTGGGGCACAGTCTGCCCGCCTCCCCAGGAGGGCACTGGCTCCTGGAAGAGGGGAGTCTCTAGCACTCGGCCTGCACAGGGCTTGTGAGGCCCTCACAGGGCGGGGCTGTGGCCTGGGCAGCTTTAATTCTCTAGAGCCCCTGCCCAGCCCCTTTAGGCCTGGCTGTCCCCTATGTTCTTCCTCCTGAGTCTTGGGAAGGAGCCCTCTTGGCTAAGGTGGTTTTGAGAGCAATCCCACCAGCCCCAGGGCGGAGGCATGGGTGGGTCAGGGGGAAGGAGAAGAGCCACAGACGCCACCGGAAGGATGCGGCATCGAACACCAGGTCCTTGGGCCGTGGTGGCGGCACTGGTCCCACAGTTGCTTCCCACCAATGGCTCTTACCCCTCTGGGACTCTTACCTGCCCACATTCCACTCCTGGCAGGGAGTGAGGAATGGAGATGGAGTATGGGGCTTGGGTGGGGGGCTGCCTCCCCTCTGCCCCCAGTGGAATCTTCATCCCCAAATCCAGCTGTTTCCAAGCCCTCTTCCCCATCTCCCTTGGATTAACAGAGGATCCAGAATGGAAAGGACCTTGGGAGATAATTTACCTCCTTTGATTTTAGCCCAGGAAACTACAAGCAGGAGAGGGGACCAGAACTTGCCAAGTTTACACAGCAGGGCGGTGCAGAACAGAATTACACATAATAAGGGCACAGAGGCCAGAGAGGGCAGAGGCACTTCAGCAACATCCGGCCAGCTCACAGAAACCCCCAAACCTCAGTCTCCTTGGAAACTCCAGCTAAGTCCCATGAGCAGCCCGCTCCATCTGGGAAGGCGGGTACCCCCAGTCTCTCTTCCCTCTGCTCCCACAGCTGCCCAAGGGGGACAGTGCCTAGCAGCTGCCAACGCTGTCCTCACCAGAGGGGCTCACACCCACCGCCCATGCCAATTCAAGCAAGAGGCTGTGACGTCAGCTGGACAGGTGGGACTCAGCCTGGTAGGGGTGCCCTGGCCAGGGAGGGCCTTGGGAGAAAGGCCTCCAGGAACACACACCCCTGCACTGCACACACCGGGTGGGGTCCCTGCCTTGGGTCATTTTCAGCATGGGATGGTGGGACAAATGTCTTCCTAGGAGGGTGAGCCCAGCAGCTGCCTGGAACCTCTTGCACACCTGCAGAGCCCTGCGCCTGCCTGCCAGTGCCTTGCGAGACAACAGCTGGTTTTGAAAACTGTGGCTGGGGAATCTCTGCAGGCTCCACCTCCCACCCTCTGCGTCCATCCTCAGGACCCTCCTAATTGGCTACTTCCCATCAGGCAACCAGATTCTCCATCCCCCTTCCCCCAGGACCTTTGAGTCAGGCTGCTCTGCCCCCATTTCAGCTTCTCTTGAGATCTCTGCCCACTGCCCAGGGCACACCTTGCCTGTAAGCGAAGGGTCCCCACAGCCAGCCCAGGCTCACCAGCCACCAACACCTGCAGGAGAGAGACCACACCTCTGCATCAGGCCAGTGTCCCCTTTTTTGAATAAAATAATGGAATCATCTCAAGGTCCAGCAGTAACACAAACAAGGGAAACTCCCCTGGAACAGAAGCTCAGTGTTCTCAGCCCAGCATCTTCTGAACCGGGAGGCCCAGTGGGCAGCCTAGCACTTACCGTCTCCTATCTGAGCCCACCTAAGTCTCACTGTGCCACGCCTGGCAGGAAATGGGGAGGGCGGGGAGTCAGGACAGGTGGCAGGAACAGGGCTGCCTCTAGGGCAACTGATGAACCCTGGCAGCAGCATCCGTGACACTGGAGAGCCCAACACCAGCTGCCACTGTGTGGCCCTGTGGCATTGGCCACAAATGAGCACATCCATCAGCTCCTGAGTCTCAAGCTGTCCCTCCCAGGCTGACTCCGCACTTCTGGAGAGAAAGGGGCCGCCAGCTACAGAAGTACTCTCCAAGATGTATCCCTAGAGGCCATGAGAATTTTCTAGGCAAGAGTTTCTGGGGCTAAGTGAAAGTGCTTGGCCTAAAGCTGGGAGCAGTGGCTGAAAGAGGCAGGCCTGGGTGTTTCCACTCATGCAAGAGCTCTTCTGGAGATGGAGCAGCCAGGCAGCTCCCGCAGCTGCTTCTCCTTGGAGCCCAAACCCTTTTACACCCATTCCCTCCTGAAGGCCTTGTTGCACCTCTGAGCAAAGTGGGGCAGAGGCTGCTCCTCCAGACTCAAGGGAAGGGTTTTGTTTTGGGTCACCAAGTAGGTTAGCAGTGAAATGACACAAAAACTCATGCCTTGGAAATTGTCCATGGAATTTCATTCAGCCTCCAAAGAAGACCCAGGAATGGGGTAAAGCAAATAACACAGCCCCGCTGGGCTGCATCTCAGTTCCTGACAGTGCAGGCCTGGGGCCTGGCAGGGAGTTTTACAGGGAGAGAAAGAAGGCATGAGAAAGTGGGGAACAGCCAAGCGGGTTGTGCGTGATCCCAGTAGAGTTGGGGGTGAGTGTGCCTGGTTGCATGGCTTCCTGGGGACGCCTCAGGGTTCCTCCTCCAGGAAAGAGGGCACCCTTCACCATCCATGCCTCACAGCACCAGGCCAGGCCCGGGACATCCACAGGTGCCTCAGACCCCACCCCTAGTTTCCAAGAGCTCTCAGTCTAGGCAGGAGGCAAAACACACACTTTCAACCTCAGTTCCCGGGGCTAGGGCTCAGCACTGCCGCAGGGTTCAGGAAGGCACAGGGAGGAGGGCCCAGCCATGTCTGCACAGAGCCAGGGCTCAGGGAAGCCAGGCTGGAAGAGCCAAGGCAGCCAGGTGAAGGCGGGAAAGCTGGCGAAGGGGAGGAAGCAGAAAGTGCAAAGGCACTGAAGTACGGAGAAGAACGCGTCTGCAGAACAGTGGTGGCTCAGGTGGCCCAAGCTCTGGGAGATAAGTTTCAGGAGATGCACCCAACTGGGCGCAGGGGGGCAGGTCGCGAACGAACCTCACCAGCCATGCTTAGCCTGAAGGCCACCAGCCGGGTCCACAGAAAGGTGGAAGTAGGAGGCCCAACCTACTGGGAATGCCTAAGAAAAGGGAAAGTAACTAAGGCAGCCTGGGTCCCCTGCCTCCTCTCCTCAGTGTGGGAGGGATCCCGAGAGATGTCTACACCAAACCCTACTGCCCAGGGCCGCACGCTGCCTTTCGGTTAGGGTGATTCTGCTCACACTAGCAGTGTCCAATAGCCTTCATCATGCTGTAAATGCCAGAACCAAAAATAAATCATCCAGGGAAGACACGCTTGGGTCCCACCCAGCCATCTCTGGAGTATGAGGAACCTACAGGGAGGGATGGGCCGGCTCAGTGGAAGAGATCGGCTCAGTGGGGATCCTGCCTGCCAGGCTCCAGGTGGGAGTGCGCTCCCTCTCCCCTCCCTTTTGTTCCTGTCCATGTCACTCCCAGCCATCCTGGCACAGGCTGTGAGCTGACCCAGTTCGAGACACCTTGTTGTACACTTTGTCACCACGTTGCTCAGGCACCACAATTCTAAAGTTAGCCCTAGCCTGATAGCAGAGGCTCCCCACCAGGCCAGTGCCAGCAGCACACAGAGTAATGCTGCTGCCCAGCTCAGCTGCCATTCAGAGGCAGGCAGTGCCCCAGGGGCAGCAGGGCTGTTGCCAGCTAAAAGCCCACGTCCACTGCCTGGCTCTGAAAGATCCCACACTCATGTGCCGTGGAACGGCTTGCACTTGAGACCCAACATCAAGGGGCCAGGGGAGTGAGCGTGGGCACTGGGGACAAGGCACTGACTGTCCCCAGCCATGGAGCTGAAGCTAGACCTGCCATTCGTTCTGCAGGAGTCCAGCTGTGAGCACAGCCCAGACAGGAGCGGGGGAGAGCTAGGAGGGCCACAGTATCTTAGGTGACACTGGTCTGAAGAGACAAGAGCTGTGCTCCTAGAGCCAAGGTCTCAGTCAGGCCTGATGAGCCAGCTGGCTCTGCTCAAAGAAAAACCCTTCTTGTGCCACAGGCTCCGCCAGTAAGCCCAGCTCAGCTCAGCTTTCCCGCAAGTGCAAGAGGCCCTGGCAGAGGACGACGCTTTCTGGTCCAGAAACACTGGCTTGGAGCCCACTGGATATGCGGCCATGCCCTGGGAGCCAGATTTCTGAGCCAGATGGAAGCAAGGGTCTCAGACAGTTTGGCTCATGCCCCCATCCTAACTTCTGACACACACACACTCACACACATGCACACACTCACACACCTACACACACACACACATGCCACCATCCTTGAGCAGACAGTCCAGATTGCAGGTATGCACTTGGGGTCCTCCCTCACAAGCCCCAGGCCCACCTGTAGTCCACCTTTTGTCTACACTCATATCCCTTTCCTTGGCCTCAACTCCTGCCCACCCTGCCCCTATGACTCCTCCAAAAAGCCCACGTGGGCCAAGTGCTGCCCTGCCTATGGCCCACCATCACCTCCTCCAGCCCCCACGACCCTGTCTCCCCACGCATTACCTGGTTATGCTCTCTCCGTAACTCCTTGGTTAATAAGTTGTGAGCTTTCTTATTAACCAAATGCTGATTTTTCTATGTAACATCTAATGTCCAATCTGACCTTGTTAATCCAGTGCCAGCCCAGGAGGGCAGGGTCCCGTCCCGGCACAGAGCTGCCCCAGAGCCAGGACTTGGTAAAGCGCAGGGATTGCAGCATTTCAGAGCTAGATGGGGCCTCAGCTGAGCGTCCTCACTTTACAAATGGAGAAACCGATGCCCAGGAAGGGGATGTGAATGACAAGGGTACAGGGCCTGGGCTGATCCCATAGCACCTACAAGGTCGGCTTTCCCGGCACCTGGAGGGATCCCTTGGGGCACTCAGAAACGAGCCATAGACCGCTGGCTGGGGATCTGAAAATGGAAACTGAGGCAGCAGCAGCAGCAAACTCACACTAAGGGTGGTAGGCAGGTGAGGGAGCTGCAGGTGAGGAGGTGACTGAGGTGAGGCAGGAGCACCCACACCTTTTCTTCCTTCTCCTCCTCCTCCTCTTCCTCCTCCCAGGAGCCAGGAGAAGCACACCTCACCTTGCCCACAGCGCCACCTACCGTCTGGCCACCCTGGGGTGCAGCTGCTGCCAGTACCAGCCAGCAGGTCAAACATCCAGGCCCAGGAAACCCCAGGCCCAGCCAGCGGCCCAGCGCAGCAAGTGGACTCTCACCTCCCAGAAAGGAAAAGCTGCCTCTTCCCAAACAACTCTCCAGACTACAGTGGCCAACTGTCCTGTTCTGCCCAGGACTGACTTGGGTTCCAGGGAAAGAGACTCTCAGGCTAAAAGCAGGAAAGTCCCCGGCCAGAGGGACAGGTCAGCGTCCTGATACAGACATAAGGCCTGCTGCCCCTCTATAGGTATCCTCTGCAGGGCCAAGGGCTGGGGCTTTGGTCTGGTTGACAGTGAGTGTCAGAACACCTGTCTGCAGCTGACCTGTCAAATGCCTTTCCTCTCTGGAGCACATGTGCAGGAGCCACCCCCGGCCCAATGGAGCGAGAGGTCTTGGGCAGGGTGCACTGTGGGAGAGAGGGGCCTCAGAGGGGAGGAGCTGCACACTGACCTTGAGGATGGACTTGGGTGTCCCCAAGCAAAGACCTGCACATGAGAGCCAGGCACCCAGGGAGAGCAGAAAGCAGGGTGGCCACGCAGGGCTTGGAAGGGGACAAACAAAGGCACCAGGAAGCACCCTCCCAAGGCTGGAGGAAACCGGCGTGACCCCGTGTGCATCTGCCGTCTTGGCAGGATTCCTTACAGCTCCCCTTCAGGTTTACGGGGTCCCAGTGAGGAAGGGAAGTCAGACACAGGCAACTCTGCCTAGAAATCCTTCTAGGTTGGAAGTAGGGTTCCAACTTGCTATGTCTCCAGCAGCTTTGATGTTGGTTACATGCAACTGGTCTTCAATAAAGTTAAAATACCAAAGCATGTGCACACTTTGCTCTTGTAAATAACTGCTCAAGGCAGCTGCTGTGCCTCCCATGCTGGCTCCCTCGGGACAACACAGGGCATGGCAGGGCAGGGCAAGCAGGGGGGCTCTGGGAGCTGGAGTGGCACAGGCTGCCTATCTTATCTTCACTGGGATGCCAGGAATCGCTGAGCCTGCTACAAATGACTGCTGCTCTTTACCTCCATGCAGTGCTTTATTTCACAGAGTCGGGGTGTGCATAGAACCTGGCACAATGGAGCCTCACCTTGTCCACCAGGTGCCACTGCAGAAAACCAGTCAATGGGCAATCCACGCTCACAAAGCCAATAAACACTGCCTGGACATCCATTTCTGCCAGGCATGGTGCTGGGCACAGGCACTGAGCTACAACAGGTGCCCTACCCTCCTTGACACAGAAGGTCAGGCAGCAGCTGCCACCCGGAGCACTGCACATGCCAGGATTGGGGACACAGAAGCAGAGCAGGCTCCGCTTCAACTCTCTTAGGATGCTCCTGGGAAGGGGACAGTGAGAGACAAACAGTGACAGCAGGTATGGCAGGCTGTGCTGAGGGGTAGGTACTCAGAACGCCCAGGCAGCCATGGCCCTCAAGGGACATCAGGCAATGTCTGGAAACCACTCAGATGGCCTGGGCTTGGGGTACTACTGACATCTAGTGGGCAGAGGCCGGGGACATTGCTGGACACCTGTAGTGCCAGGGATGGCCCCAAAAGTCAGCAACCCTGAGTCAGAGAGGGCAGGGTGAGGAGGCATGAGGGAGGGGACACCTGACAAGGACCACTCCAAGCTGCGGTAACAAAGGTCTGTGGGCAGCCTTGCACAAGAGAAGCCAGATCACCCAGAAAGGCCCAAGACCTGGGATGACTGAGGATACAGGTGGGAGGACGCCTGCCAGAAGGGCCTCCCGGGACAGGGGAAAAGTTCCATTTCCTGGAAAACCTGGGGACCTCTGAGCATGGCCCTCAAGGGTGGCTAGAGAGGAGCAGTGGGGAGACTGGCTGCAAGCAGCTGCTGCTGGTGATCTGGCGGGGGTGATGGCACGAAGCCAGGTAGAGTCCGCGAGGGTACAGATCCGGGGGCAGGTGAGAAGAGGGAGTCCATCCTGGTCCTTGGACCACTGCCCTGGCATCTGGAGTGATAGGGAAAGAACAGAACATTGGGGAGGTCTTGGCAGGGGCTCCCTTTGGAGACTGGAGACTCCCACGTAGGGCCACAGTGCCTGGACCCAAGGTCCTGAAGCCCTGAGGAGTCCAGGCCACAGACTGAGACTCAGATGACAGAGGGAAAAGCCTGTCAGTCCCTCTGTGACACCTTGATCTTTGTTTCCTGAGCCCTTATCACAGTGTTCATTACAAACATATCTGTGCTCTGGAAGGACAGAGGTCATTCACTCTCTGAGGACACACACAGTGCCTGGTGCATGGCAGGTTCTCGGTGACTATTCGCTGAGCAAATGAACATCAGGTGGAGGAAGCAGAATTCACAAGAACAGCAGGAAGAGAGCCAGAAAAGCATCGTGGCGCACAGGAAGGCCGGTCTCCAGGAAGAGTGAGGGTCCGCAGTGTGAACTCCCCCAAAGACCCAGAAAGAGAAGGCCGGGAAAGCCTCCCATGGTCTGAACAAGGAAGAGCAGGAGGAGGCCTTGGGAAGAAATGTTCCAACAGAGTGGAGGAGATGCCAGCTGGCCAGGTGGAGGGAGGGGTGGGAGCAGGTGGCTCACCTAGGAAGCCTGGGAGGGAAGAGGGAAGGGACGGAGTGGGTGCTGATGAGCAGAAGCGGGCAGCACCCCAGCCCAATGCTGGGAAAACACTCCCTAGAGCCACAGCCCAGAAAGGCACACAGTGGGCCTGGGGCCAAGGCCCCTCTCCAGTGCCCCCAGCTCCCCAGGAGTCCAGACTCACACACAGTCTGTTTTGTTTTGGGTTTTTTTTTTTTTCTGATACAGGGTCTCACTCTGCCACCCAAACTGGAGTTCAGTGGCTTGAGCACAACTCATGGCAGCCTCGACCCCCAGAGCTCAAGTGACCCACCCACCTCAGCCTTCCCAGTAGCCGGTGCTCACCACCACACCTGGCTAAATTTTGTATTTTTACAGAGATGACATTTCACCACGTTGCCCGGGCTGGTTTCGAACTCCTGGGCTCAAGCGATCCGCCTGCCTTGGCCTCCCAAAGTGCTTGGGATTATAGGCGTGAGCCACCATGCCTGGCCTTCTCACACTGTCTGGAGCCCAAGGACATCCGTGTCTGACACAGGCAAAACCGAGCTCTTCCTCCACAAGCCTCTCCTCCCACGGTTGCCCCAGGGCAGCCAACGGCCTTGCCTCCCACGGGTCACTCAGGCCCAACCATGGGCTGGCCAAGCCACCTCTCTCAGCTCTCCCTGATCACTGCTCCCACCTCCGCCAGTCCCACTGTGGTCAAGCTGCCATCTGGGGCCTGCTGGCCTCTCAGCTCCACCTTTGTCTCTTCTCCTCTGTCCTTGGTGCAGTGACCTTGAAACTCTGACTCAGATCATGCCACCTCTGCAATGGCTCCCAGCTCAGAGTCCAGGGAATGTCTCTCCCCATGGCCCGCAAGGCCTGCACCACCGTCCCCAGCCACCTCTCCGTCCTGCTCCTCCATTCTCCCTCTGCCTGGCTCCAGCGGCAGCTGTCCCTTAAAACCTCCGAGGACACTCAAGAGTGCCCCAGGACTTTTGCACTTGTGTTTTCCTGACAGAATGCTCTTCCCCAGACACCTGAGGGCCCTCCTGCATGAGAATCAGGTTTCTGGTGAAAGGACACCCATCAGAGAGGCCTTCCCTGACCACCACCCCTGTCTGTCCCTCCCCTTGCCTGCTGTGTCACCGGCAGTGCTATACATTCATTCACCACTGAAGCTGCTGCGTGAGGGCCAGGGGCCGGGATGGTGCCCAGCGCACAGTAGATGCTCAATAAACATTTGAAGAATGTATGAATGAACCTCTTCAAGCTTCAGTCTCCAAAGGGGATATTAACAGCATTTGCTGTGAAGATTCATTGAAATACTGCATGACATGCACTGGGCACAACACCTGAGCATGAGTCCCGCCACCACCAGCCAGCCCTCCGCAGCAACTGCAGATAAAAATATTCAAGAGCCAGGCGTGGTGGCTCATGCCTGTAATCCCAGCACTTTGGGAGGCCAACGCGGGCAGATCACCTGAGGTCAGGAGTTCGACACCAGCCTTGCCAACATGGTGAAACCCTGTCTCTACTAAAAATACAAAAATTAGTCAGGCACAGTGGTGCATGCCTGTAATCCCAGCTACTCAGGAGGCTGAGGCAGGAGAACCACTTGAACCTGGGAGGTGGAGGTTGCAGTGAGTCGAGATCGTGCCACTGCACTCCAGCCTGGGCAACAGAGCAAGACTCTGTCTCAAAAAGAAAAAAAAGGCCTGGCGCGGTGGCTCATGCCTATAATCCCAGCACTTTGGGAGGCCGAGTCAGGTGGATCACAAGGCCTGGCCAAGATGGTGAAACCCCATCTCTACTAAAACTACAAAAAAGTTAGCTGGGCTTGGTGGCAGGTCCCCGTAATCCCAGCTACTTGGGAGGCTGAGGCAGGGGAATCGCTTGAACCTGAGAGGCAGAGGTTGCAGTAAGCCAAGATCATGCCACTGCACTCCAGCCTGGGAAACAGAGTGAGATGCTGTCTCAAAAAAAAAAAAAAAGAAAAATTCAGGAAAAAAATAAAAACAAAAAGTAATAACATAAAAAATAATACAGTGTAACTACCCAGCATGTACACTGTCTTGGGTATGATAAGTAATCTAGAGATGATGTAAAGTATATGGGAGGGTGGGCATACGTTATACTCGAATACAACATTGTTTCCCATCAGGGACCTGAGCATCTGCCGATTTTGGTATCCACGGGGAACTGGAACCAATCTCCTATGGATACCCAGGGACAACTGCATTGATAACTATTAAGTTATTTAAGTGCTTCCCTGGTTGTGGCCTGTTGGCCTGTCTTTGTTTTTGTTTTTTAAGACAGGGTCTTGCTCTGTTGCCCAGGCTGGAGTGCAGTAGTGTGATCACAGCTCACTGCAGCCTCGACCTCCTGGGTTCAAGTGATTCTCCTACCTCAGCCAACCCAGTAGCTGGGACTACAGGTGCACACCACCACACACGGCTAATTTTTGTATTTTTTGTAGTGGCAGGGTTTTGCCATGTTCCCCAGGATGGTCTCCAACTCCTTGGCTCAACTGATCCACCCACTGGGCTTCTGGCATCACAGAGCTGGGCCTCGTCATCCCATTCCAGATGCCGTCCGGATACTCTCCCCGGCAGCAGCCCACGGAACTGCAACATGTTTCTTAACTTTTCTCCTTTTGAAACCACTTTGAAGAGCTCACTCCCTCTCCCACCAATGACCACAAACTGTTCCAGTGAAAAACTATCTCAAAATGAGACTAATCAAAAGCTTATGACCAAAAAAAAAAAAAAAAAAAAACCGTATGCCAAACACACAGACACATGCTGTCTTCCAAATCTTACTGCATCTTTTTTTTTTTTTTTTTTTTTAAAGACAGAGTCTCACTCTGTTACCCAGGCTGGAGTACAGTGGTGCCATCTCGGCTCACTGCAACCTCCGCCTCCTGGGTTCAAGAGATTCTCCTGCCCCAGCCTCCCGAGTAGCTGGGACTACAGGCGTACACCATCACATCCGGCTAAATTTTTGTATTTTTAGTAGAGATGAGGTTTCACTATGTTGGCCAGGCTGGTCTCGAACTCCTGACCTCAGGTGATCCACCCACCTCAGCCTCCCAAAGTGCTGGGATTACAGGCGTGGGCCACCGCGCCCGGCCAAATCTTACTGCATCTTAACCACTCTGCCATTCATGAGCCACTGAGAACCTTCACAATGAACTTCACTTTAAAAACACACTGTTGGCTAGGCTAGTGGGAAGTGACCTGAGGGGGCTTGTGCATAAATAAAAGCGTCCTCAGGACCTGCTATGCATTCAGCCAGCCAAGCTCCCAGTGCTGGGAGACCCATATGTACCTCAATGACTGCTGGTCAACGTCAGGCCTGCAGGAAGCCAGAGGGCAGGGACCTCCTCCGGCTGTAAGAGCCCAACATCTCCCTCAGAGAAGGACTGTGGACAGCCAAGAGCGTGGCACACCCAACACTCCAAAGGTTAGGCCCACAACGTCTTCCAGCAGGGGTCTTTGGCTTTTTAAATACCCTGGCCTCGCTTCCTGTGGCTGCTGTAACAAATGACTGCCAACTTAGGGGCTGAAAACAACAGCAATCCCCAATCAGTTACCACTGGGCCAAAATCAAGGTGCCGACTGGGCTGTGCTTCCACCAGAGGCTCTGGGGGAGACTCCATTTTTTGCTTCTTCCAGCTTCTGGTGGGCCTGGCCTTCCTTGGCTAGTGGCTTGGTCACTCCAGCCTCTGCCTCCATGGTGACAAGAGACACTCCTGTGTTTCAATGTCCCTGTGCCACTCCATTGTTAAAAGGACACACACAATGGCACTTAGGGCCCACCTGGGTAACTCAGGGCCATCTCCCCAGCTCAAGCTCCTTGACTTCATCACGTCTGCAAAGATCCTTGTGTGTGTGCCATATAAGAGACCTTCACAGGATGTGGACGTCTTTGCAGGACCATTTTTCAGCCTCCAAACACCCTCCTCACCCTTCACCACCTCATATCTCTGGCATGCTGGGTGTGTGCAAAGGTGAAAGGAGAGAGGAAGCATGCAGGCCAGGCAGTGGGAGGAAACGCCAGGATGGCCAGGCACTTCGGCTGCAGCCCTGGCTCCAGAGGCCCATGTCAGGAGGCTGGGGCCAGCTGGGGACGGTGTGGCTGAGAGTACAGGTGCTCCCCAGCCCAGCCAAGGCTTCTCAGGAGAAAGGGGTGTCCGGGAGGCCTGTGTTTGGCTACACCAAGCTCGCCAGTCTCACTCCCACCTCTGGACCTCCCCTCGAAGCCCCTCCCTTGTGGGCCGCCAGAGCATCCATCCTCGGAGTGTGTCCAGCATGTTCAGGACAGCAGGAACAGGGCATTCTTTGGAATGCACTGTCTTTGACATGAGCAGGCTGGCCCCCACCCACTTCTCTCACCAGATGGAGAAAAATCTCAAGTCATAAACTAAATGAAAAACATGTCCTGTTCTGCCCTGGGATCAAGGGTTCACCTTAAATGAAAACTGTCTGGAACAATGTGCTGCTGACGCTGATCTTGGCCTTACTCTGCAGATTAGCCTCGGGGGTGATCACAGGACGCTCAGGGCTCTGCATCAGCAAGCCCAACCCCCGCTGAGCCCCAGGACCACCCACTCCCCCAGCAGGATCCCCGGGAAGCAGCCCAGAAGCACCCCCCAGAGACAGCCTTGGGAGAGCGGGCCAGGAACCCCAAGAGCTTCACCCCACAGTCTGGGAGGTGTGGGAGGCATCTCAGAAAGGCTGCAGAAGGAACTGACGGCCCTCCCCTCCCACACTTTCCTCGAAGGGCCCAGAGCCCACTTCCCATGCAGTCCACCCACCCCTCGGTGCTGGTGCCCGGGCACCCAAACATCCCCTGGCACCCATCACGAGCTGGTGCCACGCTGGTGGCTTCCTTTCAACTCATGCCGGCTTGCTCCTGCCACCCAGCTCGCCTAGGTCCGGAATGCGCAGGCCGTTTTGCAGGAAGCCTCATGTGGGAAAAATAACCATGTTTGTGGAACACACGAGGGGTGGGAGATTCACAAGCAAGTGGCTTTACTGTGTGACATGGCAGAGAGGGAAGAGAGCCCCTACTTCCTGGGCAACCCACTTCATGCATGAGAAGGCCACCAGACTGCCAGGCACATGTGACCAATGGCAGCCCCACCATGGCAGCGTTCTCCTGCAGGTTCTTGTGAGGGTAGGAGGGCCACCCCTACAGTCCTGGACCATCCTGACGCCAGCCTGGGCAGCCCAATGGCTGCTGGATCCCCAAGGCAAGACGGCAGGAAGCGCCTAGTACTCCACACCAGCCAGCGACAGACACGGGAGGGAAGAGCAGAGCTGTCTGTCTGTCTGGCCAGCCAGCAGCAACCACCGCGATCCCCTGCATGTGGGGCTCACCAAGCAGTGAGATACTCCCGTCTGGACAGTGTCAGGCACATCACTTACCACATTCCAGTAGAGCGGATTGAAGGTGATGGTGATGACGGCAGCCACAAAGCTGGGATCCAGGGGGTCCACGTAGCCCAGCAGCCGGGTCATAACGCAGAAGTCTGCCTGCAGGGACAGAGCTAGCATCAGCACCACCCAGACACAGCAGGGCCTGTGAGCCCCCAGGAGTCGGAGAAAAAGTTACCCTCTGGGAACACACTGGGAGGCCTGGGAACATCCAAGTCCGGCAAAGGTTACTACAGTGTAGTCTCATAAAAGGGAAGATAAAAAGCTGAAACCTAATGAGCTGTGTCATGTCCTGGGAGGGCGGCCGCAGAAATGTGCCTGGATGCCAGATGAGGAAATCAGCACCTCTGAAGAGGGGTGCCTGGCACCCTGAAGGGAGGTGACACCAACCCTGGTGTGACCGAGACCCTCCTGGATGAGGGTTCTCAGAGGCCCCAGAGGAAACCCAAGCAGCTGAGATAAATGTGAAGAGATGCTCAACCTACCAGGAATCAGGTAAAAGCAAATTAAAACAATAGTGGTGTGCCTCTCCTCGCCCACACTCGACAGGGGACAATCTTGAGTGCACACGAGGGTGTGAGTGGGGCGGGGTAAACTGAAAAAGTGTGTGCCCACATCCCGGCCACGCCACCCGCATACGGGGGGCACGTGGACACTGCCCCCGCCCCGCCATCATCTTGCATGAAAACGTCAGGAACAATGACAAACAACTTAGGTGTCCAGCAACCAAAGAAATGAAGAAAAAAAAAAAAAACCCACGGCCCATTCCTACAGCAGCTAAACTACAGCAGTTAAAAGCACTAGGTCGGCCGGGCGCGGTGGCTCATGCCTGTAATCCCAGCACTTTGGGAGGCCGAGGCGGGCGGATCACGAGGTCAGGAGATCAAGACCATCCTGGCTAACACGGTGAAACCCCATCTCTACTAAAAATACAAAAAATTAGCCGGGCATGGTGGCGGGCGCCTGTAGTCCCAGCTACTCAGGAGACTGAGGCAGGAGAATGGCATGAACCTGGGAGGCGGAGCTTGCAGTGAGCAGAGATCGCGCCACTGCACTCCAGCCTGGGCAACAGAGTGAGACTCCGTCTCAAAAAAAAAAAAAAAAAAGCACGAGGTCTACACACAGCACTGTGAAACGTTCTGAAACACACGGCTGAGTAGAAGAGCAGGCTGCATGATTCAGCACCTAGACAGAAATTTCTAGAAAACAACATAAAATATAGTATCAAATATTCAGATTTTACAATTTTTTTTTTTTTTGAGACAGAGTCTCCCTCTGCCACCCAGGCTGGAATGCAGTGGCGCGTTCATAGCTCACTGCAACCTTGAACTCCTGGGCTCACTTTGGGAGGCCAAGGTGGGAGAATCACTTGAGGCCAGGAGTTTGAGACCAGTCTAGGCAACATAGTGAGACCCTGTCTCTACAAAAATGTAAAAACTAGCTGGGCGTAGTTCCAGTTACTTGGGAGGCCAAGGCAAGAGGATCGCTTGAGCCCAGGTGTTCGAGGCTGTAGTGAGCTGTGATCGTGCCACTTGCACTCCAGCCTGGGCAACCCTGTCTCAAAAAATAAACAATTAATTAATTTAAAAATAAATTAAAATAAAAAACTTTTTCTAAAATGCACTGAAAAATATTATGGTGTCTCTCCACATGCAACTCAAAATTTTTTAAAAATACTAAATTATAAAATAAGTGTAAAGTTGTGCTCGCTTCAGCAGCACATATACTAAAATTGGAACAATACAGAGAAGATTAGTATGGCCCCTGCACAAGGGTGACACATACAAATTCATGAAGCGTTCCACATTTTTGGACACAAGGAGGGGAACATCACACCGAGGCCTGTCAGGGGGCGGGGGGCTAGGGGAAGGATAGCATTAGGAGGAATACCTAAGGTAGATGATGGGTTGATGGATGCAGCAAACCACCATGGCAAATGTATACCTATGTACAAACCTCCATGTTCTGCACATGTACCCCAGAACTTAAAGTATAATAATAAAAATTTTTTTAAAAAATTAAAAACAAAAAATAAAAAAAATAAGTGTAAAGTCCATCAGAGCTGTGATCTTTCCCATAATGGTGTGTTTTGTTCTATTGCATTTGGAAATACAGTAAATTCCTTCAAAGAGCGCTTTGATCTCCCACATTTTGGGGAAGCGGTGGGGAGGAGATGGTGCTTCTGCCCAGGGTCAGCCAGCCCTGGGGGGCAAGCGCAGCCTCCACTCCAATCCTTGCTTCCCCAAACGACAGTCTCCTGACATAACTCTGCCTGCTACCAGGTCACTTGCAGGGTGTGACCATGGGATGTCCCTCAGACGTCTATCAGTATAAAGCCATCTTCTGCTATGGCCTGCCATCCTTCCCACGTGTGGCCTCCCCACCTGATCAGCCTGCATCCCTGAGGTGCAAACAATCATCTCACTGTAGGGCCAAGGGCAGGGCTAAGCAGATGTTAAATGCTCTAGGCCGGGCGTGGTGGCTCATGCCTATAATCCCAGCACTTTGGGAGGCCGAGGTGGGCGGATCACCTGAGGTCAGGAGTTTGAGACCAGCCTGGCCAACATAGTGAAACCCCGTCTCTACTAAAAACACAAAAATTAGCTGGGCGTGGTGGTGCATGCCTATAATCCCAGCTACTCAGGAGGCTGAGGCAGGAGAATTACTTGAACCCGGGAGGTGGGAGTTGCAGTGAGCCAAGATGCGCCACTGCACTCCACTGGGTGACAGAGCAACACTTCATCTGAAAACAAACAAACAAACAAAATGCTCCAATGCAGGCCCCTCCTAAGGGATGAATGAGCTGACATAGGACCAAAGGTGCACTGCTACTGGAATCTGTAGACAGAATAGCTGAGTGAAAGAGTGGCCACGGCAGCAGGTGTGGGCATCAGTAAACAAATGACTAAGAAAAGCCACTCCGCAAATGGCGGGAAGAAGGAACCCAGGGAAGCACCACTTGCCTAGCTGTGGCCACAGCCTCTGGGAACTGCGCAGTGCCTGCCCAGCGCCTGCAGCCAACAAGGCCTGGCGCTCCAGCAGGTGCCTCCCAACGCCTGGGGCTGTGAGCCTAGGCCCACACTCCCCAGAGCAGACACTGGCCGCTCATGAAGGACAACTGGGCCAGGCTCAGAGCAGGCTGTCCTGCCCTGAAGGGAGGGGAAGGGAGGGGAGGGAAGGCCTGTGATGCAGCCCCAAAGCTTCTAGAACCTGGGGCTTAACCTGAGGCCTGGCCTTATCTTCAGCTTGATGATAACATCTATTAAGCACCTCCAGTCTAGGCATGGTGGCCTGTAATCCCAGCACTTTGGGAGGCTAGGCAGGCAGATCACAGGGTCAGGAGTTTGAGACCAGCCTGGCCAATGTGGTGAAACCCCATCTCCACTAAAAATACAAAAATTAGCCAGGCATGGTGGCGCACGCCTATAGGCCCAGCTACTCGGGAGGCTGAGGCAGAAGAATGGCTTGAACCTGGGAGGCGGAGGTTGCAGTGAGCCAAGATTGTCCCACTGCACTCCAGCCTGGGTGACAGAACGAGACTCCGTCTCAAAAAAAAAACAAAAACAAAAAACACGCATCCAATTCCAAGGCCCTGTCCCTTGACAGCCTGGTGGGGGGAGGGTGGAAAGCTGGCTCAGGGAAGAGTCGTGGCTTTGGTCATGCCTGGCACTTACGAAGTGCACCAAGAGTGAGTTATCTCCCTGCATGTGCACAGCAGACCCTATGAGTGGGCCAGCGGCCAGTTTTCACCCATCCCTCCCACTCCCCATTCCCCATTCAGCCCCCAGCCAAAACCTGGCCTCACCCTACCCCTCCCTTGCCTCATTCCCATTACCAATCCTCCCGTGGCCCATCTGTTATTCCGCCTCTTACACAACCACCTAATCCACTCCCTCCTCCAACCCTGGCTTTGCCGGTTGCTCCCCAGGGCACAGCAAAGGACCTCAGTGGCCTCCTGCCTTTGGACTTCCCCCAGAGCCCTCCCCATGGACCCTTACCTATGGACCAGCATGCTGTTAGCCAAGCCAAAGAGGAGAAAGGGCAGAGTGTGAGTCACAGAGCAGAGCCCCGCTCAGCTAGGGGAAAGGGGAAAGCAGGAAAGGCCTAGGGACACTGAGCCTGGGGCCAGGAAGGGACAGAGGGCATTTTCCAGGGCCAGGAAAAACACTTCCCATATCACTGGCGCCCCTTCAACTCTACAGCTAAGAGAGGTGCATCTTCCTGAGTGTAAATGATCTCTCTACTACTTCCCCACTGGGCCCTGGGGGAAATGCTGCCTCTCATAAGGAATTCAACTCGATGTTAGTCACCTTAGCTGAGCTCCACTAAGGAGGCCCTCACTCTAGGGGATCTAAGAAAACACAGGACCTGTCAGTGAGCGCAGACCTATCTCTGGCCATACTCTCAGCCACCCTAAAAGTAAAGCCTTGTTGTTAGCCTACTTTCCAGATAAAAGAGCAAAGCCTCCAGACCCCAGGCAGTGAGGAGCAGAGCCAGCCTGAGCAAGGCCAGCCCTACCAGACAGAAAGCCCCATAAAAATGGGACAAGGATAAAAGTGAGTGCTTCTGGGTCTTGAAACCCAAGGAAACTGGGAAAGTGAGCAAGAAATATGCTTTTTTCACCTTCTGTGGGAGCCAAGATGAAGGACGGAAACTGAGCACTGAAAGATTAAGCAACTAACACTGGGGGAACCCAGCAGCAGCTGACATCCACCTGAGTCTCCCAATTAGGGCTGAACTGGTCAAAGCTGGAACGTATCCACCCCCTCCCCCCTCTCCCTCCTGTGCCCAGGTCCCAATGGCCTCAGGTCAGCCTGTCTCAGGAGGGTGGTGGTGTCCATCCGGTCACTTCAGTCACCTTGAGGAGGATTTATGTTGCCCGGAGAAGCACCTGCTTCGCTGGAAAGAATGACTAATGGTTCAGAGTGGAATTCTAGGCAGCAGAGGGAAGCCCCTCCCAGCTCCCCGATCCCCACTCAGAGACATGATAGTCCCTTTCTCATAGCTGTCATTTCCAAAACCCCCCTCAGGAGGGTGGACCTCCCTCCTGAAACTGGATTGGCAAAAAAGAACCAAAAATCCAGGTCAGACGTGAGCAGAGTAGGAGAGTCCTGGGTCCCACATCCAGGCTCTGCCTCCGGGTGTCAGAGTCTCCCTTGATGGCCTCCCCTTCACACCTGTGACCAAAGGGCGGTCTCCCATCCACTCCCAGCCCCAACCTCCTTCATACAACAGAGGTCCCGGCTTTCTGCTACCCAGTAATTCTAATGGAACCCCCACTCCAAGGCTCCAGGTTGCAGAGGCCTCGGAATCTGACTAAAGGAAAGGAGCTACCCACCACGGCCAGGAGGTCTGCTGAGCTGCAGGAATAGCTCGAGTCCCACAGGTCACCGACGAATAGCCTCAGCTGTTAACACCCCAAAGCATGGGTAAGGAAGAGGCTTTATGGTAATTTACTCCATTGAGGGGTGCAGGGTTCTCGGGAGCAGCGCTCTGTGGTCAGGGAATGATCTGCAGTGGGTCAACATGTCACATTGTGACACATGGACAAACAGCAGGCCTGGACAGGCAAAGTCACATCGATTCCAGGCCACACACCACACACAACAAAGGGCAGGGGAATGGGTGGGGGCTGCTGGAGAGGGGACAGGTCCTCCTGGGATCCATCACCCCTGCAGAATCTGCCTGCAGCGCTGCAGCCCCCACTGCCCCCAGAGCTGCCCTCATGCCCTGGCACCATAAGCTGACTCGGGTAACGTTTATTTAGGGCAACTTTGGGTTAGAGCCCTGTGCCTGGCACAAAGACATAAGGATGAGTGTGCCAGAGTCTTTTTCCTCTAAGTTTATTCTCTGGGCCGGGCGCGATGGCTCACCCCCGTAATCCCAGCACTTTGGGAGGCCTAGGCAGGCGGATCACAAGGCCAGGAGTCAGAGATCAGCCTGGCCAATATGGTGAAACCCCGTTTCTACTAAAAATACAAAAATTAGCTGGACATGGTGGTGCACGACTGTAGTCCCAGCTACTGGGGAGGCTGAGGCAGAAGAATCACTTGAACCTGGGAGGCAGAGGTTGCAGTGAGCCGAGATCATGCCACTGCACTCCAGCCTGGATGACAGAGCGAGACTCCATCTCAAAAAAAAAAAAAAAGAAGAAGTTTATTCTCTGGCCGTGCCCAGTGGCTCACGCCTGTAATCCCAGCATTCTGGGAGGCCAAAGCAGGCAGATCACCTGATGGTCAGGAGTTCGAGACCAGCCTGGACAACATGGTGACACTCCGTCTCTACTAAAAATACAAAAATAGCCAGACGTGGTGGCAGGCACCTGTAATCCCAGCTACTGGAGAGGCTGAAGCAGGAGAATCGCTTCAACCCAGGAAGTGGAGATTGCAGTGAGCCGAGATCACGCCACTGCACTCCAGCCTGGGCAACAAGAGTGAAACTTCATCTCAAAAAATAAAATAAAATAAAAATATTTTTTAAAAAGTTTATTCTCTGGTAGAAGAGGAGAAGCCATTTCATATTAAGCCAGCCCCCTAACCCTGTTTTTCCACATAAGAGGCCACCTGGCTCAGAGGACTCTGGCCTTTGGCAGCCACTGTCTGAGCTGGGAGCTTCACCACCCACCGTGAGGGACCATGGCAAGCCTCCCATGACCAATCTAAGCCCAGGTTTCCCTTGAGTGGAATGGGGGTGATGAGACAGGCCACCTGAGGTTACCTTCTGCACAGAAGCAAGAACAGATGTAAAAGTACAGGGCCCACTCAGGGCCGAGGCTGGCGGCCCCTCTACTCTGTCTGCTTAATGTCAACTAATACAGGTCCCTCTCTCACCATTCACTCTCTGGAGGGACCCTCCTGGGAAGACCCCGATGCTGGAATCTGAGGTCAGGCAAGCCCTGGGCAGCAAAAACCACCTCATGGCAGGAGGGGTGGAAGTTAGAATGTCACAATGCGACTGTGGTCTCTAGATCCCACAGTAAAACGAAATGGCAGGCAGCTGCTCCAGTTCCCTAGATCCATAACTCCTTTCAGGAGGGTGAAATGTCATTCATTCTTCAATTAACAAGTGTGACCTGCACCAAACTCAAAAGGCACTGACAGCTCACGTGCTCCAGCAGGGGTGGGTGTGGGGCCCACGGGTAAGACGGTGCTTCTCAAGGCCCTGCTCGCCTCCACGCTGGGCTGCCTCTTCTCACTCCTCTGCTGGTTGTGAGCTTCACCCCATTTTCTTTTTTCTTTCCTTTTTTTTTGAGATGGAGTCTCACTCTATCACCCAGGCTGGAGTACAGTGGCGCGATCTCTGCTCACTGCAAGCTCCACCTCCCGGGTTCACGCCATTCTCCTGCCTCAGCCTCCTAAGTAGCTGGGACTACAGGCGCCCGCCACCATGCCCAGCTATTTTTTTGTATTTTTAGTAGAGACAGGGTTTCACCGTGTTAGCCAGGATGGTCTCGATCTCCTGACCTCATGATCCGCCTGCCTCGGCCTCCCAAAGTGCCGAGGGATTACAGGCGTGAGCCACCGCACCCGGCCCAAACCTGGCTAATTTTTTTTTATTTTGTAGACATGGAGTCTCACCACATTGCCCAGTTTGGTCTGGAACTCCTGGGCTCAAGTGAGTCTCCCACCTCGGCCTCCTCCCAAAGTACTGAAACTACAAGTGTGAGCCACCAAGCCCAGCCATCTTCCTTTTCTTTACCTTTACCTTCCAGGGCCCAGGACAGAACCTGCTAGGTGCTACTGTGTCTCTGTGTAAATACACATTGTATTTTGAAGACAATAGTAACAATAAGCCAGCCAACCTTCACTCGGAAGTGAACCAGCTGCCAAGCTCTGGCAAGGGACTTGCAGGAGGCAGAACAGAGTGCTGATGAGACAAGGACGCCCGTGCCACGGCGGGCAGCCATCTCCCCTCGCTGAGCACCGCTTCCTAGCCTGGGAGGTGGGAATGGTAGAGGTGCCATGGGACGCCAGGAGGATTAAATGAGAAAGTGCAAGGAAAGCACTCAGCGCAGTGCCTGGCGGGGGGCATGGCTAGACAGACGCTGGCTGTGACAACTGTGTCATCGAGTCCTGGTGACAACCCTGCGAGGCATGCCCACTCTTCAGATTAAGAACTGAGGTGAGTGGCCAGGCGCGGTGGCTCACGCCTGTAATCCCAGCACTTTGGGAGGCCAAGACAGGTGGATCACCTGAGGTCAGGAGTTCAAGACTAGCCTAGCCGATATGGTGAAACCCCGTCTCCACTAAACATACAAAAATTAGCCGGGCGTGGTGGCAGGCGCCTGTAATCCCAGCTACTCTGGAGGCTGAGGCAGGAGAATCGCATGAACCTGGGAGGCGGAGGTTGCAGTGAGCTGAGGTCATGCCACTGCACTCCAGCCTGGGCGACAGAGCGAGAATCCATCTCAAAAACAAACAACAACAACAAAAAGAAGTGAGGTGAGGTATGAAGCAAAAGCTGACAGAACTAAAGGGTGGAAAAGACAAATCCACAGTTCTTGTTAGGGCCCTCCATGGTCCTCTCAGTGACTGAGAGAATCAAAGCAGTGGACAAGAAGGCTGCTGGAGCTGGCAAGGTCACCAAGTCTGCCCAGAAAGCTCAGAAGGCTAAATGAATATTATCCCTAATACCTGCCACCCCGCTCTTAATCAGTGGTGAAGAACGTCTCAGAACTGTTTGTTTCAATTGACCATTTAAATTTAGTAGTAAAAGACTGGTTAATGATAACAATGCATCATAAAACCTTTAGAAGGAAAGGAAAATGTTTTGTGGACCACTTTGGTTTTCTTTTTTGCCTGTGGCAGTTTTAAGTTATTAGTTTTTAAAATCAGTACTTTTGAATGGAAACAACTTGACCAAAAATTTGTCGGGCCGGGCGCGGTGAGTCATGCCTGTAATCCCAGCACTTTGAGAGGCTGAGGCGGGCGTATCATGAAGTCAGGAGATCGAGATCATCCTGGCTAACACGGTGAAACCCCGTCTCTACTAAAAAATTAAAAAAATTAGCTGGGCGTGGTGGCAGGCGCCTGTAGTCCCAGCTACTCGGGAGGCTGAAGCAGGAGAATGGCGTGAACCCGGGAGGTGGAGCTTGCAGTGACCCAAGATGGCGCCACTGCACTTCAGCCTGGGCGACAGAGCGAGACTCCGTCTCAAAAAAAAAAAAAAAATTGTCACAGATTTTTGAGACCCATTAAAAAAAATCTAATGAGAAAGAAAGAAAGAAAAAGAAAGAGAAAAAGAAAGAAAGAAAAAGAAAAAGAAGGAAGGAAAGAAAGAAAGAAAGAAAAAGAAAGAAAGAAAGAAAGAAAGAAAGAAAGAAAGAAAGAAAGAAAGAAAGAAAGAAAGAAAGAAAGAAAGAAAAAAAAAAACGCAGGTGGAAAATCGGGAGGACGCAGCTGACCTGAGCAGCGCCATCCAGTGGCTGGACCTGACCACAGCACATGGCAGCCTTGGGAACAGCCTGCAGTCTCTGGTGTCACCAAAACAGATCACACTTGGGGCCACCAAACAAACCTTAAATTTAAACGAATAGAAAGCATACACAGTATGCTCCCAAACCACCACAGAATTAAACTCGAAATCAGTCACAGAAAGCGATCGTGGAAAGAATGCACGCGAGGGCCAAATGGGAAGTCTTGGGAAATCTAGAAACATTTTGAACTGAATGAAAATGAGAATAGAACACATGAAACCCTGTGGGATGCGGCTAAGGCAGGGCTTCTATTAGTAAGGAAGAAAAGTCCCAGGTCAGGAATATAAGCTTTGCCCTTAAGAAATTACAGAAAGAGTGGCTGGGCGCAGTGGCTCATGCCTATAATCCCAGTACTTTGGGAGGCTGAAGCAGGCAGATTACTTGAGGTCAGGAGTTCAAGACCAGCCCGGCCAACATGGTGAAACCCCATCTCTACTAAATATACAAAAATTAACCAGGCGTGGTGGAGGGCGCCTGTAATCCTAGCTACTTGGGAGGCTGAGGCAGGAGAATTGCTTGAACCCGGGAGACGGAGGTTGCAGTGAGCCGAGATTGCACCACTGCATTCCAGCCTGGGCAACAGAGGAAGACTCCGTCTCAAAAAAAGAAAGAAAGAAATTAGAGAAAGAGGAATGAGTTAAACCCAAAGGAGGCAGGACAAAAAATTAAAGATAAGCAAAAATCAATCAAATTGAAAACAGGAAAACAATAGAGAAAAAAAAATTACACCCAAAGCTGGTTCTTTGGGGAAAATTTATTTTCCCAATAAAACTGAGAAACCTCCAGCCAGCCTGACCAAGAAAAAAAGAGAAAAGACACAAAATATCAATATCAGAAATAAAAGGGGGGACTTCTCTACTGACCTCACAAACATTAAAGTAATAATAAGGGAATACTATGAATAACACAAATTAAGTAACTTAGATGAAATGAACCGATCCTTGCAAGACACAACTGTCAAAATTCATTCAAGAAATAATCCTTTATCTTTTAAAGGATTTGAATTTATGGCTTAAAAACCTAAAAAAAGAAAGCCTTGAGCCCAGATGGTTTCCTGGATGAATTCTGCCTAACATTTAAGGAAAAAATAATTCCAATTCCACACAATCTCTTCCAGAATATGGAAGAGGGAGGCAATACTTCCCAACTCACTGTATTACCCTAACACTAAAACCAGGCCGGGTGCAGTGGCTCACCGCCTGTAATCCCAGCATTTTGGGAGGCCAAGGTGGGTGGATCACTTAAGGTCAGGAGTTTGAGACCAGCCTGGCCAACAACCCTGTCGCTACTAAAAATACAAAAAACAAAACAAAACAAAACAAAAACCAGGTGTGGTGGTAGGTGCACCTGTAATCCCAGCTACTCGGGAGCCTGAGGTGGGGGAATTGCTTGAACTCGGGAGGCGGAGGTTGCAATGAGCTGGTATCACGCCACTGCATTCCTGAGTACATGCCTGAGCAACAGAGCGAGACTCTGTCTTAAAATAAATAAATTAATTAAATCAAATGAAACCAGATAAAGAAAGAAGATCCCCCCAAAAATTAGAGCAAATCAAATCCAGCAATATATACAAAGGATAATATGTTAGGACCAGCCAGAGATCACCCCAGGAATCCAGAGCTAGTTCAACATTCAAAACATCAATGGAATTCATATTTACAGCTTAATGAGGAAAAACAGTGTCATCTCAACAGAGGCAGGGGAAACAAGCTCCAAGAGTTTCTGTCATTGTTTTGATGAGCAGCCACGGAAAGCCTCAACCCTGCTCTGTCTTGGCTGATGCCAAAATTACTGAAGACAAAATGTACGGCCTTGAAAACACCACAGAGTAACTCATCTAATATAACGGCCTAATGTTTATTTCAACTAAAGTAATACAATCAAAAGATTTTTGGAAACGATTTTGGATAAAGGCAAACATTTTTCCCTGAAAGGCAGTCAAGATACCCCGCATCGGCCATCGGAGCTTTGCCTCCAGGGTCTTACTCGGGTGCCCATATTACACACAGGGACCTGTGTCCCCTGCCCCAGGTCTCTCAGCCTTCTGAATACAAGGGCTTTGCCTTCTTGAGGACCACCCTTAGGTGGGCTGCACTCGATACTTCATAAAGCTTTACACCCCTCATCTCATTCTGGTCTTCACCATAACCCCCTCACTGTCCCCATTCTTCTTGACACCAACACCAAGCTGGAGACATCATCACTCACCCGCTCTGGTGAGCAGGTGATTCGCTATGGAAAAGGGACCTGAGACCTGGGCATGTGCCCTTGCTCTGAGGACCTCAGTGTGCTCTGCCAGCCTGGGTGCCCGCACCCCTAGGCCCTACTGGAGTCATCTTCTGAATCCTGGAGGTGCCCCGGCCTGTGGACAGCAAGATGCAGACCCTGCTCTCATCCATCTGCCACCCCACTGCCTTCAGGCAGCTGCCCAGCTGAGGAGCAAGGCTCCAGAATCCTGACAGGGAGGGCAACAAGGAGCAAAAGGGCCTTAGTCAGTGGGGCTGCAGCGGGCACACTCCTCACCCTAACTCCTCAGCCCAATGGCTGATTCTTTGGGTTGTTTGTTTTTGTTTTGAGACAGAGTTTCGCTCTTCTAGCCCAGGCTGGAGTGCAATGGCGTGATATCAGCTCACTGCAACCTCCACCTACGGGGTTCAAGTGATTCTCCTGCCTCAGCCTCCCGAGTAGCTGGGATTACAGGCATGTGCCGCCACGCCTGGCTAACTTTTTATATTTTTAGTAGAGATGGGATTTCTCCATGTTGGTCAGGCTGGTCTCAAACTCCCGACCTCAGGTGATCCACCTGCTTTGGCCTCCCAGAGTGCTGGGATTACAGGCGTGAGCCACCGTGCCCAGCCCCAACAGCTGATTTTTTTTTTTTTTTTTTTAAAAACAAAAGCAAGATTCTGTACCTGCTGAAGCAGGCCCAGAAAAGAGCTGGTGGAGGGCATGGTACCCAGAGCAGCACTGTTTGGTATGACATGGCAGCCACTGGTCACAGGCAGTGCCACAAGCTTGGAATGCCACAGGACAAAATATGTCTGATATATATTTTGGTAACAATAAAATATATTGTCAAAATTATTTTTCTATTTCTTTGCTATTTTCCATTTCTTCTCACTAATTTAACATGGCTACTAGAAAGGTTTAAATTATGCATGTGGCACACGATGTTTCTACTGGACAGCACAGCAGCACAGGGCTAGCACCGGAGATCCTGCAGCTCAGACGCCCATGGGGTGAACAAAAACCTTGCAACTCTCCCAGGCCAGGGACTGACATATTTTAAAACCGGAGATTTTGATTGAGGAGGGAGTAGAGCTACCACATAAGCAAATATGTAATGTTGTATGTTGTATGTTTCTTTCTTTCTTTCTTTAAGAAAAATCCCTTGGCAACAGGAAGCTTAACTGCACCAACAAGGACAGCAGAAGAAAAGCAGAATGTTAGTCAACAAGGGTCACCCTGACCCGAACCCCAGCCCCAGCTCTCTCCAGCTGCACAGCCCTGGGGAGAAAGGAGAAAGAGCAGAGAAGCCCACCCCTCACACACCCGGTTAGTCTCCCCTGCCCACTGGCAGGCCCTGGGGCAGGCCCCTAGATGGGTCTGCAAAGGGACACTGCCCCCTTGCATTCTGCCCCCCCTTCTACATGGCTCCCCCACCCACCCTTCTACACGGTGGCTTCTGAGGGCAGCCCCTGGAGGTGATCATGACCCCCCATCTTGATCTGAGGATTAACAGATACAGGTTCACCTGGTGAAAATGCAGGAGCTGTAGGGGTAGGACCCATCACTCATCTGACTGCATGTTGTAATTCAATGGACAGTTTACTAAAGTAATAGTCTTCTTCCTGTCCTCTGCTGAGCACCCATCTGGCCAACGGTCCTGCGCTCCCTCAGGGCCAGCGGCCCATCTCCTCCTGTGCCTCCTGGAGGGCTTCGCAACTGCCTCCCTCCTCTGGGGAATCTTGCCCCACTGACTGACCTTTCGGCTCTCAGATCCCAGGTCCCTCCCTCGCAGATACGGCAACAGGCTCTCTTGGGATTTCAATCCCGCCTTCCCATCAGCTACTCTTCAAAACACTAACTGGTATTAGCTCCTTCAGAGAACTCTCTGGCTTTCCAGGCCTACAATCTCCCTCCCTAGAATGAAAGCTCAGTGACAGAAGTGCCCTTAAACTTCTGAGTGACACGAGGCCCTCAGCCGGCCCTGAATCAATACTGGCTGGATCAGTGAGTGAATAAATGCACATGTGAGTAAGGAATGAAGGGAGCGAAAGAACTGGATTAGAAGCTGCTTGGGGCAGAGATGTGCCTTACAGGCTTCATGAAGAGTGGGTGATGAAAAAGGTAAATGGAGCATCTAAGAGGAAGCTTTGATAGAAGGGAGAATGCAAGAGAGGTTGGAAATTGGAATCCATTGGAATTGGGAGCCTGGGGAGATGCCAGGACAGGCACTCTCTGGCCTAGGACTCTGCAGAGGGCAGCCTCAGCAGGCAAGCCAGGCCCCCAGCTTCTGGGGCCGGTCGCACCCATTATGGCCCCGAAACGGCTGGGTGGTGGTCTGCAGCCTGCCCAGGGCCGGCTGGGAGACAGGCAGGGTCCCCACCACTCTCTTGCCTCTGGGCAAAAGCTGGCCTCCTGACCCTGGGGGATGGACGGGAGCAGGGGCCACACAACACACTCCCAAACATATAATCGGCCTCCTTCACCCTCGCCCACGCTCAGTCACACACAGCCTCGGTCATACACACTCACACTCACTCTCCGGCACACTCTCAGAGCATCACATAATTTCAGTGAGACACAATCCCAAAGACTAACACGGACAACCTCTGAGTCTCACACAATCTCAGGGCCACACACAGGCACACAATCAGACGAGCTCAGGAACGCCCCCGTCTCTGACACACGCAATCTGAGGTTTACACGCGCGCGCACACGCACACACACAGACACCAGCCGGCGCTCCCGCACGCGGCTCCCCCACCCCCGCCACGCCACGCCCCCATTGCCTGGGAACTGGCGGCCCCGCCCCGCAGCGTTTGAGGCGCCGCAAGCCTTCACGCCCCTCGGGCCTTGCAGATCCCTCTCCCAGTTTCCGCGGCGGTCCGGTGCGGTCAGTACCTGTCTAAAATCAATATTGCCGAGGCCTCCGCAGCAGTCAGGCCCTGCCACCGAGCTGTTCGTTACCTCGGCTCCCGGGTTCCCAGATCTCTTCATCCGGGGGCCGCCTCAGGAGGCACCACGCGGGCCCCGCTGCAGCCACGCGCCCCCGGAACCGGACCTATAGAGCCGGGTAAGTGCCGCCAGTCGGGGCGCTTTCCCGGTGACCCCCAACATATTCCGGCCTTCTGGGAAATGTAGTTCCCCGTCACCGCGAAGTGCCTCTTTATCTGGGGGCTCGCGACAGCGTCTAGAGGAGCCGAGAACTACAAGTCCCAGTGTGTTTCGCCGCAGAGCCTGCCGGTTCCGCTGCAGCTACGTAGCAGTATCCCCTTGGATCCGGCCTCCCGCCCAGTGCCTTTGGTCGCCGGCTGCCGCACCCGAGCCTGTAACTGACCTGGCGTCCCTGCCCTTGCCTGGCGGCGGTGGGGCTAGAGGCCGGGGGCCGCGGGTCGTAGCTATAAGCAGCTTCCCGCGCAGCCTCCTGCGGACTTGGACTTGGCCCGGGTCACACACGCCCAGGGCCCCACACGCCCAGGGCCCCACGCCCTCTTCTGAAATTCGCTTTACTCTGGGGGCGGTGCGCGACGAGCACTGCCTAGAGCTTCCCGCCCCCGCGGCGCCCAGGCTCTTTAGCTCGGCCAAAGACCCCTCCTCCACTCATTTTTTCCTTCATTCATTCTCTCATTCACTCTCGAGTATTTTCTGAACCAGACTGTGCGCTGAGGGTACGGTAGGGAACAACACAGAGTCCCCCGCCCTCGCTTCCTCCTGACTGAGATAAAAGACAAAATGTGAATAAAGGGTTATAATATGGATGAGTACTGTGGTGGAAAAAACGGGGTGGGTCAAATGGTACGGAAGGATGCTGTCTTAGAATGTGCAGGGGAGGTGCCAGATGTGCCAAGTGTGAGGGCAGGGCAAACAAGGCAAGACGAATGGTATGTACAAAGGCCTGGAGACAGGACGGGCACCTAAGGAACAGAGAAAAGACCGGTGAGCTGTGGAGTAGTGATGGAGGGGGTCAAATGGAGAAGAGTTTAGACGATCGGGTCCCAGAAGAACCCCTTTTGTAGGCCGGGTGTGGTGGCTCATGCCTGTAATCCCAGCACTTTGGGAGGCCGAGGTGGGCGGATCACCAGAGGTCGGCAGTTCGAGACCAGCGTGACTAACACGGTGAAACCCCGTCTCTATTAAAAATACAAAAAATAGCCGGGTGTGGTGCGCGCACCTGTAATCCCAGCTACTCAGGAGGCTGAGGCAGGAGAATCGCTTGAACCCAGGAGGTGGAGGTTGCAGTGAGCGGAGATGGTGCCATTGCATGCCAGCCTGCGCGACAGAGCGAGACTCCCTCTCAAAAAAGAAAAAAGCCCTTTTGTAGCCAGGTGTTATGTAATATGGGGAAATAGACTGAGAGGTTCCAAGATTTGCTCAGTCACCCAGACTGCTGGGGGCCCAGACAGGACTTCTGCAGTCAGCTGCTTCCTGCTCCAGATGGCCCGTTTCTCTCCACCTTGGCCCACAGCACCTACCAGTGTTGAGCATTTACTGAGCAGCCACTGTGTGCTGCTTTAGAGGTAGTCCCAATCTTCACAACATCGCTAGGATGGGGCAGGCCAACCGAGGAGACAGGAAAGACACTGGCTTTGGAGCATGCACTATCTCTGTGACTGAGCCCACCTTCATTTTCCTCAAAAGTAAAAGGGAAATACATGTTGGTAAAACTCATCACCCAGGAACTGGCCTGTGGGAAGTGCTCAGTAGGCATTGGCCCCCGGCAGGGCTGGGGACACAGGCTCAGGGCTGGTTCTCTGACTTACCACTGTTACTAATGAGTGTCGGGACCCTTTCCCTGCTCAGTGTCCAGGCAGAGCTGCTAGAGGCAGAGCCATTTCTGAAGGAGCCCCCCGCAGCGGGAGGGCTTCTAGCAAGTCTTTCCCCTCCGCCTACCACACATCCACTTCACTGATGTTCCAGTCTTCTGACCTAACTGGTCACTCCTGTTTTGTTAAGCCCAGAAAACAAATTTTTGTGCGTTTGCTTTATCTGAGAACAAAGTAAGGCAACCGTAAGAGGTCACACCAGAACTGATGCAGTCCGATCCTCTACTCCAGCCTACCCAACCTGGGCCACCCTTCCTCTGTGAAAAGCAAACACCCCACCCAGGAGACAGACTTGCAGCTTGAAACAAGTCAGATAAAAACCTCCTGCCTGGCTCACACCTGGAATCCCAGCACTTTGGGAGGCCGAGGCAGGCGGATCATGAGGTCAGGAGTTCAAGACCAGCCTGACCAACACAGTGAAACCCCGTCTCCACTAAAAATACAAAAATTAGCTAGGCATGGTGGTGCACACTTGTAATCCCAGCTACTCAGGAGGCTGAGTCAGGAGAATTGCTTGAACCCAGGAGGTGGAGGCTGCAGTGAGCCGAGATCGCGCCACTGCACTCCAGCCTGGGCCAGGCTGGGCATGGTGGCTCACGCCTGGAATCCCAGCACTTTGGGAGGCCAAGGCGGGCAGATCACGAGGTCAGGAGTTCGAGACCAGCCTGGCCAGCATGGTGAAACCCCGTCTCTACTAAAAATACAAAAATTAGCCAGGCATGGTGGTGCACACCTGTGATCCTAGCTACTAAGGAGGCTGAGGCAGGAGAATCACTTGAACCTGGGAGGTGGAGGTTGCAGTGAGCCGAGATTGCACCACTGCACTCCAGCCTGGGCGACAGAGATTCCATCTAAAAAAATAAAAATAAAAAACCCTGCCAAAGATACTTTGGGGCACAAGTACTTGCCTGAGCCTTTCAAAAGTTCCCAAGTCTGAGAGCTTGTAGAGAAATTATCCAGGCCAACCTCCCTCACTGAAACATTCCTTCTGTGGCATCTTGGGCAAATGGAAAAGTTGGTTCTGCTTACGTGCCGCCAGTGATGAGAGGTTCCCCACCTCTTGAGGTCGCCCGCTCCACTGATGGACAGGGGTCCATTAACCCAAAGTCATGATACCCATTAACCCAAAGTCACCCTTCCTGAAGCTTTAACAAACAAAAGTTCCTTTCTACCTTCAGGGTTATCTCTCTTTGCCCCTTGATTGAGCTCTTCAGATATAGGAAACCATTTATCATGGAACAGCTCCCAGGGCAAACCTCCTGATGGCCTCTCTTTTCTCTAACCCCACCTCCCTGGCTCCTGAATTATGAATCAGGCTGCAGAAACTCCCAGCAATCATTAAAATGGGGTTTTAGTGCTAAAATTAACATGTGTTTATTGGGTGCCTTTGGGTAAAACCTAAACCTTTCCCTACTCTGAATCTATTTTCTGTTCATAAAACATAATAATATTTATATCATAGAATATCTCTTGAGTATAATATCTCGAGTGAGGCTGTTGTGAGGATTAGAGGTAATAACTCGTACAAAAGTGCCTGGCATACAGTGGGTTCTAAGAAAATGTCCAGGCCAGGCGCAGTGGTTCATGCCTGTAATCTCAGCACTCTGGGAGGCCAAGGCAGGCAGATTGCATGAGCCCAGGAATTCGAGACAAGCCTGGGCAACATGGCAAAACCCCATCTCTACAAAAAAAAATACCAAAAAAAAATTAGCCGGGTGTGGTGCACGTGCCTGTACTCCCAGCTACTCGGGAAACTAAAGCGGCAGGATCACTTGAGCCCAGGAGAGAGAGACTTCAGGGAGCTGTGATTGTGCCACTGTACTCCAGCCTAAGTGACGAGAGTGAGACCCTGTCTCCAAAAAAAAAGAAAGAAAAAAATGTTTCTCTCCTTTCTATATAATTGAGATCTGGTGGTTAAGGTCACACTCATGGACATGCTGCTGGGATTTAGGACACCACTGGGGGCCAGGAGAGCTGGCTGACAGCTCAGGGACCTGCCAGAGTTCCTGGGAGGAGATGGGTGGGCAGGGGCCAGGATGGGTGGCCAGAGCTGCTCCCCAGACAGCAGGTACTGCAGGTTATCAGAAACCATATTGTCACTGGGAGTGCTTTAAAACCAGGAAGGTGGTGAGGGGCTGTGGCCGCAATGCCCAGCACCCACTTCATAGACTCAGGCCTGATTGCCCTCATTCTACCCCTGGTGGCTCCAGGAACAAGAGGGTAGCCAGGGTGGGAACTGGGGCAGGGGAGAGGTCATCTGGAGATGTGTGCCCTGATCACGAGTTCCCTCCCCACTCCCATCTGCCCTGAGCTTTGGAAGAAGCCCCTTCCCCAAGGACCTACTACTTGCTGGGAAGAGGGCACGGGAGTGAAGTTACCTGAACCCAGTTGTCCACAGCCTAGGCCAGCCTGGGAAACACCAGCAAGGATGTTGGTGCTGGCAGGGCCTCACTGCCCCTCAGTGTCCACAGTGTCCACAGAGCACAAACCCCTGCCTTCCAGCTGGCCTCCAGAGGTCCTAAACACCCCAGGTATACACCCACCACAGGGCATTTTCATGTGCTATGTCCTCCGCCTGGGTTGCTCTTCCCCGCATTTCCTCCCAGTACCCTCCTCACCTCCTCTGGGTTCTGCTCAAGTTCCACCTCTCCACCCTGTTGAACATGCTGACTTCCCCATGCTCGCCATGGGCCTCTCCCAACTTTATTTCTCTCCATTGGCCATATCATTTAACAAATGTATTTAGTGCACTTATTTATTTTGTATAGTGTCATTCCCTGTCCATCCCCTATCCCCTATAAGGGGAACTTCACCAGGGCAGAGATTTTTTGTTTGTTTGTTTTTTGAGACGGAGTCTTGCTCTGTCGCCCAGGCTAGAGTGCAGTGACGTGATCTCGGCTCACTGCAACCTCTGCCTCCCGGGTTCCAGCAATTGTCCTGCCTCAGCCTCTGGAGTAGCTGGGACTACAGGTGCGCACCACCACACCCAGCTAATTTTTCTATTTTTTAGTAGAGACAGGGTTTCACTATATTGGCCAGGCTGGTCTCAAACTCCTGACATCAGGTGATCCACCTGCCTCAGCCTCCCAAAGTGCTGGGATTACAGGCATAAGCCACCACCCCTGGCTTTTTTTTTTTTTTTTAAGAGACCCCTGGGTTTAAAATCCTGGGCCCAAGCGATCCTCCTGACTCAGTCTCCGGAATAGCTGAGACTACAAGTGCATGCCACCATGCCCGGCTAAGGGCAGGGATGTCTTTTTTTTGAGATGGAATCTCACTCTGTCACCCAGGCTGGAGTGCAGTGGCATGATCTCAGCTCACTGCAACCTCCCCTCCACCCCGGGTTCAAGTGATTCTCCTGCCTCAGCCTCCCAAGTAGCTGGGATTACACGTACACACCACCATGCCCTGCTAATTTTTTTGTACTTTTAGTAGAGATGAGGTTTTGCCATGTTGGCCAGGCTGGTCTCGAACTCCTGACTTCAGGTGATCCGCCCGCCTTGGCCTCCCAAAGTGCTGGGATTACAGGCATGAGCCACCATGCCCAGTCCTGAGGGCAGGGATTTCTATCTGTTTGTACACAGCCCTGTCCTGGGCACCTAGCTCTGGCACAAAGCAGGCATTGAATATACAATGAGTGAATGAATACTGTAGCTCTGCCACTCTGAGTTGGGTGATCTTGGGAAAGCCACTTTTCTGGGCCTCAGTGACCGTGTCTGTGGAATGGGGAGGGTGACCAAGTCTGTTACCTAAATAAGAGACCAAACCCACCTATTAAGATTGAAGTTCGGCCGGTTGTGGTGGCTCACGCCTGTAATCCCAGCACTTTGGGAGGCCAAGACGGGTGGATCACCTAAGGTCAGGAGTTTGAGACCAGCCTGGCCAACATGGTGAAACTCCGTCTCTACTAAAAATACAAAATTAGCCAGATTTGATGGGGGGCACCTGTAATCCCAGCTACTAAGGGAGGCTGAGGTGGGAGAATCACTTGAACCTGGGAGGCGAAGGTTGCGGTGAGCTGAGACCATACCATTGCACTCCAGCCTGAGCAATAAAAGCGAAACTCTGTCTCAAAAAAAAAAAAAGATTAAAGTTCCTGGCTGGGTGTGGTGGCTCACGCCTATAATCCCAACATTTTGGGAGGCCAAGATGGGTGGATTGCTTGAGCTTAGTAGTTCAAGACCAGCCTGGGAAACATGGTGAAGTCCTGTCTCTACGAAAAAAAAAAAAAATTAGCCAGGCATGGTGGCGTGCACCTGTAGTCCCAGCTACTCAAGAGGCTGAGGTGGGAGGATCACTTGAGCCCGGGAAGTTGAGGCAGCAGTGAGCCATGATGGCTCACTACACTCCAGCCTGGGCAGCAGAGTGAGACCCTGTCTCGGAAAACAAAACAAAACAAAACAAACAAAAAAACAAAAAAAAAACCTAAACATGGAAACAATAGCTAATCTGTCTGAGCTCTTGCTGGCTGCAGGCCCTGAGCTCAGCACTTGAAGCACACATTTTCTTTAAGCCTCACAAGAGCCCTGTGAGGTAGGGAATGTTATTCTGACTTTCCAGATGAGGTAATTGACTCATGTGGAAGGTACTGGCCCACAGTCACACAGCTGAGTGTCAGAGTTGAAACCTGTGGTCTGATGAAGGCAAAACATTCTTCCTTACAATGGCCCTGAGGTCCTGGATGGTCCGGGCCCAATCCACCTTCCCAGCTCTTCTTGCCCTCTGTACTCCAGCCACACTGGCCTCTTTGAGGTTCCTTCCAGCCACAGGGCCTTTGCACCTCCTGTTCACTCTGCCAGGCACACTCTTCCCTTCTCTTCTTGGAGATCAAGAATGGTCCCCTCATCGTCTGCCCTGCCCACCTCCACATCCCCTGCCAGCAGCCAGTACACACCTGGCACCCAGATGGCACTGGGTGAATATTTGCTGAATGAAGGAGGTCAGAATTGAATTTAAGTCCCATGAAAATATACTTCAAAAATGAAGGTGGCCGGGCGCAGTGGCTCACCTGTAATCCCAGCACTTTGGGAGGCTGAGGTGGGCGAATCACGAGGTCAGGAGATGGAGACCATCCTGGCCAACATGATGAAACCCATCTCTACTAAAAATACAAAAAAATTAGCTGGGTGTGGTGGCATGCACCTGTAGTCCCAGCTACTTGGGAGGCTGAGGCAGGAGAATCACTTGAGCCTGGGAGGCAGAGGTTGCAGCTGAGATTGCGCCACTGCACTCCAGACTGGTGACAGATCAAGACTCCGCCTCAAAAAAAAAAAAAAAAAAAAAAGGAGGCAAAAAGGCTGGGCACGGTGGCTTATGCCTGTAATCGTAGCACTTTGGGAGGCTGAGGCGGGCGGATCACCTGAGGTCAGGAGTTCGAGACTAGCCTGGCCAACATGGAGAAACCCCATCTCTACTAAAAATACAAAAATTAGTGGGGTATGATGGTGCATGCCTGTAATCCCAGCTACTTGGGAGGCTGAGGCAGGAGAATCACTTGAACCCAGGAGGCAGAGATTGCAGTAGGCCGAGATCGTGCCACTACACTACAGCCTGGGTAGCAGAGCAAGACTCTGTCTCAAAAAAAAAAAAAAAAAAAAAAAAAGCAGAGGCAACGTAAAGCTATTTTCAGACAAACAAAGGCTGAGAGAATTGATCACCAGCAGGCCCAACCTGAAAAGAAATACCATGGGCGGGTTCTGCAGGCAGCAGGAAAATGATCCCAGTTGGAAGCCCACGAACACAGGAAGGAATGAAAAAGACACATACGTGTAGGTAAATCTAGATAAGTATTAGGTGCTTGTAAAAATAAAATAATCTTGTGGAGTTTAAAATATTTACCTTGGTAATTGAGAGAAAAGGCAGAAAAAAATCGGTAAGACTATAGATTTGAACATGATTGGCATTCATAGAACTCTCCTCCTAGCAACTGTAGAATGTACCTTCTTCCCCAGTTCACACTGAACATTGGCCAAAACAGACCCTATGCTGGGGCATAAAGCCAATCTCAACAGATTTCAAATGATTGAAATCATAGTTTATGCTCTTTTTTTTTTTTGAGACGGAGTTTCGCTCTTTTTGCCCAGGCTGGAGTGCATTCTCGGCTCACAGCAACCTCCGCCTCCTGGGTTCAAGCCATTCTCCTGCCTCAGCCTCCGGAGTTGCTGGGACTACAGGCATGTGCCACCACGCCTGGCTAATTTTGTATTTTTAGTAGAGTCTCTCGAGTAGCTGGTGGGGGCCACCACACCGGGCTAATTTTTGTATTTTTAGGTGAGCTGGGGTTTCACCATGTTGGCCATGTTGGTCTCGATCTTCTGACCTCAGGTGATCGGCCAACCTCAGCTTCCCAAAGTGCAGGGATTACGGGCATGAGCCACCGCGCCCGTCCTGCCTTCAAGTCTTGAATGCTGCTCTTTCCCCCCTTCCTGTGCACACCCCTGTGGAGCAGTTTTCCACTCTGTGGTAATGGCCTGCTTATGCCCTAGCCGCTTCTGAGCCGCCACGGCAGGGACTGCTTGTTATTGTTTATTCGCACAGCACTCTGTCTGTCCGAGTAGCACTAAGTTGGCACTCAATGCTTCATGCCTCCTCCTGACCCCAGCCCTCTATCTGTGAGATTAAATGGGAAATGCTATCTTCTCATACAGTCTGGTCACCTGCCCCTCCCCTGGCCACTGTTGCTTGAGTAGAGTTGGTCACCTGACCCACCCTGAGCCAGTGATAGCACCCCAAGCCCTGGCCCCCATTGCTGGTCCATGGATGACACCTGACCCAGGCTGGACCTTGTTTCTGGGGTTGAAAAAAATGTATTGTCTGGCCCGTCGTGGTGGCTCACACTTATAATCCCAACACTGTGGGAGGCTGAGGAGTATGGATTGCTTGAGTCCAGGAGTTCAAGACCAGCCTGGACAACATGGTAAAACTCCATCTCCACAAAAAATACAAAAAAATTTAGCCAGGCATTGTGGCAAGTGCCTGTAGTCCCAGCTACTTGGGAGGCTGAGGTGGGAGGATCAGTTGAACTCGGGAGGTCGAGGCTGCGGTGATCCATGATTGTGCCACTGCACCCCAGCCTGGGCAACAGACACCCTGTCTCAAAAAAAAGAAAAAGTATTGTCTAGTTTGCAAATATTGGAAGATTTTTTTTAAAGTTATCATCTTGTTTTCCAGTTTAATCCCACTATGTTTAAGAGCATAGGCCGGGCGCGGTGGCTCACGCCTGTAATCCCAGCACTTTGGGAGGCCGAGGCGGGCAGATCACCTGAGGTCCAGAGTTCAAGACCAACATGGCCAACATGGTGAAACCCCAGCTCAACTAAAAATACAAAAATTAGCCCGGTGTGGTGGCCCCCACCAGCTACTCGAGAGACTAAGGCAGGAGAATCACTTGAACCCGGGAGGCGGAGGTTGCAGTCAGCCGAGATCATACCACTGCACTCCAGGCTGGGTGACAGAGTGAGACTCCATCTCAAAAAACAAAACAAAACAACAAAAAAGACCTGAGGCCGGGTGCAGTGGCTCACGCCTGTCATCCCAGCACTTTGAGAGGCCAAGGCGGGCAGATCACTGAAGTCGGGAGTTCGAGACCAGCCTAACCAACATGGAGAAACCCTGTCTCTACTAAAAATACAAAATTAGCCAGGCGTGATGGCGCACGCCTGGGAGGCTGAGGCAGGAGAATTGCTACAACCCAGGAGGCAGAGGTTGCGGTGAGCAGAGATCGCGCCATTGCACTCCAGCCTGGGCAACAACAGTGAAACTCCATCTCAAAAAAAAAAAAGACTTGAAGGCAGCCCTGATTAGAGCTAAGGATGGGGTAGGGCCTCACCAAAAACTCTTTCCTTCCAGTGGCACATGGATCTGCTTAATGTTGAAGTCTTGTTTAGGATTAATCCCTCAGGGTTGACCCTGGAAGCACAGAAGGACAGCCAAGCTGCTTTCTAAAGCTCAGTGCCTGCAGAATAGTACAGTTCCCATTTCCCTGCATACTCACCAGCACAGAGTATTAGTCCAAAAATGTTTATGTTACTTCAAAGTTGAAAAATTAGTTGAAAAATGTTATTTGCCTCTTTCCCACATCATTAGTGACGTTTTCGCATGTGCTTTTCATTTAAATTAGAATAGTGCTTTATTTGCACTACTTACCAACACAACTTCTCTTTGTGCCTTTTTTTCAAAAACACCCATGGATCTTAAGGGCCGGGCTCGGTGGCTCACGCCTGTAATCCCAGCACTCTAGGAGGCCCAGGCATGCGGATCACAAGGTCAGAAGATCGAGACCATCCTGGCTAACACGGTGAAACCCCGTCTCTACTAAAAAATACAAAAACTTAGCCGGGTGTGATGGCAGGCACATGTAGTCCCAGCTACTTGGGAGGCTGAGGCAGGAGAATGGTGTGAACCCAGGAGGCAGAGCTTGCAGTGAGCTGAGATCACGCCACTGCACTCCTGCCTGGGCGACAGAGCGATACTCCATCTCAAAAAACAAACAAACAAACAAACAAAACAAAACAAAAACACCCATGGATCTTAGTCTTTGCAGTCTCTTGAATTTATTAATTTAAATGAATTGGACTGTTGTAATGTTTAAGCGATACTTAAAAGTTTTTACCTTGCCGCGCACCGTGGCTCACGCGTGTAATCCCAACACTTTGGGAGGCTGAGGCGGGTGGATCACCTGAGGTCGGGAGTTTGAGACCAGCCTGGCCAACATGGTGAAACCCTGTCTGTACTAAAAATACAAAAATTAGGGCTGGGCATGGTGGCTCACGCCTGTAATCCCAGCACTTTGGGAGGCCAAGGCAGGCGGATCATGAGGTCAAGAGATTGACACCATCCTGGCCAACACAGTGAAACCCCGTCTCTACTAAAAATACAAAAATTAGCTGGGTGTGGTGGTGCATGCCTGTAATTCCAGCTACTCGGGAGGCTGAAGCAGGAGAATCGCTTGAACCAGGGAGTTGGAGGTTGCAGTGAACTGAGATCCTGCCACGGCACTCCAGCCTGGCAACAGAGTGAGACTTTGTCTCAAAAATAATATAAATAAATAAATAAATATATAAATAAATAAATAAAATTAAAAAAAATAAAAATACAAAAATTAGCCAGGTATGGTAGTGGGTGCCTGTAATCCCAGCTACTTGGGATGCTGAGGCAGGAGAATTGCTTGAACCCGGGAGGCAGAGATTGCAGTGAGCTGAGATCGCACTACCGCCCTCCAGCTTGGGGCACAGAGCAAGACTCCATCTCAGGGGGGAAAAATGTTTTTACCTTGAAAATTTTCCAACCCAACAAAAAATTGCAAGAATTATACATTAAACATCCTATATGTGTCACCTAGATTTGTTTTCAGCATTTTCTGGCCTTTGCTTTATCAGTTTCTATACAGTGATTTTTTTTTTTAATGAACTATTTGAGGGTAAGTTGCAGACTCTTTGCCCCTAAATCTCCAAAGAACAAAGACATTCTCCTATGAAACCACAGTACTGTGATCAAAAAATCAGGAAGTATACCATTGATACAATGGTGTTAGCTAATGTACAGTCCATATTCAAATTTCTCTGATTGATCTGACAATATCCTTTACCGTGCATTTTCTCCTCAGATCCAGGATCATGTGCTGTCTTTAGCAGGCTGTGATCTGGAACACTCCTTAGTCTGTCTTTGTCCTTCAGGAGAGACATTGACATTTTTGGAGAGCACGAGCAGGGTATTTTGTAGACGGCCCCTCAGGTGGGTTTGTCTAAGGCCACCTCCTGACTCACTGCAGGCTCTGCAAGAATGTCACCTGCGTGCTGCTCTGTCCCCGGTGCCTGTGGTGCCATGTCACGGGGAGCTGTGATTGCTGGTGAACAGCAGGCGTCTCCTCTGCAAAGGCATGTGAGGTTTTGCTATTTTCTTTGCTCTGAATGACCACTGCTGATGTGATGTTCTTATTGATTTGTCAGACTCGTGAGGCGTTTAAAGCCCCTCTCAGGAGGGCCGCTCAGATGCAGCTGGGTCTCAGCAAGTGTCCGAGACTGACGGAGGGGCAAGCTGTCATCCCAGCCCTGGCTGCTTGGTCGATGCGTCCTTGTTAATGCTGACATCCTTGCCTCCCTCCTGACGCCAGGCAGGAGAGAGGCTCTGTGTGCTCTGAGATCGAAGGCTAAAATCACCTATGAATGAGTCAACAGCCCAGCTGCAGCAGACTCCCTGAATTCATGTCAGACCCAAGGGGATAACCCAAAAGGAGCCTCTGGGGGAGGGCTGGGGAGCTCAGAGCCGCTGCAGATATGCTCCCAGCTACACCTCTCCAGTCCCTGCCTCTTCATCTGTAACAGGAAGTGCCTGGCTTAGATGGTGTTCAAGTGTCTTGATGAGGGCAGGTGGCATCTGAATGGGACAGTTCTTTGTGTGCAAGTGGTCTCGCAAAGTGCAGGATGTTAAGCATCCTTGGCCCTCACCCCCAACCCAAAACACCCCACAACCATTTCCACAAGGCTCCAAGGAGGGTGTTGTGGCCCCCAGCTGAGAACAGCTAGGTGATAATTACTAATCTCTGCTACTGTGTATGGAAGACATCTTGTGTGCTGGCCTTGTGCCAAGTATTACCCCATTTCTACTTTGTAACAATCCATATTACAGATGAGAAAAGTGAGGCCCAGAAAGGCTAAGCAGCAGCCAGGTAGGGTTGGAGCCAGGACGCTGGTCCCAGTCAGCCCAACTCTGTGGCCCATCCCATTCACCTGTGCACTCATGGAGGTGATGCCACATGTAAGTTGTGACCCCAGGTTCCTGAGTTAAGCCTGAGTGAGAGGTTAATATGGCCCCCCACTCCCCTGTCACCACGGGTGAAGCATGCTGCCCTATGCCATTGACATTAGGTTGGACCATGTGGCTTGCCTCGGCTCACAGAATGAGAATGGACAGGACATGTATGTGCTTGTGCAATTTGCTTTGGTTTCTTTTGCTCCAGTGACATACCATGAGAAGCATATACCCTGGGTGACTGCTGCCTCTTTAGCCTGGGGCCCAAAACAAGCACATATGGGGGACACCCAAGCCCTGCCTGGGCTCACTGGACTGTGGACTGAAGCAGCTGCCCAACCCAGCCCAGCTGGGTTAGATCAGTCTATCCACACTCAACCTGCAGACTCATGTGCATGAGCTTACATATTTATTGCCATAAGCCACTGCATTTGTGACGGTTTGTTATGCAGCATTACTGCAGCAATAGCTGACTGATAGAACCGTCCTGGCTCCCAGGACCAGCTTGACCACTTACTAAACGCCAGAGCATGGGCAGGTGGTTTTGCCTCAGTAGATCTTTGTTTCCCCATCTGTATAATGGTACAGTAATAGTACTGACCTGCCTGTTATGAGGATTGAAGGTGATCACGCTTTTAGTATAGTACCTGGTATATAGAAAGTATTTAGTAAATGTTAGTTATTCATTGCTACCATCAGCACCACTATTACTATTATTGTTAACTGTGCCCCTTGGGATCCAGCAGGGAGCCGTCACCTCTACTCTCAAGGATTCTGACAGTCTGGAGTTAATGAATGGGAGAGGACTCAGCCCTTCACAGAGGTGGCCCCAGAGCACCTTGCCCTAGTCCCAGAGGTGCTCCCTGCCCCTGACTCACTCTCGCCAGGGCCCACTCACCCTCGACCTCAACAAGCATCTAGAATGGACTGCTTGGCACCAGATGGCCAAGTGCCTCACAGGGAGTCCCGGATGGGTCAAAGTGACCCAAAGTCCACAGGAAACCCAAAGCCAGCCTTGCCTCTCCTGACAGGTTCACCCTCCTTCAGCCCAGGATTTATTACGTAACCAACACTTTTAGCAACAAGCCGGAGCCCGGCAACAGGGCCCACCCCCTAGTGTGAGAGTGTGAGAGTGTGAGCGTGTTTGCGACTGTGTGTCTTTCAGTGTCTGTGTGTATATCTCTCTGTCTGCTTTATTGTGTATGTTGCCGTATGGATCTGTGTCTATTGCAGCATGTATGTCTGTTTCAGCATGAGTGTGTTTCAGCATCTGTGTGAGTATGCGTGTCTGTTTTTCAGTGTGTATGTAAATGGGTGTGGCTGTGTTTCAGTGTGAGGACAGTTGTGTTTCGCCATGTTGGACATGAACTCCTGACCTCAGGTTTCGCCATGTTGGTCATGAACTCCTGACCTCAGGTGATCCACCCACCTCGGCTTCCCAAAGTGCTGGGATTATAGGCGTGAGCCACTGCACCTGGTCCTTCATTCCTTTTTAAGGTCCACTAACATTCCACTGTAGGTACACACCACGTTTTGTTTATCCGTTCTTCAGTTGATGGACATGTGGGTTGTTTCCACTTTCGTGCTATTGTGAATAATGCTGCTGTGAACATTTCATGTACAAGCTTTTCATAGACATGTGTTTTCATTTCTCTTGGGCATTCTCTAGGAGTGACATTGCTGAGTCACATGGTTACTCTGTGCTTAACCTTCTGAGGAACTTTCAGACTGTTTCCAAAGTGGCTACACCACTTAACATTCCCACCAGCAATGCACGAGGGTTCCAACTGCCCCACATCCTGCCCTTGTTTTTGTTTGTTTGGTTTTGGCTTTGGCTCTTTGATTATAGCCATCCTCAAAGATGTGAAGTCTTATTGTGGTTTGATTTGCATGTCCCTTATGGCTAATGATGTTGAGAGTTTTTCCCGTGCTATTGGCCATCTGTATATCTTCTTTGGAGAAACGTCTGCTCAGATCCTTTGCCATTTTTAATTGGGTCATTTGCCTGTTTATTCCAAGATGAAGTGGGACTACACATCAGGAGGGGTTTAAAATGGAATGCTGGAAACCACAGCTTCTCAAGGTTGTCTCCTGTCTCTGGGGGAGACCCAGTCTTCGCGTCCCAGAGGCACCCCCACTGCGAGTCCCTCCAGCCCTTCATCCCATAGTCCTACTCCACTCCATCTCTAGGGAAAACGTCATTCCATCTCCCTAGGAAGTCGCTTCCAGGCAACCCCAAGGCCTTTCCTTTATGGAATCAAGGGCTCTTTAAAGTGTTTTTCTAGGAAAGATCTGCTCTTGCTCCAAACATCTGTGCTGCTGCTGTTGCCTTGTATGTATGCGGGAATAGCTAAAGCCAGTTCCTTGGAAATGGAACTACATGCTTTTTCTTCCAGTCACTACACATAAATGACTTCTACTTTTCCACTTCCTAGTCAGACTTCTCCTTCAGACTCTGAACTCTATCCACCCGCTGGACTCCTCTGAGGAGCTCTTACAGGCACCTCACCCCATCTCCTCCTACTCCTTCCCCTCCACTCCCTATTTCTTGACCCCAGCCCTCCCCCATCCTAGGTCCCAGTCACCCTAACCAGACATCCAGGCGCCACTCAGACCCCTCCCTCTTGCTCCCTGTCACGACTAATCAGTCATCGACTCCCGTAATTGTTCCTCTGAAATAGCACTGCTCAGGCTTCATCAGCTGGCACCTGGACAATCCAGACAGCTGGCTTTCTCAAGCTTCCATCCTTTCCAAAGCACCCTCCACCCAGGAGCAGGTGACTCCCTTGCTCAAAACCTTGCAATGACTCCCTACTGCCCAAACCAAAATCCCATCTTCCCAGGCTGGTGTATGAGACCCTTCCATGAATCAGTTCTTTCATTTATTGATTTGCTCATTCATTCAATTTTCTGAGCATCTACTATGTGTGAGAGACTGGCAAGCGTCTACTGAGCATCTACCATGTGTGAGACAAGCCAAGCAGGTGACCAGTGGGACAGTAGGGGCCTGTGGGGGACAATGGAAACAGAGAGGAGGGGACCAAATCCAGGAGAAGGTGGTCACCCTGTACCCACCCCAACTCCAGCCATTTAAATTATCTCCAGTTCCCAGAATGCACCATGCTCTTTCATGTCTGGGGAACTTTGCAAACCCACTGAAAACTCTTCTCCTGTCACCCTTTTTGCAAACTCCTTCAAGCCTTCACAACCTGGTTGAACTGTCTTGTCCTGTGCAAAGCCTCCCCCCAATGCAGAGTTGATTCTGTCAGTCCTGCCTTTGAGCCCCCACAGCCTAGCAGAGACCTCATTACAATGTTGATCTCATCCAGTTACTGTTTTTTTGGTTTTGTTTGTTTGAGACAGAGTCTTGCTCTGTCACTCAGGCTGGAGTGCAATGGCGTGATCTTGGCTCATTCCAACCTCTGTCTCCTGGGTTCAAGCAATTCTCCTGCCTCAGCCTCCCAAATAGCTGGGATTACAGGCATGCACCACCACACCTGGCTAATTTTTGTATTTTTAGTAGAGATGGGGTTTCACCATGGTGGCCAGGCTGGTCTCAAACTCCTGACCTCAAGTAATCCATCTGCTTCGGCCTCCCAAAGTGCTAGGATTACAGGTGTGAGCCACCACACCTGGCTCATTCAGTTATTGTTTTAACTATGATGATCTTTATGGAAAATGAAATGCCGTGTTGGTTTTACTTTCTGATGGTACAGACACATCAGGGAACCACAAGTGCCTCTCCCCCAACTCCCTGCACCTCCCACCTCCACCAAGGAGAAAGCAATTTTTCCCATCTAAACTTCTGGCATGTGCTAACTCTGGTTCTCAAGCAGGGCTGATTTTTTTTTTTCTTTTGAGATGGAGTCTCACTCTGTCTCCCAGGCTGGAGTGCAGTGGCGTGATTTCGGCTCACTGCAACCTCCGCCTCCTGGGTTTAAGCGATTCTCCTGCTTTAGCCTCCCAAGTAGCTGGGGTTACAGGTGCACGCCACCACGCCCGGCTAATTTTTTGTATCTGTGGTAGAGATGGGGTTTCACCATGTTGACCAGGCTGGTGTCAAACTCCTGACCCCCTGATCTGCCTGCCTCGGCCTCCCAAAGTGCTGGGATTACAGGTGTGAGCCACTGCGTGGGGCTGATTTTGGCACACACACACACACACACACACACACACACACCCTAGGGACATTCTTCAAAGTCTGGACACACTTTTGATTGTCACAGCTGGGTGGGGATGGGGGTGCTATGGACATCTAGTGGGTAGAGGCCAAGGAAGCTGCTAAAAGTCTACAATGTGCAGGGGCCGGTCGCGGTGGCTCACGCCTGTAATCCCAGCACTTTGGGTGGCCAAGGCGGGTGGATCACGAGGTCAGGAGATCGAGACCATCCTGGCTAACACAGTGAAACTCCGTCTCTACTGAAAATACAAAAAATTAGCTGGGTGAGGTGGTGGGCGCCTGTAGTCACAGCTACTCGGGAGGCTGAGGCAGGAGAATGACATGAACCTGGGGGGTGGAGCCTGCAGTGAGCTGAGATCACACCACTGTACTCCAGCCTGGGTGACAGAGCAAGACTCCATCTCAAAAAAAAAAAAAAAAAAAAAAAAAAATTCTACAATGTGCAGGACAGCCCTCACAACCAACAATTATCCAACCCAAAATAGAACAGTGCCAAGGCTGAGAAACTGTCCAAATTATAGGTGGAAATATAGTTGTGTGTGTGTGTTTCGGCATTAGAGGGCATTCCCGGGCCTAGGTGGGCTCTGGAGATGGCCCATGCTCAGGTTTTTATGCCGGGAAGGTGCAGGTGCATGGAGGACATTGGCCAGCTGGGCTGTGAGGAGGAGCTGTAGGCAGGTGCTTGCAGAGATGAAGAAGGGAGCCCTCGGTCTGGCTGAATCCCTGGATGGATCATGGGGCCTGTGGGCTCCTCAAGGGGAGGAGACCTGCCCTCCCTTGAATCCAAGCTGGGAGATGGTGGTGCCTCCCAGGAGGGTAAGTGGGCACCTCGCTGCCTTCCACCTCTGAAGGGCCAAGTGGTGCCCAGGATATCCATGTTTTGGCTTCTTCCTGGGCACATGTGGAGACTCCATTTCCCAGGGCCCCTTGCAGGTAGGTGTGGCCACATGACAGGTTCCAGCCAATGGAGTGTGATAGGAAGTAATGTCACCACTCCAGGCCTGGCCATGGAATTCTCGCACCACCCAGGCTCTCTCCTTCCCAGTAGTATCCTAGCTGAGCCAGAGGACGCTGAAGGCCTACAGGGCAGCAGAGCCACAGACGGAAGGAGCCTGGGTGCTTGAGTGACTATGCAGCCTCCCCGGCCTGCCATCCCGTCTGGTTGGACTGTGACATGAAACAGATGTGAAATAGATCTTCATCGTGTAGAGCCGTGGGCCTTCGAGCTTTACTTGTTACAGCAACTAATTTTATTTAACTAATACTGGTGGGTCAGCAGGAACGTCCAAGGTGAAAGACAAAATTCCCCTTCAGTTTTTCAGGGCTGTTTAACTCCTAAGATCCAGGGCTGATCCTTAATTATTCCACCCTCCTCGCCCACCCCATTCTCCATTAGACTCTTGTAGTTTTTGCCAACCTTGGCAAGTGGGGCCTTGAGTAGGCCTTAATTTGATCCTTAAAAGTAAAGGGATTTCTTCCACCCTGAGAGTTGTGTGATAGTTTGTACCAGTTACAAAATTTGTGTTCTTTTTCTTGATGGACTGTGAGCCCCTTGAGGGGAAGGCCTGGGCCTGATTTGCGGATGTCACAAAGGCCCAGTAGTGGGCTGGGTAGGCAGCAATCTTGAGGAACTATTTGTGGAAATCTCTGAGCATGTGATGCCCCTGATTGGCCAGATCATTCTGCCTTTATGGTGTTTGGTATGGTTGTTTTTTTTTTTTGAGACCCGGGTCTCACTCTGTTGCCCAGGCTGGAATACAGTGGTGCAGTCACAGCTCTCTATAGCCTCCACCTCCTAGGCTCAAGCACTTCTCCCAACTCATCTTGGAATACAGTGGTGCAGTCACAGCTCTCTATAGCCTCCACCTCCTAGGCTCAAGCACTTCTCCCAACTCATCTGGGACTACAGGCATGCACCACCATGCACAGCTAATATTCTTATTTTTTTTTATAGAGATGGGAGTCTCGCTATGATGCCCAGGCTGGTCTCGAACTCCCGAGCTCAAGTGATCTGACCTCCCAAAGTGCTGGAATTACAGGCATGAGCCACCGCGCCCTGTCTTCCTTTGTTTGTGTTGATTACGAATACATTCACTTGCAAAAAATAACAAAAAAAACCCCCAGAAAATCCGATCAACAGAGACGTAAACAAATAGGTGTTTCGTTGTGTGTGTGTTTTTTTGTTTTTTTTTGTTTTTCATGGAACACAAGCTCGAAGCAGGCAGTTGCAAGCATGAGGGAACTTGACTTTGCCATCCCTATACTGACCTTTTTATTCTGATGCTTCGGCCTCATAGGCACAAGATGGCTGCCATAGCTCTAATCATCACACTGGGGCTCGAGGCAAGCAAAGGTGAGAGAAATGTCTAGGGCCATGCTAACTGTATCTGTCTCTTCATCAGGGCAGCAAAAGCTTTTCCAGAAATCCCCCCAGCAGACTTCCACTTTAAGAGTGATTGGCCTGAATTGGGTCAAATGTCTAGTACAAGAGGCTAGGAAGTTAAAACAGTCATGATTGGCTTAGAACACTGATTCACAAATGAATCTGTAGGGGTGGGTTGCCCCTCCACACCTGTGGGTGTTTCTCGTAAGGTGGAACGAGAGACTTAGGAAAGAAAAAGACACAGAGACAAAGTGTAGAGAAAGAAATAAGGGGACCCGGGGAACCAGCGTTCAGCATATGGAGGATCCCGCCAGCCTCTGAGTTCCCTTAGTATTTATTGATCATTCGTGGGTGTTTCTCCGAGAGGGGGATGTGTCAGGGTCACAAAACAATAGTGGGGAGAGGGTCAGCAGACAAACACGTGAACAAAGGTCTTTGCATCATAGACAAGGTAAAGGATTAAGTGCTGTGCTTTTAGATGTGCATACACATAAACATCTCAATGCTTTACAAAGCAGTATTGCTGCCCGCAGGTCCCACCTCCAGCCCTAAGGCGGTTTTTCCCTATCTCAGTAGATGGAGCATACAATCGGGTTTTATACCGAGACATTCCATTGCCCAGGGACGGGCAGGAGACAGATGCCTTCCTCTTGTCTCAACTGCAAGAGGCATGCCTTCCTCTTATACTAATCCTCCTCAGCACAGACCCTTGCTGTCGGGCTGGGGGACGGTCAGGTCTTTCTCTTCCCACGAGGCCATATTTCAGACTGTCACATGGGGAGAAACCTTGGACAATACCTGGCTTTCCTAGGCAGAGGTCCCTGCGGCCTTCCGCAGTTTTTGTGTCCCTGGGTACTTGAGATTAGGGAGTGGTGATGACTCTTAAGGAGCATGCTGCCTTCAAGCATTTGTTTAACAAAGCACATCTTGCACCGCCCTTAATCCATTTAACCCTGAGTTTGACACAGCACATGTTTCAGAGAGCACGGGGTTGGGGGTAAGGTCATAGAATCTCAAGGCAGAAGAATTTTTCTTAGTACATAACAAAATGGAGTCTCCCATGTCTACTTCTTTCTACACAGACACAGTAACAATCTGATCTCTCTTGCTTTTCCCCACATGAATCTTTTTTTTTTTTTTAAGCACAAAGGGAATAGGTATTAGGAAAGCAACCAATAGTGTCTGCCTTGATTTCCAGTCCTGTATCTGGGGCTTCTGCCAAAAGTCCTTTCTCCTAGGGCCAAGAGGGCCCAGGCCCGTCTTCTCGAGGCTACCACACCTGGTTTTCCCCATACCTGAGAGTATGTGAGGATAAAACAGCAGAGCATCCAAGGGTCTGTTGCCCACCCTCCCACCTTGCCTGCTGCCCTGTCCTGGTGCTTCTCAGGAAGCCTTCGGGGTACCCACCACACCTTGTCCCCATGCCCTTTCCCAGTAGACACCATCCCAGCCACTCTGATGAAGCTGGACTCTGTCCCCAGGAGATGGAAAGTGAGCCACTCTCCCAGCAGAGGCACAGGGTCAGTGTGTTCTGCAGAATAAACACAGTATTCCTAGTTACTCTCATCTGAGAAGCTGCCACATCTCCCTAAACCCCTGGCCTTCCCACATGATCTGAAAATAACCACTGATACTCACATATAGAATCCAGAATTCCGAGGAAATGGAATTAAAAATAGCCAGAGGAAGAAGGACGTGCCCCAGGCAGATGACGTTTAGCCAAACATGGAAACAAAGGATGAGCCTGGGGCCTGGGAACAGGATAATAGTAGCCAACATGTGCCAAGTGACTACTGTGTGGCAGGTACTGAATGGAGTGCCTGGCAGGCATTGTATTATGGGTCCCTCAAGTCAGCCAGAAGAGGTAAGTACTGTTACCACTCTCATTCTGCAGAGAGTGAAACAGGCTTAGAGGGGTAATGCCTAGAGTAGCATCCAGAACGTGAGCTCTGGTCAGATAGGGTTTGTTTCTCAGTTTAGTCATTCCCTAGGTGTAATGTGTTTAGGCCTCAGTTTCCTCATCTATAAAATGGGTAAGATAGTAGTAGCTACTTCATAGGCTCACTGGGAAAACTCAATATGAGTCATATATGTAAAGTACTCAAAACCAGATCTGGCACGAAATAAGCCCTGGATGTATGTGTGCAAATATCATACCCATTTTATAGATGAGGGAATGAAAAATTGCAGATAACTATGCATTTGCCCAAGGTCACAAAACCAGTAAAAGGTAGAGCTGGCCGGGCGCGGTGGCTCACTCCTGTAATCCCAGCACTTTCGGAGGCCAAGGCAGGTGGATCACCTGAGGTCATCCCAGCACTTTGGGAGGCCAAGGCAGGTGGATCACCTGAGGTCAGAAGTTTGAGACCAGCCTGGCCAACATGGTGAAACCCCGTCTCTACTAAAAATACAAAAATTAGCCAGGCTTGGTGGCACATGCCTGTAATCCCAGCTACTCAGGAGGCTGAGGCAGGAGAATTGCTTGAACCCAAGAGGCTGAGGTTGCAGTGAGCTGAGATCGCACTCCAGTCTGGGCGACAAGAGTGAAACTCCGTCTCAAAAAAAAAAAAAAAAAAAAAAAGGTAGAGCTGGGACTCAAAGCCAGGTCCCTCTACTACTATAAACCACCCACCAGTCAGCGTGACTCCAAGTGGCACAGGCCACTGGGTTAATGGGCAGGAGAACAGGTTCTATACACACCAGGCAGTCCAGTGGGTCCCCTTGAGGACCACAGGCAAAGCCAATGAGGAGTTTCCCTTGCCCCGAGTGCCCTGTCTCTCACCTTGACCTGTCAACATACCACCCATTCTTGAGCGCTGGGAGAGAAGCCCCCATCTCTGACTTCTGAGTGATAGAGTCCTGGCTGCAGAGCCCTCCTGTGGTCCCGTTCATCAGTCTTGGGAACTCATAACATTGGGGAGAATAAGCACAGCCTTTGAGAACCTGCACACCACCCCCACCCTGTAGAGGTCCAGAAACGTCTCACAGGCAAGCAGCCTAGGTCTGCCTGTAACAAACCAGGAGCAGGCAGAGATGGAGACCGCACTGAATTAAGGCGTCCAGCTACTAACATCACAGACAGAAAAGCCTCCCAGTGGACAAGCACAGTATTGCCTCTGAGCTATTCACATCAAAGCTAATGGAACCTGAATCTGAGTAAGAACTAGACCCAATCAGCAAAGTGCAGAAAATACAGGAGACAGAGGAGCACATGAAACACCACCACAGAGGTGCAATCAGCACAAATCCAGACTGCCAGAGACCCTCCAGGGAGAACAGCTGGCTTCCTCAACAAATAAATGGCAATGCATCAATGAGAAAGGAACCAGGAGCCTATAGACTAAATGAGAAATATAAATATCAATCAATTACAGTGCTGGGCCTTATCTGGATCCCAATTCAACTGTATGTATTGCATATTATATACATGTCTATATATTATGTACACACACACATGCCATTTGGAACAATGTGATTCTCCAGTGAGCTATTTGATGATCTTAAAGAACTATAGTTACTTTATTTATCTATTTACTTGAGACAGGGCCTGGCTCTGTCACCCAGGCTGGAGTGTAATTTGGGCTCACTGCAACCTCTGCCTCCCAGGTGCAAGGGATCCTCCCACTTCAGCCTCCCAAGTGCTGGGACCACAGGTGTATGCCACCGTGCCTGGTGAATTTTTGCATTTTTTGTAAAGACAGGGTTTCATCACATGCCCAGGCTGGTCTCAAACTCCTGGGCTCAAGCAACCCACCTGCCTCGGCCTCCCAGAGTGTTGGGATTACAGGCATGATCCACTGTGCCCAGCTTATAGTTACTTTAAAAAAAAATAAAAAAAATAAAAAAAAGGTCAGGCATGGTGGATTACACCTGTAATCTAATCCCAGCACTTTGGGAGGTTGAAGCAGGAGGATCACTTGACCTCAGGAGTTTGGGGTTGCAGTGAGCCACAGTCATGCCACTACACTCCAGCCTGGGTGACAGAGTGAGACCCTGTCTCTGAAAAGAAAAAAAGGCCGGGCGTGGTGGCTCATGCCTGTAATCCCAGCACTTTTGGAGGCCGAGGCAGGCGGACCACCTTAGGTCAGGTGTTTGAGAACAGCCTGGCCAACATGGTGAAACCCCATCTCTACTAAAAATACAAAAAATTAACTGGGCATGGTGGCAGGCGCCTGTAATCCCAGCTACTCAGGAGGCTGAGGCTGGAGAATCGCTTGAACCTGGGAGGTAAAGGTTGAGCCAAGATCACGCCACTGCACTCCAGACTGGGCAATGACAGTGAAACTCCATCTCAAAAAAAAAAAAAAAAGAGAAAAGAAAAAGATTATTTATTTATTTATTTGTATTTCAATAGCTTGGTTACATGGATAGACTGTATAGTGGTGGAGTCTGGGATTTTAGTGCACCTGTCACCGCATTAGTGTACATTGTACCCAATACATAGTTTATTTATCCCTCACCTTCCTCCCCATTCCACCTTCTGAGTCTCCAAAGGCCATTATACCATTCCGTATGCCTTTGGACACTTATACCTTAGCTCCCACTCATAAGCAAGAACACATGTTATTTGATTTTCCATTCCGGAGTTACTTCACTTAGAATAATGGCCTCCAGTTCCATTCAAGTTGCTGTAAAGGACATTATTTCATTCTTTTTTATGGCTGAGTAGTATTCCATGGTGTATATATACCACATTTTCTTTTTCCATTGATTGGTCGATGAGCACTTAGGTTGGCTTCATATCTTTGCAATTGTGAATTGCGCTGAGATAAACATACCTGTGCAGGCGTCTTTTTTTTTTTTTTTTTTTAATTTTTTGGAGATAGGGTCTCGCTCTGTCACCTAGGCTGGAATGTAGTGGTGTGATTTTGGCTCACTGCAACCTCCTCCTCCCAGGTTAAAGTAATTCTCCTGCCTCAGCCTCCTGAGTAGCTGGGACTACAGGCACATGCCACCACGCTGGCTAAGTTTTGTATATTTAGTAGAGATGGGTTTCACCATGTTGTCCAAGCTGGTCTCGAACTCTTGACCTCAAATGATGTGCCCACCTCAGCCTCCCAAAGTGTTGGGATTATAGACATGAACCACCGTGCCCAGCCCCAGGTATCTTTTTGATATAATGACTGCTTTTCCTTTGGGTAGGTACCCAGTAATGGGGTTGCTGGATTGAATAGTAGATCTACTTTTAGTTCTTTTTTTTTTTTTTTTTTGAGACGGAGTTTCGCTCTTGTTGCCCAGGCTGGAGTGCCATGGTGTGATCTCGGCTCACCGCAACCTCCGCTTCCCATGTTCAGGTAATTATCCTACCTCAGCCTCCCGAGTAGCTGGGATTACAGGCATGCGCCACCACACCCGGCTAATTTTTTGTATTTTTAGTAGAGAAGGGGTTTCTCCATGGTGGTCAGGCTGGTCTGAAACTCAAGACTTCAGGTGATCTGCCCGCCCAGGCCTCCCAAAGTGCTGGGATTACAGGTGTGAGCCACCGTGCCTGGCCTTACTTTTAGTTCTTTAAGGACTCTCCATACTCATTTCCATAGAGGTTGTATTAATTTGCATTCCCACCAGCAGTGTATTAGCATTCCCTTTTCCCCACATCCATGCCAGCACCTATTGTTTTTGACTTCTTAATAATGACCATTCTGGCTGGGGTAAGGTGGTCTCTCGTTGTGGTTTTAATTTGCATTTCCCAGATGATGAGTGATGTTGAGCATTTTTTCATGTGTTTCTTGGCCATTAAGACTTTTTTTTTTTTTACGGCAGCTGTAGGTTCACAGCAAAATTGAGAGGAAAATACAGAGAGTTCCCATACACCCCCTCCCCCGCAAACACACATGTACATCCTCCCCCATTAACAGCAAACTCCACCAGATGGTACATTTGTTATAATTGATGAAGCTACATTGACACATCATTATCTCCCAGAGTCTACAGTTTTACATTAGGGTTCACTCTTGGTGTTGTACATTCTATAGGTTTGGACAAATGTATAATGACATGCATCCACCACTGTAACATCATACAGAGTCGTTTCATGGCCCTGAGAGTCCCCTGTGCTCTGCCTGTTCATCCCTCCCTCTCCCCTAACCCCTGGCTATCATCAATCCTTTTACAGTCTATATAGTTTTACCTTTTCAGTATGCCATATAGTTGGAATCATACAGTATGTAGCCTTTTCAGACTGGCTTCTTTCATTTAGTAATGTGCGTTTAAGGTTCCTCCATGTGTTACGGCTGGATAGCTCATTTCTTTTTTTTTTTTTTTTTTTGAGGCAGAGTCTCGCTCTGTCGCCCAGCAGGCTGGAGTGCAGTTGTTCACCGCAACCTCTGCCTCCCGGGTTCAAGTGATTCTCCTGCCTCAGCCTCCCAAGTAGCTGGGATTACAGGCATGAACCACCATGCCCGGGTAATTTTGCATTTTTAGTAGAGACGGGGTTTCTCCATGTTGGTCAGGCTGGTCTCGAACTCCTGACCTCAGGTGATCCGCCCGCCTTGGCCTCCCAAAGTGCTGGGATTACAGGCATGATACAGGCGTGAGCCATCGTTTTTTGTTTGTTTGTTTGTTTGTTTGAGATGGAGTTTCACTCTTGTTGCCCAGGCTGGAGTACAATGGCGTGATCTTGGCTCACCACAACCTCTGCCTCCTGGGTTTAAGCGATTCTCCTGCCTCAGCCTCCTGAGCAGCTGGGATTACAGGCATACGCCATCATGCCCAACTAATTTTGTATTTTTAGTAGAGACAGGGTTTCTCTATGTTGGTCAGGCTGGTCTCAAACTCCTGACCTCAGCTGGTCCGCCCGCCTCAGCCTCCCAAAGTCCTGGGATTACAGGCATGAGCCACTGTGCCCAGCCCAGCTCATTTCTTTTTAGCATTGAATAATACTGCATTGCCTGGATGTATGACAGTTTATTTATCCATTACCCTACTGAAGAACATCTTGGTTGCTTCCAAGTTTTGGCAATTATGAATAAAGCTGCTATAAATATCTGTGTGCAGGTTTTCTTGTGGACAAAAGTATTTAACTCATTTGGGTAAATACCAAGGGAAACAATTGCTGGATTTTATGGTAAGACTATGTTTAGTTTTGTAAGAAACTGTCAAATTGTCTTCCAAAGTGGCTGTATCATCTTGCATTCTCAATAGCAACGAATGAGAATTCATTGAAAAATTCATTTAAAAAAAATACAACTGGCTGGGTGTGGTGGCTCATGCCTGTAATCCTAGCACTTTGGAAAGGAGGATCGCTTGAGCTCAGGAGTTTGAGACCAGCCTGGGCAACATAGTGAGACCCCCATCTCTATTCATTTTAGAAAGAAAAAGAAGAAATAGAACTGATAAGCTAAGAAAGGAGAGAAAATGGAATAATAGAAATTATCAGTTAAAGGCCGGGTGCAGTGGCTCACGCCTGTAATCCCAGCACTTTGGGAAGCCAAGGTGGGCAGATCACGAGGTCAGAAGTTCAAGACCAGCCTGACCAACGTGGTGAAACCCCGTCTCTACTAAAAATACAAAAATTAGTCAGGCATGGTGGCATGTGCCTGTAATCCCAGCTATTCAAGAGGCTGAGACAGGAAAATCACTTGAACCCAGGAGGCTGAGGTTGCAGTGAGCCGAGATCACGCCACTGCACTCCAGTCTGGGCAACAGAGTGAGACTCCATCTCAAAAAAAATGCTCAGTTAAAAACACAAAAGGCGGAAAAAGTGGGAGACAAAAATAAAACAAAGCACATGGACAAGAAATAGAAAGCAGTAACAAATATGCTAAATATTAATCCAAGTATATCAATAATCACTTTGGGGTTTCTTTTGTTTTTGCTTTTTGTTTTTGAGATGGAGTCTTGCTCTGTTGCTCAGGCTGGAGTGCAGCGGCGTGATCGCGGCTCACTGCAACCTCTGCCTCCCAGGTTCAAGCGATTCCCCTGCCTCAGCCTCCTGAGTAACTGGGATTACAGGCGCACTCCACCACGCCTGGCTAATTTTTGTATTTTTAATAGAGATGGGGTTTCACCATGTTGGCCAGGCTGGTCTCGAACTCCTGACCACAAGTGAACCGCCCACCTTGACTTCCCGAAGTGGTAGGATTACAGGCATGAGCCACCCTGCCCAGCTCAATAATCACTTTGAACGTTAGTGGTCTAAATGCATCAATTAAAAGACAGAGATCTTCAGAGTGATTAAAAAACCAAGACCCAGCCAGGTATGATGGCTCACGCCTGTAATCTCAGCACTTTGGGAGGCTGGGATGGGAGGATCACTTGAGGACAGGAGTTCAAGACCAGCCTGACCAACATGGAGAAGCCCTGTCTCTATTAAAAATACAAAATTAGCCGGACGTAGTGGCACATGCCTGTAATCCCAGCTACTTGGGAGGCTGAGGCAGGAGTATGGCTTGAACCTGGGAAGCAGAGGTTGCGGTGAGCCGAGATCGCACCATTGCACTCCAGCCTGGGCAACAAGAGCAAAACTCTGTCTAAAAAAAAAAAAAAAAAAAAAAAAAAAAAAAAAAAAATTAAAAAAAAAGAAAAAGAAAAGAAAAGAAAGGACCCAGTTATACAAAAAAAAAACCCACTAAAAAATCCCACTTTAAATAGAAAGACACATATAGACTAAAGTTAAAAGGACAAATAAATGTAGGCCATGCTAATACTTATCAAAAAAAGCAAGAGTAGCTATATTAATTTCAAACATTAATTTAGCAAATTCCAGAGCAAGAAAAGTTTTCAGGGATAAAGATGAGCATTACATAATGATTAAGACATCAATGCTCCAACAAGACATAACAATCCTTAACATGTATGAGCCTAACAACAGAACACCAAAATATGTGAAGAAAAAACTAACAGACTGCAAGGAAAAATAAAGGAATCTACCAATAGTATTAGAGACTTCAACACTCCTCTATCAGAAATTAACAGATCCCACAGAAAAGCAGTAAGGATATTGTTAAACTCAACAGTACCATCAATCAACTGGATATAATGGACACAAATAAGCTACTTTATCCAACAACAGCAGGTTACCTATTCTTCTCAAGCTTGCACGAGACATTCACCAAGATAGACCACATTCTGGGCCATAAAACGTACCTTACCAAATTTAAAAGAATAGAAATCGGCTGGGCATGGTGGCTCACACCTGTAATACCAACACTTTGGGAGCCCGAGGTGGGTGGATCACGAGATCAGGAGATTGAGACCATCCTGGCTAACATGGTGAAACCCCGTCTCTACTAAAAATACAAAAATTAGCCAGGCGTGGTGGCAGGCTACTCGGGAGGCTGAGACAGAAGAATCACTTGAACACGGGAGGCGGAGGTTGCAGTGAGCTGAGATTGCGCCATTGCACTCCAGCCTGAGCAAAGAGAGCAAAACTCCATCTCCAAAAAAAAAAAAATTAAAAATATTTTTAACTAAATCAAAATGAAGGCCGGGCATGGGTGGCTCACATTGGTAATCCCAGCACTTTGGGAGGCTGAGGTGGGCAGATTGCTTAAACTCAGGAGTTCAAGAGCAGCCTGGCCAACATGGCAAAATCCTGTCACTACTAAAACCTACAAAAATTAACCAGGCATGGTGGTGTGTGCTTACAGTCCCAGCTACTCAGGAGACTGAGGTGGGAAATCACCTGAGCCCAGGAGGTTGAGACTGCAGTAAGTCATGATCACGCCACTGCACTCCAACCTGGGCAATAGAGCAAGACTCTGTCTCAAAAAAAAAAAAAAAAAAGGAAGAAAAGAAAACACAACTTATCAAAAATTGTAGATGCAGCAAAAGCCATGCTTATAGGGAAACGTATAGCATCAAATGCATGTTTTCAAGAAGAAGAAATTGGCTGGGCATGGTGGCTCACACCTGTAATCCCAGCACTTTAGGAGGCCAAGACGGGCAGATCACTTGAGGCCAGGAGTTCGAGACCAGCCTGACCAACATGGTGATACGTCGTCTCTACTTAAAATACAAAAATTAGCCAAGCATGGTGGTGCATGCCTGTAATCCCAGCTACTCAGGAGGCTGAGGCATGAGAATCATTTGAACCCGTGAGGTAGAGGTTCCATCGAGCTGAGATTGTGCCACTGCACTCCAGCCTGGGCAATAGAGCTAGACCCTGTCCGAAAGGAAAGGAAAGGAGAGGAGAGGGGAGAGGAGAGAGAGGAGAGGGGAGAGGGGAGAGGGGAAGAAAAGAAGATCTAAAATCAATCATCTAAGCTTCCACTTCAGGAAACTACAAAATTAAATCCAAAGTAACCAAAGAAAAAAAATCAAAATTAAATCAAAATTAAAAAATTAAAATAAATTTTAAAATATTTGGCCGGGCACGGTGGCTCACGCCTGTAATCCCAGCACTTTAGGAGGCCCAGGTGGGTGGATCACCTCAGATCAGGAGTTTGAGACAAGCCTGGCCAACATGGTGAAACCCCGTCTCTACTAAAAATACAAAAAGTTGCCAGGCATGGTGGTGTGTGCATGTAATCCCAGCTACTTGGGAGGCTGAGGCATGAGAATCGCTTGAACCCGGGAGGTGGAGGTTGCAGTTAGCCGAGATCTTGCCACTGCACTCTAGGCTGGGTGACAGAGTGAGACTCCGTTTCAAAAAAAAAAAAAGGAAGAAAGAAGAAGGAGGAAGAAGAAGGAGGAAGAAGAAAGAGGAAGAAGAAGGAAGAAGAGGAAGGAAGGAAGGAGAAGAAGAAGGGGGAGGAGGAGGAGAAGGGGAAGGGGAAGGGGAAGGGGAAGAACAAGGAGGAGGAGGAGGAGAAGAAGAAGAGGAGGTGGCAGCCGTGAGGCAGAAATCAAGACTGCTGGATGGAACTGCTTTGGACAGGAGAAAGGATCTGGAGAGCCCTGGTTCTGGGGAGCCACCATGCTCAGGTGTCAATCCTCGGTAGATCTATGGGGGAACTGGGGGTGGCCAAGCGTTCTGAGCCAGCCGGAAAGCTGCGTGGGTTGCAGCAGCCTGGGTGGGTTCGAGTTGGTCAGCAGGGAAAGGCCCCCTGGGTTCCAGGCACCCGGGACTCAGCTGCAGAGACGGTGAACCAAGCCCCTTCCTCTCCTAGACTCACCTTCCAGCCCAAAAAAGATGATTGGCAAATAAAGTTAATAAACACAATCATTTCAAGTAGAGTCAGGTGCTCTGAATTACATCGAGCAGATGGATGGGAAGCGGCGCAGGAGGGAGGTGTGGACGGGGAGGATACTGGGGGAGGGAGAGGCAGCCCCAGAGGGTCTGTGGGAAGGGACAGCCAGTGCAAAGCTGCAGAGGAGGGACAGGGCATGGTGGGGGAGTATTCAAAGGACAGAGGACAAATGAAGGGAGATGAGGACCAAGCCCACCAGGGCTGGATGGTGCTGGCGTCAATGGGCCGTGCCCAGGAAGGTGGGTTTATTGTTAGGGTCTTTGAGGAGTCAGTGAGGGTTTTTATCAGACATGGTGTGATTTAATTTTGCTTGTTTTTATTGGGGTAAAATACACATAACATGAAATTTGCCATTGTAACCACTTAAAAGTGCACCATTCAGTGTCATTGAGTACCTTCACAATGTCGTGCAACTGCCACCTCTATCTAGCTCCAGAACCACCCCCAAAGGAAACCCCAGACACATTAAGCAGTCACTGGCCACTTCCCCTCCCCCTGCATTGCATCCGTGAATTTGTCTGTTTCTGACATTTCTTTGTTGTTTCTTTTTTTGTTTGTTTGTTTGAGACAGAGTCTTGCTCTGTCAACCAGGCTGGAGTGCAGCGGCGTGATCTCGGCTCACTGCAACCTCTGCCTCCTGGGTTCAAGCGATTCTCATGCCTCAGCCTCCCAAGTAGCTGGGATTACAGGTGCCTGTTACCACATCTGGCTAACTTTTGTATTTTTAGTAGAGACGGGGTTTCACCATGTTGGCCAGGTTGGTCTCGAACTCTTGGCCTTAAGTGATCCGCCTGCCTCGGTCCCCCAAAGTGTTGGGATTACAAGCGTGAGCCACCATGCCTGGCCACTTTTTTTTTTTTTTTTGAGACAGGGTTTTGCTCTGTCACCCAGGCTGGTGTGCAGTGCCACAATCAAGGCTGACTGCAGCCTTAACCTCCTGGGCTCAAGAGATGCCTCCTGGTGGAGCTGGGACCACAGGTGTAGGACACCATGCCCAGCTAATTTTTTTTGTATTTTTGATAGAGTAGGGCTTTGCCATGTTGCCCAGGCTAGTCTCGAGCTCCTGTGCCCAAGCAATCCACCCGCCTCAGCTTCCCAAAGTGCTGGGATTACAGGCATGAGCCACTGTGCCTGGCCTGGACATTTCATGCAAATGAAATCATCCAATCTGTGGCCTTTTGTGTCTGGCTTATTTTGATTTAATTTATTCCCTTTTTATTTATTTATTTATTTATTTGAGACAGAGTCTTACTCTGTCGCCCAGGCTGAAGTGCAATGGCACTATCTTGGCTCACTGCAACCTCTGCCTCCTGGGTTCAAGTGATTCTCCTGCCTCAGCCTCCCGAGTAGCAGGGATTACAGGTGTGTGCCATGACACCCAGCTAATTTTTGTATTTTTAGTAGAGACGGGGTTTCACTTTCGAACTCCTGACCTCAGGTGATTCACCCTCATCGGCTTCCCAAAGTGCTGGGATTACAGGCATGAGCCACAGCGCCCAGCCTTTTTTTTTTTTTTTTTTTTTTGAGACACAGTCTCACTCTGTCGCCCAGGCTGGAGTGCAGTGGTGAGATCTTGCTCACTGCAACCTCCGCCTCTCACGTTCAAGTGATCCTCCTGCCTCAACCTCTGGAGTAGCTGGGATTATAGACACTTGACACCACACCCGGCTAATTTTTGTATTTTTAGTAGAGACAGGGTTTCACCATGTTGAGCAGGCTGGTCTCAAATTCCTGACCTCAGGCCATCTGGCCGCCTGGGCCTCCCAAAGTGTTGGGATTACAGGCATGAGCCACTGTGCTTGGCCTGATTTAATTTCTTAAAGCCTCTCGTAGAGAAGGGCCCGTAGTTGGGCATGGTTAAGGCACCATTAGGTGGGACGTGCTGGGGGGCTAGGCCGTAGGAGCGGGATGGTGAGAAGAGGCGATCTGGAGGGATCATGGAGGCATCGCCCCCAGGATTTGCAGCGACTGGGCCAGGGGGGGATGAGGGATTGCAAGGAGTGGGGAGGACTCGGGTTTCAGGCCTGAGCAAGTGGGACAATGGGGGTGCCAATGTGAGGTGGTGGAGACTGTGAGCGGGGCAGCGCCATGGCAGGGGATCAGTCAAAAGTCCACTCAAGAATTGAGAGTACGGGGGAGGTGCTGCTGCACAAACTTTTAGCACAAGCCAAGCCTGCACCCACTGGAATGTGAGCATCGGAGTGGGTGGTGGGGCAAGTGACAGGCACAGTGCTCATCAAGGATGGTGGGCCATGGGTCATACACCTCCAGGTTCTTTTGGTGGGAACAACAGGTCAATTTCTTCTGCTCAGTAGGATGTATATCAGCAAGAAGATGAGCACACCAGCTCACTCAAAACTTTAAGGAACCAGGCCGGATGCGGTGGCTCACGCCGCCTATAATCCCAGCACTTTGGGAGGCCGAGGTCGGGGGGATCACCTGAGGTCAGGAGTTCGAGACCAGCCTGGCCAACATGATGAAACCCCCATCTCTACTAAAAATACAAAAATTAGCCAGGTGTGGTGGCATGCGCCTATAGTCCCAGCTACTTGGGAAGCTGAATGAATCACTTGAACCTGGAGGCAGAGGTTGCAGTGAGCCGAGATCATGCCACGGCACTCCAGCCTGGGTGGCAGAGCAAGACTCCATCTCCAAAAAAAAAAAAAAAAAAGACAAAACAAAAAACTTTAAGGAACCCATTCACCTGCCTAATTAGTGGAAATGTTTCTAGGGCCACAGGGCCAAAATGCACAGTTGCACAGGTTGGACACTGCACAACCCAAAAGGAGTATATTTATACAGACTTGGACATGACTGACATCTTCCCTGAAGTCAGGCAGTATACAATCTGTGCAGTGGTGCCTGGTGCCGGGCAGTCAGGGTCATCATGAAGTTGCTGTGTTTCTAAGTAAAGGAGCTCCCTTGAGAAGAGATAGGGAAGTTTGTGAGAAATATGTCAGCTTTCGTGGCCTCTGAAGGTCAAGTGAACTCTGGCATTTAAACACAGCGGCCAGAGTCACTACACATCCTGTGTTTTCTTTATGAGAAGAAAAGCTTGGCAAGGGAAATGTCAGCAACAAGGTACACGCAGCTGGTTCGCCGCAAGACGGCCACCCATGTCGTGCTGTCTTCACATATTCCAGGCACTGGGAGGTCTCTCCAGGATTAAGGCCACCACCCTCCCCTCACTGCCGCCTCCCCTGTCATGCACATGGGAAAGGCCTGGCTCCTCTTAGGCCAGGCAGACCACCCTACTTTATTTGGCCTTGGGGCCAGTGGACAGGCCTTCTAGGGCTGCCACCTTGGTCCCCAGGGGCAGTGCACTACACACCAGGCATCGGCAGTGGGCACGACTCCCTCTGGGATTGTGCAAACAGGACCTCTCTCCAGCAGCTCCACGGAGCAGGTCTCAAGAGCCCCGGACCTGGGTTTGAATCTCAGCGGTGCCACTGGCTGGCTGACTGTAGGACTTTGGGCAAGTCACTTTACCTCTCTCAGCCTCTGCTTTTTCCTCTGCTAAGTGGGAACTAGAAGGCTGACCTCTCAGGGCTGCTGGAAGGGACAGAGGGGCATGTATAGAGTCCCTGGCCCATCCTTAGGGAGATGAGGGGAGAAACTTACACCCACTCACATATTCACACACACACACACACACATACACACTCCAAACAAAGTTTCATTTTTTTTCTTTTTTTTTTTGAGATGGAGTTTCCACTCTTGTTGCCCAGGCTGGAGTGCAATGGCGCGATGATCTCAGCTCAGTGCAACCTCCACTTCCCGGGTTCAAGTGATTCTCCTGCCTCAGCCTCCCGAGTAGCTGGGATTACAGGCACTTGCCACAACATCCGGCTAATTTTTTGTATTTTTAGTAGACGGGGTTTCATCATGTTAGCCAGGCTGGTCTCAAACTCCTGACCTCAGGTGATCCACCTGCCTCAGCCTCCCAAAGTGCTGGGATTACAGGTGTGAGCCACTGCACTGGCCCTAATCAGGTTTCAAATCCTTCTCTAAATACCCATCCTAGGCCACCATGTCTCACTGATTCTTTTATTCCTTTTTTTTTTAAGAACAATATCTAAAATGCAAAAAAAAAAAAAGGATATAATAATAAACAGTCATATTTTCATCACCCAGAGAAGTCCAGCCGCCAAGCAGGTGGCCTTTGATGGTGGGAGGCAGTGCCACCCCTGCCCTGCCTCCCTCTTCACTCTGGCTTACCCCATGGTGCTTTTCTGGCGCAGATGAGGAAACAGGGATTTGAGGGCTGCAGGAGGCAGAGGAGCCATCCTCCCGGTTCTCTCAGACAGGACAGGAAGCCTGGAGCACCCAGCTTCACAGAGGCCCCAGCACTTCCGTAGGCCTCGCACCACCTCCCTCACCCGCCTTTGCCAAGCCACCCGCTGTGATGATTTGAAGGCCACTCCGGCAGGGCAGAGAGGCCCTGCAGGTGATCTTGCACTCTGCCTGCATTTCCACCGCCAGAGCCTCAGATCTTTTGTTCTCCCAAATCAATGGCAGCAATGCTGTGGGCTGCCTCAAGTTTCGCCTCTCATCCTGGGATCGGGCGGGGGCTGGGAGTCCTATTGGACAGGGATGCCCCATTCGGGGGATTGCCAGTCAGGGCTGGGGTACGGGTGAACCCTCAAGAGTGACACATCTACTGGGTATTTAGACATGGGAAACAACTTCCCATTTGGCTGCGAGGAGGCTTCGGGAGCTGGGAAGTTCCCCTGCAACTGCCTGTGCTCCCGGGAGGAAAGGCCCCACCCAAGCCAGATCGTGGTCCCCTCGCAGGTGTAACGCATTGAGCTGGGTGAGCTGGGCAGCCTTGGAGTTGAAAGGACCCCAGGAATCCAGTCCAGGTCCCCTGTGGTGCAAATGGGGAAACTGAGGTCCGGACAGGGAGAGGACCTCACCCAGCCGGTGGCTGCCAGGTAACGCATGTCTTTGGTTTTGTCCCTTTAACTCTGTGAGTCTGGGTCTCAGTCTCCTCATCTGTCAGTTATAAATGATAATCCCACTACAGTCCCAGGGCATTGCCGGAGAAGCTGGCGGCGGCGTGGCAGTTGCTGTTCTCTGAAAAGTCCCCACTGTTCCTGCCCTCCCAGCCTTGGTCTTTGCTGGGCCCTGGGGTCCCTTCCTCAGGCTCCTCCCTGCTGAGCCCGCCCCCCGCACATCCTGGCTTGGGTCCCTGCAGTAAGCCCTGTTCTCACCCCCACCCCCGTCCAGGAACAAGGGCTGGGATGCTCTCACCAGCGTCAGCTTCTCTCATGCTGAAAGCTCTGACTCTTGCACCATGCCCAGGCCAGAGCCCTCACTCAATGCACTGAATAACTGAGCACACACAGGCACACCTGGAATCCTAACCGCTTCCACGGTCCCCTAAATGCTCATCCTGAGCCAGAAAGTCTAACTGACTCTTTTGTTGTTCTTTTTTTTTTTTTTGAGACAAGGTCTCGTTCTGTCTCCTAAGCTGGAGTGCAGTGGTGCAATCATGGCTCACTGTAGCCTCCAACTCATAGGCTCAAGAGATACTCCTACCTTAGCCTCTCAAGTAGCTAGGGCTGCAGATGTGACCACCGCACCTGGCTAATTATTATAATATTATTATTGTTATTATTTTTTGAGACGGAATCTTGCTCTGTTGCCCAGGCTGGAGTGCAATGGCATGATGTCCCGGCTCACTACAACCTCCACTTCCCGGGTTCAAGTGATTCTCCTGCCTCAGCCTCCCAAGTAGCTGGGATTACAGGCACCCGCCACCACGTCTGGCTAATTTTTTTGTATTTTTAGTAGAGACAGGGTTTCGCCATGTTGGCCAGGCTGGTCTCGAACTCCTGACCTCAGGTGATCTGCCTGCTGCGGCCTCCCAAAATGCTGGGATTACAGGCATGAGCCACCATGCCTGGCCTCACCTGGCTAATTTTTTGTTTGTTTTGAGATGGAGTCTCACTCTGTCGCCCAGCCTGGAATGCAGTGGCACAATCTTGGCTCACTGCAACCTCCAACTCCCAGGTTCAAGTGATTCTTCTGCCTCAGCCTCCCAAGTAGCTGGGACTACAGACGTGCGCCACCACGCCCAGCTAATTTTTTTACTTTTAGTAGAAACAGGGTTTCACCATATTGGCCAGGCTGGTCTCGAACTCCTGACCTCGTGATCCACCCGCCTCAGCCTCCCAAAGTGCTGGGATTACAGTTGTGAGCCATCACACCTGGCCTCACCTGGCTAATTTTTAAAAAATCTTTTGTAGATATGGAGTCTCACTATGATGCCCAGGCTGGTCTTGAACTCTTAGCCTCAAGTGATCCTCCCATCTCGGCCTCCCAAAATGCTGGGATTATAAGTGTGAGTCACTGTGCCTGGCCTGTTCTTCTTTAAAAGAAAAAAATCTGGCCGGGCGCGGTGGCTCACACCTGTAATCCCAGCACTTTGGGAGGCAGAGGCAGGCGGATCATGAGGTCAGGAGTTCAAGACCAGCCTGGCCATTATGGTGAAACCCCGTCTCTACTAAAAAAAAAAAACAATACAAAAATTAGCCAGGCGTGGTAGCACGTGCCTGTAGTCCCAGCTACTCGGGAGGATCGCTGAGGCAGGAGAATCTCTTGAACCCAGGAGGCAGAGATTGCAGTGAGCCAAGATCCCGCCATTGCCCTCCAGCCTGGGCGACAGAGCAAGACTCCGTCAAAAAAAAAAAAAAGAAAAGAAAAGAAAAATCTTAAAATGCAGAAAGATGGAAAGAATAATAAACAGCCATATTTCCCTCAGCCCAAAGTAAAACTGTCCACACCTCATCATTACTGCTTCTTTCGCTTTCTCTTTTGCCCGGGGGCAGGTGGCGGCATGGTGCACGGCGGGAGGCGGGCAGTGATGCCTGTTTTCCCCATGTTCCCCATTCACAATGGCCGTTGTCGTCCATGCCAGGTGGCCCCAGACCGATGGAAGAAAGGAAGCCCCAGTGGGAGTTTTGGTTTGGATGTCTCTGGTTATCCTCTCACACACTCACCAGCCAGCTCAGGTCCCCTCTGTACCCTGCTCACTCATATATTTTGCCATTTTTCTGTTGTGTTTCCTGCTTGTTCCTTGTTGGTCTGCAGGAGTTCTTTGAATGTGCTAGGTATGAATTCTTTGTTGGTTGTTTGGTTTGTGACATTTACATAAAATAAGATTAACTGGTTTTTTTTGTTGTTTTTTTTTTTTTGAGACAGGATCTTGCTCTGTCACCCAGGCTGGAGTGCAGTGGTCGAACTCCTGGGCTCAAGCAATCCTCCAGCCTCAGCCTCCTGAGCACCTGGGTCTACAGGCGTTGCACCACCATGCCCAGCTAATTTTTTGATTTTCTGTACAGACAGGGTCTTGCTATGATGTCTCAGCTGGTCTGGAACTCCTGGGCTCAAGCGATCTACCTGCCTCAGCCTCCCAAAGTGCTGGGATTACAGGTGTCAGCCACGGTGCCCAGCCAGATTAACCATTTTAAAGTGTATAGTTTAGTGGCATTTAGTATATTCACGACGTTATGCAATCATTACCTCTACCTTCTTCCAAAACATCTTCATCATCCCAAAAAGAAACCCCATCCTTCTTAAGCAATCTCTTCACTTTGCATTCCCCTCTTCCCCAATTCCTTGGCAACCAGCAACTGGCTTTCTGTCTCTATAGACTTACCTATTCCACATATTTCACATAAATGGAGTCATACAACATAGTGACCTTTTGTGCCTGGCTTTTTTTTTTTTTTTTTTTTTTTTTGAGACAGAGTTTCACTCTTGTTGCCCGGGCTGGAGTGCAATGGCGCGATCTCGGCTCACTGCAACCTCTGCCTCCTGGGTTCAAGTGATTCTCCTGCCTCAGCCTCCAGAGTAGCTGGGATTACAGGCATGCACCACCACACCCTGCTAAATTTTTGCATTTTTAGTAGAGACGCAGTTTCACCATGTTGGCCTGGCTGGTCTTGAACTCCTGACCTCAGGTGATCCACTCCCCCTCGGCCTCCCAAAGTGCTGAGATTACAGGCGTGAGCCACCGCGCCTGACAGCCTGGTTTTTTTTTTTTTTTTTTTTTACTTAACATGTTTTTTGTAGCATGTGCCAGTACTTTATTCCTTTATATGGCTGAATAATATTCCATTATGTGGCTATACCATGCTTTATTTAGCCATTCATCTGTTGATAGGTATTTGGGCTCCGCCATCTTTTGGCGATTGTGAATAGTGCTGCTATACCATTTGTGGTTATTTGTTTGACTACTTGTTTTCTTTTTTTTTCTCTTTTTTTTAGATGGAGTCTTATTCTGTCGCCCAGGCTGGAGTGCAGTGGCACAATCTCGGCTCACTGCAACCTTCACTTCCCTGGTTCCAGCGATTCTCCTACCTCAGCCTCTCAAGTAGCTGGGGCCACAGGCGTGAGCCACCATGCCCAGGTAATTTTTGTATTTTTAGTAGAGACTGGGTTTTGCCATGTTGCCCAGGCTGGTCTCAAACTCCTGGGCTCAAGTAATCTGCCCACCTGGGCCTCCCAAAGTGCTGGGATTACAGGCATGAGCTACTATGCCCAGCCAAAACCTCTTCTCCACATTCTCATCCACACTCCTCATTTTCCGTTTTACTTTTATTGTAGCCATCCTAGTGGGCACAAAGTGGTATATTAGTGTGGCTTTGACTTACATTTCCTTTTTTTTTTTTTTGAGACAGTCTCACTGTCACCCAGGTTGGAGTGTAGTTGGTGAATCTCAGCTCACTGCAACCTCCACCTCCCAGGTTCAAGCAGTTCTCCTGCCTCAGCCTCCCGAGTAGCTGGGATTACATGCGCACACCACCATGCCTGGCAACTTTTTGTATTTTTAGTAGAGACGGGGTTTCACCATGTTGGCCAGGCTTGTCTCAAACTCCTGATCTGAGGTGATCCACCCGCCTGGGCCTCCTAAAGTGCTGGGATTACAGGTGTGAGCCACCAACCCCGGCCTTACATTTCCTTCATGACTAATGGTGGTGAGCATCTTTTCATGTACTTGTTAGTCACTTGTACGTATTACTGAAGAAATGTATATTCAAGTCCTTTGACCCTTTTTGAATTGGGTTGTTTATCGTTTTGTTGAGTTGTAAGAGTTCTTTATATATTCTGGATATCTGACCCTTATAAGACATAATTTACAGACATGTTCTCCCATTCTGTGGGTTGCCTTTTTACTCTTGATACAGGTTGAGTACCCACATTCGCAATCATGTGAGGCGGGGTCCACCTTCTGTTCCACCGTGTAAGCCATCACCAGGCTTTAGCCAAACCATCCTTCCCCCTAGGCTGTGAGCCCACCTAGATTCCCATCACCACGTAAATGAGAATGTGATGGGTGCCCCTTTTGGGGTTCCATAGGCCAGTGAGAAGCAGTGAATTCGGGGTGCTCACAGCTCCAGGGATAGATCATGATGCTCAGAGTCATGAGAAACAGCATGAGCTGCAGAATAACACTGGCCCACAGCCACGCAGCCACATGTGTGCTTGTGTAAGGCTCGACACACAGCTAAAGAACAAATATCAGCCTCATTAAGAGGCAGCCTTGGGCTGGGTACAGTGGCTCACACCTTTATCTCAGCACTTTGGGAGACCAAGACAAGTGGATCACAAGGTCACAAGTTCAAGACCAGCCTGGCCAACACAGTGAGACCCCCGTCTCTACTAAAACTACACAAATTACAACAGGGGGCGGTGGCTCACACCTGTAATCCCAGCACTTTGGGAGGCCAAAAGGCAGGCAGATCACCTGAGGTTGGGAGTTCCGGACCAGCCTGATCAACGTGGAGAAACCTCATCTCTACTAAAAATACAAAAAATTAGCTGGGTGTGGTGGCGGGCACCTGTAGTCCCAGCTACTCAGGAGTCTGACGCATGAGAATGGCATGAACCTGGGAGGTGGAGTTTGCAGTGAGCCGACGTCACGCCACTGCACTCCAGCCTGGAGGACAGAGCAAGACTCCAGCTTAAAAAAAAAAATTTTGCCAGGTGTGGTGGTGCATGCCTGTAATCTCAGCTACTGGGAAGGCTGAGGCAGGAGCATCACTTGAACTCGGGAAGCAGAGGTTGCAGTGATCTGAGATTTCACCACTACACTCCAGCCTGGGCGACACAGCAAGACTCCATCTCAGGAAAAAAGAAGGCGGCAACCTTGGCAGGGGAGGAAGAGGAGAAGAGGGCTGGAGGAAGTACATACAGGAGAACACATTACAATTAAATAAAACGAGCACTGTCTCACATGGACCTGTTGGGTCTGGAATTGGTTCCTTCCGGTGGGTTCTTGGTCTTGCTGATTTCAAGAATGAAGCCACGGACCCTCCCCATGAGTATCACAGTTCTTAAAAATGGTGTGTCCAGAGTTTGTTCTTCCAGATGTTTGGATGTGTCCAGAATTGCTGCCTGCTGCTGGGTTCGTGGTCTTGCTGACTTCAGGAGTGAAGCCGCAGACCTTCTCAGTGGGTGTTATGGCTTAAAGGTGGCACGTGCAGTGTTGTTTGTTCCTCCCCGTGCATTCATGGTCTCCCTGGCTTCAGGAGGGAAGCTGCAGACCCTTGCAGTTAAGTGTTACAGCTCTTAAAGATGGCACGTCTGGAGTTCTTTGTTCCTCCCCGTGGGTTCCTGATCTTGCTGGTTTCAGAAGTGAAGCTGCAGAGTTTTGCCACTGGAGTGTTACAGCTCTTAAAAATGGCACGTCCGGAGTTGTTCCTACCTCGCAGTGGGTTCATGGTCTTGTTGGCTTCAGGAATGAAACCACAGACCTTTGTCGTGAGTGTTACAGCTCAAAAAGGTAGTGCGGACCTAAACACTGAGCAGCAGCAAAATTCATCATCAAAAGCAAAAAAACAGAACCAGGGAGCATCTTCGTTGCTGGCTCGGGTGGCCAGCTTTTATTCCCTTATTTGGCCCCACCCACATCCTGCTGATTGGTCCATTTTACAGCACGCTGATTGGTCCATTTTACAGAGTGCTGATTGGTCCATTTTACAGAGTGCTGATTAGTGCATTTTTACAGTGTGCTGATTGGTGCATTTTTACAGAGTGCTGATTGGTGTGTTTACAAACCTTTAGCTAGACACAGAGCACTGATTGGTACATTTACAATCCTTTAGACAGGAAAGTTCTCCAAGTCCCCACCTGGTTAGCTAGACACAGAGCACTCATTGGTGTGTTTTTACAGAGTGCCGATTGGTGTGTTTACAAACCTTTAGCTAGGCACAGAGCGCTGATTGGTGCATTTACAATCCTTTAGCTAGACAGAAAAGTTCTCCAAGTCCCCACCCGACCCAGAAGCCCAGCCAGCTTCACGCCTCACTGTGATAGCAACATGCCAGGACTTAGCCCCTGCACCAACACCCAAGGAAGAAGTGAAAGGACAGCTCTTTGGCACGAGGTGCTCCAGCCAGGCCCCTTCGAGTTTCCTATGACCCGTCATCGCTTTGACCTGCCTGGGTCCCTGAAGGGCCCTAACAGAGGAGGAAGGGCTCTTCTGGCAGGGGAAGAGGCCTGTTTCTCCCCTACCCCAGTAGTCATGGGGCCAAGCTTCAAAGTGCCTGAAAGGAGCACAGTAGGGGATGTCTTTACAGCCTAGGAGGAAGCCACAGGAATGGACTATTTCACTGATGGGGTAGCCATGCCCACATGCCCCAGCAGGCCAGCCTGGACTTGTACCTTCTGCTTGCCTGGGATCTTCCCCTGCAGACCGCCCCCGGCAGTCAGTTCCACACCAGGAGCCCTCAGCCAAACGACCACCATCCCCTCTGTCCGTGCTGACCCAATGCCCAGGCACAGTCCCAGCCCCAAGATGGGCCCAGTGATGAAGTGGCTGCCCCTTCACTTCCTCAGCAATCCCCGGTAGGTCCCGAGTACAGGCCAGACCTCCCTGCGAGGGGCACGTCCCCCTCAGATCTCAACCCAGGTGCCCTGAGTTGCCCTGCGTGTTTTTAGACATCTTCTATTCTGCGCCCTGGCTCTGTCCCCCCCATCTGTGTGTATAACCCTCTCTATTCCTGCCCGCTCCTGCTCCCTCTTCCTCCATCTTCCCTTCCTTCCTTTCACTGACCCCACACATACTGTCTGAATGCCTACTGTGTGTCGGCCACCAGGCACTCCCCAGGGGATGAGGCGAGCAGGGTCCACATGTGGGCCAAGACACAGTCAAAACCACTCAGAGAGCAACGAGCCCTTCTGGGTTTGTTTGTTTGTTTGTTTGTTTGTTTGTTTGAGATGGAGTTTCGCTCTTATTGCCCAGGCTGGAGTGTAGTGGGTTAATCTCGGCTCACTACAACCTCCACCTCCCGGGTTCAAGCGATTCTCCTGCCTCAGCCTCCTAAGTAGCTGGGATTACAGGCATGGACCACCATGCCCAGCTAATGTTTTGTGTTTAGTAGAGAGAGGGTTTCACCATGTTGGTCAGGCTGATATCAAACCCCTGACCTCAGGTGATCTACCTACCTCAGCCTCCCAAAGTGCTGAAATTACAGGAGTGAGCCACTGCGTCTAGCTGAGCCCTTGTGTTTTAAGCTGCAATGTGGGACAAAAAGATACCAGGCAGCAACTGTAGGGAGGGTGGCCTTGGAAGGCCTTTCTAAGGAGGTGACAGTCACACTGAGATCTAGAGGCAAGGACACCCGCTTTGCAAAGTTGTCGGGGAAGAGAAGTCAGGCAGGGGAACAGCAGATGCAAAGGCCTGGAGGCAGAGGCTGAGATCCTCCCGAGGACCAGCCCCTGGCCTCGGAGGTGGTTGGCCCTCAGTGACCAGAGAAAGAACAGTCTTTGCTGGTGTCACACAGCAAGTACGAGGCAGGGATCTAGGTAAGAAACCAGACCCTGCCAATACTACGTCTCATGTTCCTGCCCTGGCCACTGAACACTTGCTGAAGGCCACCCTTATTCACCGATGACAGTGTAGGATCGGTGAGGCCACCAGCAACCATTAGCGTCTGCCCAGAGCTGGGGATGGTCCCAATCAGATGCTCAGCTCCAGCTGGGAAAACAAAAGCAGCACCACATCCCCACTGTCTTTGCCATGCTGTTGGGGACGTTGGCCAGTATTGGATCACCAGCTGAGGCACACACACTTTTTTTTTTTTTTTGAGACGGCATCTCACTCTGTTGTCCAGGCTGGAGTGCAGTGGCACAATCTTGGCTCACTGCAACCTCCGCTTCCCAGGCTCAAAGTGATCCTTCCACCTCAGCCTCCGGAGTAGCTTGGACTACAGGCAGGCACCACCATGCCCGGCTAATTTTTTATATTTTTTTGTAAAAACAGGGTTTTACCAGTTTGCCCAGGCTGGTTTCAACTCCTGAACTCAAGTGATCCTCCCACCTTGGCCTCCCAAAGTGCTGCAACTACAGGCATGAGCCACTGCGCCTGGCCAGGCACATGCTGAGAGAGAGAGCCATCTGCCAACAGCTCATGCATTCACTTACCAGTGATGTCATTTGCCTGTGAGCACCCACCATGTGTCAGGCACGGGGCTGGGGCCTGCCCGGCCATTCCATCACCTCCTCCAGGCTTCTGTATCTGCGCCCCTGTCCCTGAAATAGCATTTCCACCTGCCTTGGATGCTCTCTGAAAAATGCTCCCCAAAAGATGTTCATATCCTAATCCTGGAACTCATGAAGGTTTCTGCTATGGTTTGAATATGTTCCCCAGATTTCACGTGTTAAAACTTAATCGTGGGAGGCCGAGGCAGGCGGATCACGAGGTCAGGAAATCAAGACCATCCTGGCTAACATAGTGAAACTCTGTCTCTACTAAAAATACAAAAAATTAGCTGGGCGTGGTGGCGGGCGCCTGTAGTCCCAACTACTCAGAAGGCTGAGGCTGAGGCAGGAGAATGGCGTGAGCCCAGGAGGCGGAGCTTGTACCACTGCACTCCAGCCTGGGCGACAGAGTGAGACTGTGTCTCAAAAAAAAAAAAAAAAAATACTTAATTCCAGCTGGGTGTGGTGGCTTATGCCTATAATCCCAGCACTTTGAGAGGCTGAGGTGGGAGAATGGCTTGAGGTCAAGAGTTCAAGACCAGCCTGGGCAACATAGTGAGACCCCCCCATCTCTAGCCCCCCTAAAAAATGATTTAAAAAATCCCCAAATTCATATGTTGATTGGAGGTGGGGCCATTGGGAGGTCATTAGGATTAGATGAGGGCGTCAGGGTGGGGCCCCATGATGGGACTTGTGGCTTTATAAGAAGAGGAAGAGAGACTTGAGCTGGCACACTCTTGCCCTCTCGCCATGTGACACACTGTGCCGTTTCCTGACGCTGTAGGAAGGCCCTCACCAGATGTTGGCACCATGCTCTTGGACTCCCCAGCCTATAGAACCATGAGCTAAATAAACTTCTATTGCTTATAAACTACCAGTCTGTGATATTCTGTTATAACAACAGAGAATACACTAGACAGAAAATTGGTACTGAGAAGTGTTGCTAGTAACAAATACCCAAAAACACAGAAGCAGCTTTGAAATGAGTAGCATTACCCAATGGGCTGGAAGAATTTGGAGAAGCAGGCTAGAAAAGCCTGTATTGCTGTAAAAAGAGCATTAAGGGCAATTCTGGTGAGGTCTTCGAAAACAAGAAGACTAGGGGAAGTCTGGAACCTCTGCGAGATTACTTAAGTGGTCATGACCAGAATGCAGATAGAAATGTGGAGAATAAAGGCCACTCTGATGAAGTCTCAGATGGAACGGAGGAACAAGATATTGGAAACTGGAGTAAAGCCCGTCCTTGTTATAAACTGGCCAAGAACTTGGCTGGATTGTGTCTGTGCCAGGGACTCTATGGAATGCAGAATTTGAGAGCAATACATTAGGATATCTGGCAAAAGAACTATCTAAGCTGCAAAGTGTTCCGGCTGCTGCACAGCTACTTACATTAAGCTGCAAGAGGGAAAATGACTTAAAGATGAAATTTATAATCAAAAGGGAAGCAAAGCAGAAAGTCTTGGAAAATTCTCAGCCTGGCCACATAAAGAGAGAAGAGGCATGTTCAGGAGAGGGAACCAAAAGGGTGGCCCAGCAACTGTTCGCTAAGGAAATTAGTACAGGGAGAAAGATCGGCAAGAGAATAGAAGAAAGGTCGCGTGCGGTGGTTCATGCCTGTAATCCCAGCACTTTGGGAGGCTGACGTGGGCGGATCACGAGGTCAGGAGTTCGAGACCAGCCTGGCCAACATGGTGAAACCCCATCTTTACTAAAAATACAAAAATTAGCCAGACATGGTGGCGTGCGCCTGTAATCCTAGCTACTCAGGAGGCTGAAGCAGGAGAATTGCTCGAACCTGGGAGGTGGAAGTTGCAGTGAGCTGAGATCATGCCACTGCACTCGGGCCTGGGCGACAAGAGTGAGACTCTGTCTCAAAAAAATAAATAAATAAATAAATAAATAAATAAATGAGAGAATGGAAGAAAGACCCCGAAGCATTTCAAAGATCTTCCAAGCTGGCCCTCCCATCACAGACCCAGAGGCCTAGGAAGGAAGAATGGTTTTGGGGACAGGCCAGGCACCCTTCATGGATTTGCTGTCCAGGGCCCCCTAGAGTGTCCGTGCTCTCATGTAGTGTTTCCTCCACTGTCCCAGCTGTGGCACAAGCAGCCCCAGGTGTGGCTGGACCCACTGCTCTGGAAGATATAAGCCCATAGCCTTGGTGGCATCTGCATGGTGCTAATTCTACAGGCTCACAGAAAGCAAGAGCTGTGAGTATGGCAGCCTCTGCCTAGTTCAAAGGCTGTATCAGCCTTGTAGCCCAAGCAGGATTTGTTGCAGGGGTGGAGACACCACAAAAAGCCTCTCATGAAGGCAATGCCTGGTGGAGCTGAGGCAGTGAGACCATCACCAAGACCCGAGAACTGTACAGCTACCAGTGTGCAACGCCAGCCAGGGAGAGCTCAAGTGTGGGCTGGGCCCAGCAAAGCCATGGAAGCCAGGCTGCCCCAGGCCTTTGGGGCCCACCCCCCACCCCAGTATGTCCAGGAGGCGGAACACAGAGTGAAGGATTATTCTGGAGTCTTAAGGTGTGATGTTTAGCCCAGGCTTGGTGGCTCACTCCTATAATCCCAGCACTTGGGGAGGCCGAGGCTGGCAGATCACAAGGTCAAGAGATCGAGACCATCCTGGCCAACATGGTGAAACCCCGTCTCTACTAAAAATACAAAAATTAGCTGGGCGTGGTGGTGCACACCTGTAGTCCCAGCTACTCGGGAGGCTGAGGCAGGAGAATCACTTGAACCCGGGAGGCGGAGGTTGCAGTGAGCCAAGATCATGTCACTGCACTCTAGCCTGGTGACAGACAACAACAAAAAAGATACAATATCTACCCTGTTGTGTTTGGGCTTCTTTGGGACCATCTGCCCCTTTCATCATGCCTACTTCTGCTTTTTGGAATGGGAATGTCTATCCAATGCCTGTGCCACCACTGTATTTTGGGAGGAGATAACTTGTTTGATCTCACAGGGTCACAGCTGGAAGGAATTCATCGCAGGATGAATCGTACCTTCAGTCTCACCCATATCTCATTCAGATGAGACTCTGGACTGCAGACTTTTGAGTTGATGCTGGAGCAGGTTAAGACTTTGGGGCTTTGGGGATGGAATGAGTACATTTTGCATGTGAGGACATGCATTTTGGGGCCCAGGGCAGACTACTGTGTTTTGAATGTGTCTCCTAAATTTCATGTGTGGGAGACTTAATCCCCAAATTCATATGTTGATTGGAGGTGGTGCCTTTGGGAGGTAGTTGGGATTAGATGAGGTCATTGGGGCAGGGCCCCCAGGAAGGGACTGATGACTTTCTAAGAAGAGGAAGAGGCTGGGTGAGGTGGCTCATGCCTGTAATCCCAGCACTTTGGGAGACTGAGTGGGTGGATAGCTTGAGCCCAGGTTTTTAAGACCAGCCTGGGCAATGCAGTGAAACTTCATCTCTATAAAAAATACAAAAATTAGCTGGGTGTGGTGATTTCGTCCACACGTACTGCAGTCCCAGCTACTCGGGAGGCATGAGGTGAGAGGATTCCCTGAGCCTGGGGAGGTGGAGGCTACAGTGAGCCGTGATCACATTGCTGCCCTCCAGCCTGAGCAATGGAGTGAGTCCTGTCTCCAACAAATTGTTTAAAAAAGGAGAGGACGAAAGACCTGAGCTGACAGCTTCTGCTCTCTCCCATGTGAAGCCCTGTGCCATGGAATGATGCCATGAGAAGTCCCACACCAGATGCCAGTGTGATGCGCTTGGACTCCCTAGCCTCCAGAACCATAAGCATATAAACCTCTATTGTTTATAAATGACCCAGTTTGTTTTATAGAAACAAAAAACTGAGACAGTTTTCTTACATGGCAAAAAGCGGGGTGGGTCTATCAGGTGTGACTGAGGATTCTGAGATGAGGAGATTGTCCTGGGGTATCGGGGTGGGCCCTGAATGCCATCACTAGTGTCTTTATAAGAATGGGGAAGCAGGCCATGGGTGGTGGCTCACGCCTGTAATCCCAGCACTTTGGGAGGCTGAGGTGGGAGGATCACCTGAGGTCAGGAGTTCAAGACCAGCCTGGCCAACATGATGAAACCCTGTCTCTACTAAAAATGCAAAAAATTGGCCGGGCACGGTGGCTCACGCCTGTAATCCCAGCACTTTGGGAGGCCAAGGCGGGTGGATCACAAGGTCAGGAGCTTGAGACCAGCCTGGCCAATATGGTGAAACCCCATCTCTACTAAAAATACAAAAATTAGCCAGGCGTGGTGGTACACACCTGTAGTCCCAGCTACTCGGGAGGCTGAGGCAGGAGAATTGCTTGAACTCAAGTGGCAGAGGTTGCAGTGAGCTGAGATGGCGCCACTGCACTCCAGCCTGGGCAACAGAGTGAGACTTCATCTCAAAAAAAAAAAAAAAAAATTAGCCGGGTGTGGTGGCACGTGCCTGTGGTCCCAGCCACTGGGGAGGGTGAGGCAGGAGAATCGCTTGAACACAGGAAGCAGAAGTTGCAGTGAGCTGAGATTGCACCACTGCACTCCAGCCTGGGTGACAAGAGTGGAACTCCATCTCAAAAAAAAAAAAAAAAAAAGAATGAGGAGGCAGAGTGATGACCACACACAGAAGAGAAGACAGGGTGCAGATGGAGTGGAGAGACCTCCAAAGATGCTGGCCTGGAAGACGGCAGTGATGTGGCCACAAGCCAAGGAAGGCCGGCAGCTGCCAGAAACTGGAGGAGGCGAGGAACAAGTCTGCCCTAGAGCCCTGCAGAGGGAGCACGGCCCTGCAGACACCTTGATTTCTGCACAGTGACACTGATTTCAGGCTTCTATCCTCCAGAACTGTGAGAGAGCAAATTTCTCTCACTTGTGGCAATTCATTACAGCAGGAAACAAACACACTCGCTAACCCTTTACTCCAATTTACCAGCGCCCTCCTCTGCTCCTGCTTATGGAGTGTATGTCATTCCCAGCTGGAATGCCAACTGAGGGCAGGGTTTTAAGAGCCTTGTTTTTCACTGCACCCTAGGGCTCACAGCACCAAACACAGGTTGAATGCACAACGAATGAATGAATGGAGGAACCAGTATTTTTTCATTTTTCAAAAGTAATAATAACTTTTACATGAATGTGGGCTTAGGCATATGCTTAGAAAAAGTCCCAAGGGGGCCGGGTGCAGTGGCTCATGCCTGTAATCCCAGCACTTTGGGAGGCCAAGGCAGGCAGATAACGAGGTCAGGAGAGCAAGACCATCCTGGCTAACACGGTGAAACCCCGTCTCTACTAAAAATACAAAAAGTTAGCCAGGCGTGGTGGCGGGTGCCTGTAGTCCCAGTTACTCGGGAGGCTGAGGCAGGAGAATGGCGTGAACTCAGGAGGCAGAGCTTGCAGTGAGCCGAGATTGCACCACGGCACTCCAGCCTGGGCGACGGAGCGAGACTCCATCTCAAAAAACAAAAACAAAAAAACAAAAAAACAAACAAAAAAAAGTCCCAAGGGAATCTACACAAATTTCTACCAGCACTTAGCACCAGGAATGAAACTACAGAAAGCTTCACATTCCACAGTGAACACTTTTGAGGGATTCAAGAACCTCTATTAATTGTTATCAAGAAACCAAATAAGAAAAGCAAACCATAAGGCCGGGTGAGGTGGCTCATCCCTGCAATCCCAGCACTTTGGAAGGCTGAGGCAGACAGATCACTTGAGCTCAGGAGTTCGAGACCAGCCTCGCCAACATGGCGAAACCCCAAAACCCCATCTCTACTGAAAATACAAAAAATTAGCCAGGCGTGGAGGTGAATGGCTGAGGCATGAGGATCACTCGAACCCAGGAGGCAGAGTGAGCTGAGTGAGCTCAGTGAGCTGAGATCGCACCACTGCACTCCATCCTGGGTGACAGAGCGGGACCCTGTCTCAAAAAAAAAAAAAAAAAAAAAGGCAAACCATGAAGAGGAGAGGAGCACCATTTTTTCCAAAAGGGTGATTCTCTATGGAGTTGGGGTCTGGAGAGCATCTGCTTGAATGGAAGTCGCCAACAGGAAGAAAGCCATGCTTTGCAGAGGCCTCACTAGCCTGGAGAGCCACCAGGGCCCTCAAGGGCAATCAAAGTTCCCATCATTGGACTAAGAGGGGCAGGAACGTCCACCTGTCTTTCCTCAGATAAGAGAAGGGGCTCTTGGAGACTTTGGGGGGCCATTTAGACGTTGAGAGCTTAGTTCCTACACCACAGTTCCTACACCACTGATGGCTGCTGCCATGTTTTATTGGCGACCTGCTCCGGGCCAGGCACGTGGATTGTTTTTAATCATCTCGGCAAAATCTCAAGGTGGGGCCAGTCTTTGATTTATGGAGGAGAAAACCGAGACTCTGAGAGGTGGTTTGCTCAATGTCACACAGCTGGAAGGTGGCAGAGGTGAGAGGGGCCTCTGGTCTGCACTGACCCTTCTCATGAGGCCACATATACCCACTACCATCTTAGCGCATGTCTCGGGGTCTGTAAGGATTTTCCACACTCGGGCAGTGCACCTTCTGGCCATTCCTGGGTCCTTGCAACACTGGTATCTCCCCAGTTCACCAGTCGTTTAAAAATGCTTAAGGGAGTTCAATTCTGCCCCAACACCAGGCAAACAGTGCCACCTGGCGGATGACAAGGACAGTACAGGAATTACCATGTGCCCTTGGGAAACTGTCCCCAGGCAGTTGTGATTCTAGGCCAAGGGCAGAGTTGTTTTCTTTGACTTCATAAGAGGGGCAGGAGAGGAGGCCCACTGTTACCACAGCTGAAAATCAGAGGGCTGGCCCTGTCTGGGTGCTTCTGACAGCGAACCCAGACTTTCTGGGTCCCCTCTATGGTATCCTGCCAAGAGATCATCCAGCTTGGGCTTAAATACGTCCAGGGTGGGGGTCTCACTCTCCATGTGTCTTCATCACAAAGTTCTTGCTATCTCCGTGTAACATCTACTCTTGGCTCTTGCTCTACTTCCACGAAGAGCTCATCAACCTTTCTGCCCTCTGACAGCCCTTTGGAGGATCCAGGGAGCTCCACTTTCTCCTCCAGACTAAGCAGCCTCCATCACTGCTCTCAGGACAGGAATCTGGCTCTTCTCCCTGAAGTCATGCTCCTCAGGTCTTCCTGGCTTGAGTGCTTGTGGTTGGGAAGTAGGATGGGAGGGGCAGAGACAGCTTCATTTTGCTGTATCCGATAGTGGAAGTGCTCTTCTCCCGACACCTGCCATGGCTGGAATCTTCTCACCATTCAGGTCTCAGCTCAAATATTACCTCCTTGGTAAGGCCTTCTCTGACCACCCTGGGCTCAAGTAGCCTCCCCAGGCCCACCCTCAGCCAAACCAATGGCACGTTTGCAGCCTGCCCCACCCCCACCCCCAACCTGGCCATGAGCTCCACAGGACAGGGATTTGTCTGTTGTGTTGGGTATTGAGTCCATGGCCGTGGAGCAGTGGCCAGCATCTGCTGGCTTGATCCTCACCGGGATGAAGAGCAAGGTAGGGCAGTGGCTCCACTGGGCTCCTCCAGAAGCAGAGCCTGGGATAAGGGCAAATAGTTAATTTGGGAGATATCCCCCTAAAATTCTTTTTTCTTTTCTTTTTTCTTTTCTTTTTTTTTTTTTAAGAGACAGAGTCTTCCTCTGTTATCCAGGCTGGAGTGTAATGACATGATCATAGCTCACTGCAGCCTTGAACTCCTGGGCTCAAGCGACATTCCTCAGCCTCCCAAGTAGCTGGGTCTACAGACGTGCACCACCGTGTCCACCTAATTTTTAAAATTATTTTTGGTAAAGACAAGGTCTTGCTTTATTGCCCAGGCTGGTCTCAAATTCCTGGGATCAAGAGATCCTGCTGCCTCAGCCACCCAAAACACTGAGAATTCAGGTATGAGCTACCATGCTTGGGTATCCCCCAAAATTCTAATGTTGAAGTCCTAACCCCCAGAACCTCAAGAGTGTAGTTGTCCCTTGATATCCACGAGGGATTTGTTCCAGGACCCTCACAGTAGATACCAAAAATCCAAGGATGCTCAAGTCCCGTGTATAAAATGGCATAGTGGCCAGGCGCAGTGGCTCACGCCTGTAATCCCAGCACTTTGGGAGGCCGAGGTGGGTGGATCACCTAAGGCCAGGACTTTGAGGCCAGCCTGGTCAACATGGTGAAACCCCGTCTCTACTAAAAATACAGAAATTAGCCGGGTGTAGTGGCACACACCTGTAATCCCAGCTACTCGGGAGGCTGAGGCAGGAGAAATGCTTGAACCTGGGAGGCAGCAGTTGCAGTGAGCCAAGATCGCACCATTGCACTCCAGCCTGGGCAACAAAAGCAAAGCGCCATCTCAAAGAAAATAAATAAATAAATAAATAAAATGACATAGTATTTGCATATAACCTAAGTGCATCCTCCCATGTACTTTAAATCATCTCTAGATTACTTATAATGTCTAATACAATGTAAATACTACATAAATAGTTGGTATACTATATTTTATTTGTATTTTTGTTGTTGTGTTGTTATTTTAAATTAATTTTTTTTTCTCGAATATTTTCAATCCATGGTTGGTTTGATCCCTGGATACCAGAGAGCCAACTGTAACCTTATTTGGTGATAGGGTCTTTACAAAGGTCATTAAGTTAAAATGATGTCAGTAGGATGGGTCCTAATCCAGTACGAGCCATGTCCTTATCAAAAGGGGAAATTTGGACACACACACACATAGAGGGAATTCTGATGAGGTGAAGAGACACAGGGAGAAGACGGCACTGATACGCTGAGGAGAGAGGCCTGGAATAGAGCCTTCCCGCACACTCCTAGGAAGGGCCCTTCCTTGCCAACACCTTGATCTTGGCCTCACGGCCTCCAGACCATGAGAGAGTGACGTTCTGTTGAGGCCCCCAGTCTGTGATGCTTTGTTACAGCAGCCCTGGCAGACTAACACAGGCACCCACTGCACCTGCACAGACAGGGCCGTGGATCCCTTTACAGGTGAGAAGGCTGAGCCAGGGGAGGGAGGTGACTTGTCCCTGGTCACTCAGAACCAGGCAGGCCACAGACCCAGGTCTCTGAACTCAAGACAGGAGGATCAAGCCCCCAATCCCAAGCCCACCCCACTCCCCAACATAACCCCAGTGGCCTGACGATGGGCCCCTGACCAAGGGTAAGCATTGGAAAGCCCAGCCTCGCTCGGGTAGGCCTGGGGACAAAGATGCACATGCACACACCCCGCTCAGGCCTCACTGGGAAGTGGATGTGGGGCAGGGAGGAAGTGGGGGCCTTTGGGACACATGGGAGCAAGGTGGGCTTCCAAGACAACACCCACCACCAAAAATCACCAACCCAGATGTGCCCAGGCACCAAACCCCAAATGAAGGTCTGACCAGAACGGCAGCTGATGAACACTGCCCAGGGATGCAATCGCTGATTCAGCTCACGCTGAGCTCAGCCCCAGGGCCCCCGTGCCCTCAGTGAGCTCAGCATCTTATGGAGGACGTGTGTATGCAGACAGCCGCAGAAGAATGCTTATTCCTGGGACAGGTCAACGCCTCAGAGCCTGTGGGAATCCGGGGGTGCCCTAACCAGAACAGAGTGTCAGGGAAATCTCCCTGGAGGAGGTGGCCCTGGCATGAAGTTTTGAGAGACAAGGAAGCATTAACTGCCACAGTGAGACACCACTTGATGGTCACTACCAACAAATGGGAAATATGTGTTGAAGAGATGTGGGGACCTAGAACCCCCGTGCGCTGCTGGTGGATGTGTAAAATAGCAGCCACTATGGAAGATAGTGTGTTGATCCCTCAAAAAGCTAAACATAGGCTGACCACATGACCCAGCAATCCCACTCCTAGGTGTATACTCAGGAGAATGGACACATCCACGTGAAGACTTGTACATGAGTGTCCATAGCAGTATTATTCCTAACAGCCAAAGATGGAAACGACCCAGGTGTCTATCAACGGATGAACAGGCAGATAGAATGTGGTATGTCCATACAGTGGAATATTATTGAGCCTTGAAAAGGAATAAAGTTCATTTTATTTTACTTATTTATTTATTTATTTTTGAGATGGAGTTTTGCTCTTGTTGCCCAGGCTGGAGTGCAATGATGCCATCTCAGCTCACTGCAACCTCCGCCTCCCAGATTCAAGCAGTTCTCCTGCCTCAGCCAGCCAAGTAGCTGGGACTACAGCCATGTGCCACCAGGCCTGGCTAATTTTTTTGTATTTTTAGTAGGGAGGGGGTTTCACCATGTTGGCCAGGCTGGTCTCGAACTCCTGACCTCAGGTGATCCACCCACCTCACATCCCAAAGGGCCGGGATTACAGGTATGAGCCACCACGCCTGGCCAGTTTTTTAAAAAAGGAACAAGGTTGGTCGGGCCTGGTGGCTCACGCTTGTAATCCCAGCACTTTAGGAGGCCGAGGCTGGTGGATCACCTGAGCTGTCAGGAGTTCGAGATCAGCCTGGCCAACATGGTGAAACCCCGTCTCTACTAAAAATACAAAAAATTAGCCAGGCATGGTGGTGGCATCTGTAATCCCAGCTACTTGGGAGGCTGAGGCACGAGAATCACTTGAACCCAAGAGGCAGAGGTTGCAGTGAGCCAAGATCGCATCACTGCACTCTAGCCTGGGCAACAAGAGCAAAACTCCATCTCAAAAACAAACAAAAAAGGAATGATGTCCTGATCCATGCTACAACATGGATGAATCTCAAAAACATTTGCCTAAGCAAAAGCAGCAGACACAACAGCACATATGAGTCCATTCATATGGAATGTCCAGGATGGGCAAACCCACAAAGACAGAGAGCACATGCATGGTTGCCAGGGGCTGGGCAGGGGAAATGGGGAGGTTCAGGTTTCCTTCTGGGGTGATGAAAAGGTTCTGGAACTAGATAGTGGCAGTTGCACAACATCGTGAATATCCCCCAAACTACTGAATTGTACTCTAAAATGGCTACAATGGTGAATTTTATGTGAATTTTACCTCAATTAAAAATTTCAGAAAGAGGCCGGGTGCAGTGGTTCACGCCTGTAATCCCAGCACTTTGGGAGGTCAAGGCAGGCAGGTCACCTGAGGTCAGGAGTTCGAGAGCAGCATGGTCAACATGGTGAAACTGCGCCTCTACTTAAAAAAAAAAAATACAAAACTTAGCGGGACGTGGTGGCACGTGCCTGTAATCCTAGCTACTCGGGAGGCTGAGACAGGAGAACTCTTGAACCTGATGGAGGTTGCAGTGAGCCGAGATCGTGCCATTGCACTGTCCAGCCTGGGCGACAGAGCGAGACTCCGTCTCAAAAAAAAAAAAAAAAAAAAAAAAAAAAAAAGAAAGAAAGAAAAACAATTCATCGGCAAAGAAGGGAGAAGAGAGTCCCAGGCAAGGGAAAGGGCCGGCACAGAAGCCAGCAGCGCGGGATGGCTTCTGGGAGCTGCAGACTGCCCAGAGCACTGGCAAGAGAGAAGGCTGGACACGGCCCTGAGTGCCAGGAAAGGGATTTAGAATTTCCTCTGCGCCAACAGGCAGCCCACGGTGGCTCTTCAGCAGGGAAATGGAGTGGTCAGATTTGCACACTGGGAAGGCTTCTAGGGCTTCGAAGGAGAAGGGGGATGTGCGGGGAGGGAATTGGAGGTGGGTTCAGGGGCTGAGAGGGGGAAGGGTGATGTGGGGGTAGGGATAATTGGAGGTGGGTTCGGGGACTGTGAGGGGGAAGGGGATGTGAGGGTGGGGATTGGAGGTGGGTTCGGGGACTGTGAGGGGGAAGGGGATGTGCAGGGGAGGGGATTTGAGGTGGGTTCGGGGCTGCAGGGGGAAGGGATGGGGCCAAGGAGTTAGGAAGGGGAAGTGAGGAGAAGTGAGGCACTAGGAAACCCAAGATTGAAGAGAGGGGACGTGGGAGGTGAGGGAGAGAAAGGAGGGAGACAGGTTAGTGGCTCAATACTGGGGCTCACCAGGGTGGAAAGCCCTAGGGCAGGAGCGCTCTGGGAAGAAGATGAAGAATAGGTCCAGAATATGAGTCGGAGGTGCCTGAGAGACATCCAGGTAGGGACAGGAGGGTCAGCCTAAGGGGAGGGTCTGGGCTGGTGACAAGACCCTGGGCTCAAATCTGAGGGCTTGGAGAGTACAGGTGCCAGATGATTGAGATCTCCCAGAACGACAGATCTGAAACCTTGTGACACCAACAGCGGTGGTTTCATGGGCTCTGAAGCCAGTGGCCTGGGCTCGAATCCGAGCACTGCCATTTACAAGCTGCATGATGTTGGGCGAATTACTGAATCTCTCTGAGTCTCCTTCCCCTGTTTCTAAAGTGGAAGGAATCCATTCCTATCTCACAGAGTTGCTGGGAAGATTCAGTTAGTTAATATTTGCCCAGGGCTTAGGTCAGTGCCTGGTGACTGCTTAGCAAATGTTAGCTACTATTTAGTAGCTAACTAATGATTCTTATTCAAGAATCATTTAGGGATCTTATTAAAGAGAAAGAGTCCTGGGCCCCACCCCCAGAGATGCTGGCTGAGACAGAGTCAGATGTGGCCTGGGAATCTGACTTTGGTTTTTTTTTTTTGGAGACAGTGTTTTACTCTGTTACCCAGGTTGGAGTGCAGCGGCGTGATCTCAGCTCACTGCAGCGTCAACTTCCCGGGCTCAGGTGACTTTCCTGCCTCAGCCTCCAGAGTAGCTGGGATTACAGGCATGCGCCACTGTACCCGGTTAATTTTTGTATTTTTTGTAGAGATGGGGTTTCACCATGTTGCCCAAGCTGTTCTCAGACTCCCGGGCTCAAGCGATCCGTCCACCTCTGCCTCCCAAAGTACCGGAATTATAGGCAGGAGCCACCGTGCTCATCTGGAATCTGGCTTTTAACAGGCATCCCCCAACCTACCCTATGTCATTGTGAGGCAGGTGGTCACTGGACCTCACAGCCTTAGTGGAGTGGAAGGAGTAGACTACAGGGTTCCAAGCTGCCCAAATTTTGAGGGACAGGCTGAGAAGCCCAGGACACAGGACAACGCAGAGATGTGGGAGGAAAACTGGTGAGAAAGGAGACCCAACAAATGACAGAGGGTGGGCTCTCGGGAGAAGTGGGGGAGCCACGGGGTCGCATGCTGCTGAAAGACCCAGCTAGAGAGGACAGAGGAGCCTCTCTCCGGGGAAATTGACAATAAGAAGGTGGCTGGTGACTCTGGGAGGAGCTATTTCTGAGAAGTGGTGGAACCAGGGCCAGAGAGCCATGGCTTCAGGACTATGTGGGGTGCTACGGACTGCACTGTGTCTCCCCAAACCCCCATGTTGAAGTCCTAACCCCCGGTACCTCCGAATGTGGCTGTATGTGGAGATAGGGCCTCTGAAGAGGGGATTAAGGTAAAATGAGGTCACACAGATGGCCTTAATCCAGTACGGCTGACACCCTAATAAGAAGCAGGAATTTGGACAGACACATAGAAAGGGAATACTATGTAAAGACACACAGAGAAGACACCGTCTACAATCCAAGGAGAGAGGCCTCAGAAGGCATCAACCGTGCTGACACTGCGGTCTCACATTTCCAGCCTCCAGAATTGTGAGAAAATTAGCTTCTGTTGTTGGAGCGCCCAGTCTTTGGTGCTCTGCTACAGCAGCCCGACAGACTCACGAGTAAGGCAGTGAGTCAGCAATGCTCTGACAGAGTCCAGATGCCACCCAAAATCTGGGCGAAGCCCCTGACAAGAAAGACCAAAGTCAACAAACAGAAAAAAGCAACTTGGTGAACTTTGATTATCTTCTTTTTTTTTTTTTTTAGACAGAGTTTAGCTCTTGTTGCCCAGGCTGGAGTGTACTAGCATGATCTTGGCTCACTGTACCCTCTGCCTCCTGGGTTCAAGAGATTCTCCTGCCTCATCCTCCCCAGTATCTTGAATTACAGGTGCCTGCCACCATACCTGGCTAATTTTTATATTTTTAGTAGAGACAGGATTTCACCATGTTGGCCAGGCTGGTCTCGAACTCCTGACCTCAGGTGATCTACCCACCTTGGCCTCCCAAAGTGCTGGGATTACAGGAGTGAGCTACCTCGCCCAACCAATTATCTTTTATGAATCTGTAAGATGGAGATAATATATCTTACAGCAGAATTGTAAACGTTCAGCAGAGCATATGGAGTGTATAATCAGTGCTCAAGGATCCTAAAGAGGGCCAGGTGTGGTGGCTCATGCCTGTAATCCCAGCACTTTGGGAGGCTGTGGTAGGAGGATCACTTGAGGCCAGGAGTTCAAGACTAACCTGGGCAATATAGCAAGGCCTCATCTCTACAAAAAGAATTTAAAACTAGCTGGGCTTGGTGGTGTGCATCTGTAGTCCTGGGAGATACTGGGGAGGCTGAGCGGGGAGGATGGCTTAAGCCCAAGTGTTTGAGGTTACAGTGAGCTATGATCATGCCTACAGTGAGCTAGGATCATGTACTCCATCCTGCGTGACAGAGCGAGACCCTATTGGAAGAAGAAAACTTCAAAAATGAGTGACAATCTCATCAATATCCTCAGCGAGATAAGAGAATTGCAACCACAAAACAAGAACAGGATGTAAGAAAAAAGGAATATTCAGAGAACAGAAAAGAGCCCATGAAAATTATCTACATATTATTAATATATTATTAATATTATCTAAATTATGTTATTTATATATCATATTTATGGACAATATATGAGTGGATATGTAATATATATTTACACTTACACACATACATATAGAAATTAAAACCTCAACATAAGGATTAGAAGATAAAATTGAAGGCTGGGTGAGGTGGCTCACACCTGTAATCCCAGCACTTTGGGAGGCCAAGGTGGGTGGATCACAAGGTCAGGAGTTCAAGACCAGCCTGGCCAACATGGTGAAACCCTGTCTCTACTAAAGATACAAAAAATTATCAGGTGTGGTGGCACATGCCTGTAATCCTAGCTTCTGAGGCTGAGGCAGGAGAATTGCTTGAACCTGGGAGGCAGAGGTTGCAGTGAGCTGAGATTGCACCATTGCTCTTCAGCCTGGGCCACAGGGTGAGACTCCATCTCAAAAAAAAAAAAAGAAGAAGAAGATAAAATTGAAGAAATGACATGGAAAATAAAAAAGATAAGGAAATGTCACAGATCCAGACAGAAGGATCTGAGTTATAGGAGAATATCTGAGTTATAGGAGTTCCAGAAAGTGAGAACACAGAAAATGGAGCGGAAGTGGGGCTGGGCGTGGTGGCTCACGCCTATAATCCCAGCACTTTGGGAGGCCGAGGCAGGCAGATCACGAGGTCAGGAGATTGAGACCATCCTGGCTAACACGGTGAAACCCCGTCTCTACTAAAAATACAAAAAAATTAGCCAGGCATGGTGGCAGACGCCTGTAGTCCCAGCTACCCAGGAGTCTGAGGCAGGAGAATGGCATGAAACTGGAAGGTGGAGCTTGCAGTGAGCCGAGACCGTGCCACTGCACTCCAGCCTGGGCAACAGAGTGAGCCTCTGTCTCAAAAAAAAAAAAAAAAAAAAGAAAATGGAGCCGAAGAAATCATCAATTATATAATCCAAGAAAATGTCTCAGAACTGAAGGACAAGACTTTACAGGTTGAAAGGGCTTACCAGGAAGCCAGAATAATGGATGAAAACAGATTCCTATCAAAGCATATCATTGTGAAGATCAGCAACAAAGAGAAGGTTCTACAAGTTCCCAAAAATGGAAAATATAAAAGGGCAGGTATGTGGGAAAGATCTTATACAAAGGAATGGGAATCAGACTGACTTCGTACTTCTCAGCAGCAACACTGGAAGCTAGAGAATGATGGAACTGTGCCCTTGAAATAAACTACAGGCATTCAATGCATAGCAACATTTCAGTCAACCATTGACTGCATATACAGTGGTGGTCCCATAAGATACCATATTTTTACTGTACCTTTCCTATGTTTAAATATGTGTAGGTACACAAATACTTACCATTGTGTTATAATTGCCTACAGTATTCACTACAGTAACATGCTGTACAGGTTTGTAGCCTAGGAGCACCAGGCTAGACCATACAGCATAGGGGTGTAGTAGGCTGTACCATATAGGTTTGTGTAAGTCACTCTATGATGTTCGCACAATGACAAGGTTAACTAATGATGCATTTCTCCTAATGTATCCCTATTATTATTATTATTATTATTTTTTTTTTTTTTTTTTGAGATGGAGTCTCGCTCTGTCGCCCAGGCTGGAGTGCAGTGGCGCGATCTCGGCTCACTGCAAGCTCCGCCTCCTGGGTTCACGCCATTCTCCTGCCTCAGCCTCCCGAGTAGCTGGGACTACAGGCGCCCGCTACCACGCCCGGCTAATTTTTTGTATTTTTAGTAGAGACGGGGTTTCACCGTGTTAGCCAGGATGGTCTCGATCTCCTGACCTCGTGATCCGCCCGCCTCGGCCTCCCAAAGTGCTGGGATTACAGGCGTGAGCCACCGCGCCCGGCCAATGTATCCCTATTATTAAGCAATGTGTGACTGTATTTCCAATCTTCATTTTATGCCCAGCCAAACTACAAATCAAGTAGGAAGGTAGATAGACTAAAGGCATTTTCAAACATGAAAAGTTTCAATAAATCTACTTCCCTTCCTTTCTTCCCTATTCTCTTTCTCATTTTGGTAGAGCACATCTTCCACCCTTCTCAAGAAAGGGAAATCCCAGGACAAAAAAAGCAGGAAATCCACCTCTGGAGAGAGACAAGAAGTGATCCGAAGGTGTTGCTTGAAGGAATAGCCGAATGATCTAATCTGTGCCCTGGGCAGAAAGGGCAGTCAAACCAGATTGGAGCTGGGCAGAAGGTCCCTCAAGTGATTTCATCAAGATGAAATTTATAGAACACACAATATGTAAAAAAGATGTGAGAGTAGATTCAAACTACTGGCAGAAGGCTTGGGTTTGAATTTGGGACAAGTACAACCAAACCAAACCAAACCAAACCAAACGCAATCACTTCTAGCTCCAGGGAGGACACAGAGTAGTGCAGGAAAGGACATTTCCTCTCTGTACCCTGTGTGGCTCAGCTGCCAGGGGCATTTACTTGGGCATGATAAATTGCACACTGGATATTGGTTGTGTTGGTTCAGATCACCCAGGACTCAGTTCCTGAGCTGTATTCAAGAGTGTAAGAAGCATATTGGTGAGGAACACCTGTGAACAATAAAAGGTGAGAGGCCGGGCGCTGTGGCTCACTGTAATCCCAGCACTTTGGGAGGCCGAGGTGGGTAGATTGCCTGAGGTCAGGAGTTCGAAACCAGCCTGACCAACATGGTGAAACTCTGTCTCTACTAAAAATACAAAAAATTAGCCAGGTGTGGTGATGCATGCCTGTAATCCCAGCTACTAGGGAGGCTGAGGCAGGAGAATTGCTTGAACCTGGGAGGCAGAGGTTGCAGTGAGCTGAGATCGCACCATTGCACTCCAGCCTGGGCAACAAGAGCAAAACTCCGTCTCAAAAAATAAAAATAAAAATAAATAAAAGGGGAGAAAGCAGGCCTTGGCAGGGGGGAGCCTCAGACCATGATGTAAATCTCCCCAGTCAGGAGCTCCAAAGCCAAGACTGCCCATTCTAGGAGTCCCATGCTAGACAAAGACAGCTCCAGGACCCCACTGTGCTCGGTCCCTGGTTGGGGGCTTCCCTGGTTAAGGAAGCAGTTATTTGGTGTATTTCTCCACATGTGTTGCTATAAAGGAATACCTGAGGCTGGGTAATTCATGAAGAAAAGAGGCTTATTTGGCTTCTGGTCCTGCAGACTGTACAAAAACATAATACTGGCATCTTCTTCCAGTGAGGGCCTCAAGAAGTTTCCACTCATGGTGGAAGGCAAAATGGGAGAAGGCATATCACATGGCAAGAGAGGAAGCAAGAGAGAGAGGTGGAGGTGCCAGGCTCTTTAAAACAACCGGGTTGGCTGAGCACAGTGGCTCATCCCTGTAATCTCAACACTTTGGGAGGCTGAGTTATTTACTTCCAAGATACAATGGTGGTACAGGGATTGGGTAAACATTCCCATTCCAAAAGAGAGAAATTGGTCAAAAAAAGGGGCAACAGGCCCCATGAAAGTCTGAAACCCAGCAGGGCAGATGTTAAATTTTAAAGCTCCAACATAATGCTTGAGTCTATGTCCGGCATGCAGAGCACACTGGCACAAGGGGTGGGGCTTCCAAGGCCCTGGGCAGTTCCACCCCCGTGTATTTGCAAGATGCGGCTCCCATGGCTGCTCTCATGGGCTGGAGTTGAGAGCCTGTGGATTTTCCAGGCTCAGGATGCAAGCTGCTGGTGAGCCTACCATTTTCAGGTCTGGAGGGCAATGACCCTTCCCCACAGCTCCACTAGCCAATGCCCTGGTGAGGACTGTATGGGGCCTCCATCCCCACATTTCCCCTCCACACTGCCCCACAGAGGTTCTCTGCAAGGGCTCCACATCTGTGGCAGGCTTCTTTCTGGGTACCCAGGCTTTATGATACATCTTCTGAAATCCAGGCGGAGCTGCCAAACCTCCTTCACTCTTGCACTCTGTGCACCTGAAGGCTTAACACCACATGGAAGCTGCCAAGGCTTATGGCTTACACCCTCTGGAGCAGCAGTCAGAGCTATACCCAGAGCCCTTTGAACTGACGCTGGAGCTGGAGCAGCTGGGGTGTGGGGAGCAGTGTCCCAAGGCTGCACAGGGAAACGGGGCCCTGGGCCTGGCTCCCAAAACCAGTCTTTCCTCCTAGGCCTCTGATCCTGTGATGGGAAATACTGTCCTGAAGACTTCTTTTTATTTTTTATTTTTATTATTATTTTTTTGAGACAGAGTCTCACTCTGTTGCCCAGGCTGGAGTGCAGTGGTGCGACCTCAGCTCACTGCAACCTCCTCCTCCTGGGTTCAAGTGATTCTTCTGCCTCAGCCTCCCGAGTAGCTGGGATTACAGGTGCCTGCCACCACGTCCAGCTAATTTTTGTATTTTTAGTAGAGATGGGGTTTCACCATGTTGGCCAGTCTGGTCTCAAGCTCCTGACCTCAAGCGATCTTCCTGCCTTGGCCTCCCAGAGTGCTGGGATTACAGGTGCGCCTGGCCCTGAAGACTTCTGAAATGCCTTTGAGACCATTTTCTCATAGTCTTGCCTATTAGCACCTGGCTCTCTTTTAGTCAAGCTAATTTCTCTAGAAAGGGCTTGCTCCACAGCCAGTTAGTATTCCTCTCCTGTAAATGTTCTTTCCCTCTCTACCATATAGGCGGGCTGCAAATTTTCCACAGTTTTATGCTCTGCTTCCCTTTTAAATATAAATTCCAATTTTAAGTAATTTCTTTGCTCCCATATCTGATCACAGGTTGTTAGAAGCAGCCAGGCCACATCTTGAATGTTTTGCTGCTTAGAAATTTGTTCCACCAGGCTGGGCACAGTGGCTCATGCCTATAATCCCAACAGTTTGGGAGGCCAAGGCGGGCAGATCGCTTAAGCTCAGGAGTTTGGGACCAGCCTGGGCAACATGGCAAACCCCATCTCTACAAAAAATACAAATTAGCCATGCATGGTGTCACACATCTGTGGTCCCAGCCACTCAGGAGGCTGAGGTGGGAGGATTGCTTGAGCCTGGGAGGTGAAGGTTGCAGTGAGCTGAGATCGTGCCACTGCACTCCAGCCTGGGTGACAGAGAGAGACTCCATCTCAAAAAAAATAAAAAAGAAAAAGAATTTTTTTCCACCAAATACGCTAGATCACCACTCTGAAGTACAATCTTCCACCAATCCCTTGGGCATGGACACAGTGCAACCAAGTTCTTTGCTACAGCATAGCAAGAGTGACCTTTGCTCCAGTTTCTAATAAAGTCCTCATTTCCATCTGAGACCTCATCAGCTTGGCCCTCACTGTCCATATTTCTGTCAGCATTTTGGTCACACTAGTTAACAGTTCTCTAAAAAGTTCCAAACCTCCCCTCATCTTCCTGTCTTCTTCTGAGCCCTCCAAACTCTTCCAACCTCTAGCCATTACCCAGTTCCAAATCTGCTTCCACATCTTCATGTATGTTTATAGCAACACTTCACTCCTTGGTACCAATTCTGTATTAGTCCATTTCTGTTGCTATAAAGGAATATCTGAGGCTGGGTAATTTATAAAGAAACAAGGTTTGGCCAGGCGCGGTGGCTCACGCCTGTAATCCCAGCACTTTGGGAGGCCAAGGCAGGTGGATCACCTGAGGTCGGGACTCCGAGACCAACCTGATCAACATGGAGAAACCCCATCTCTACAAAGAATACAAAATTAGCTGGGCGTGGTGGCACATGCCAGTAATCCCAGCTACTCAGGAGGCTGAGGCAGGAGAATTGCTTGAACCTGGGAGGTGGAGATTGCGGTGAGCCGAGATCATGCCATTGCACTCCAGCCTGGGCAACAAGAGCGAAACTCAGAAAGAGAGAAAGAGAGAGAGAGAGAGAGCGACAAGAGCGAAACACAGAAAGAGAGAGAAAGAGAGAGAAAGAAAGAAAGAAAGAAAGAAAGAAAGAAAGAAAGAAAGAAAGAAAGAGAAAGAAAGGGAGGGAGAGAGAAAGGAAAGAAAGAAAGAGGGAGGGAGGGAGGGAGAGAAGGGAGGGGAGGGAGGTTTATTTGGCTCACGGCTCTGCAGGCTGGTCAGAAAGCACAGGGCTTGCATCTGCTTCTGGTGAGGGCCTCAAGAAGCCTCTGATCATGGTGGGAAGTGAAGAGAGAGCAGGTGTGTCACATGGTGAGAGGGAGCAGGAGAGAAAGCAAAGGAGGTGCCAAATCTCGTGTGAATTCATTGCTGTAGGGAGGGACCAAGCCATTCATGAGCGATCCACCCCCCATGACCCCAACACCTCCCACCAGCCCCCACCTCATATACTCATATATATATGCACACACACACACACACACACGTGTGTGTGTGTGTGTGTGTAAAATAGGTATATAGGCTGGGCGTGGTGGCTCACGCCTGTAATCCCAGCACTTTGGGAGGCCGAGGCGGGCGGATCACGAGGTCAGGAGATCGAGACCATCCTGGCTAACACAGTGAAACCCCGTCTCTACTAAAAATACAAAAAATTAGCCAGGCGTGGTGCCAGGTGCCTGTAGTCCCAGCTACTCAGGAGGCTGAGGCAGGAGAATGGCGTGAACCTGGGAGGCGGAGCTTGCAGTGAGCAGAGATCACGCCACTGCACTCCAGCCTGGGCCACAGAGCAAGACTCCGTCTCAAAATAAAATAAAATAAAATAAAATAGGTATATATATATATATATATATATATATATATATATACACACACACATTATATATGTGTGTGTGTATATGTGTGTGTATATATACACATATATATACACACACACACACACACACATATATATATATATATATATATATATTTTTTTTTTTTTTTTTTTGGAGACAGGGTCTTGCTCTGTCTCCCAGGCTAGAGTGCAATGGTGCGACCACAGTTCACTGCAACCTCAACCTCCTGGGCTCAAGCAATCATCTTACCTCAGCCTTCCAAGTAGCTGGGACTACAGACATGTGCCACCACATGTGGCTACTTTTGGATCTTTTTTTTAGAGATGGGGTCCCACTATGTTGTCCAGGCTGGTCTCGAACTCCTGAACTCAAGCAATCCACCTGTCTTGGCCTCCCAAATTGTTGGGATTACAGGTGTGAGCCACAATGCCCAGCCCCCATATCTAATATTGGGGATCACATTTCAACATGAAATGTGGAGGGGACAAACATCAAAACTTTCTCACTCGGCCAGTGTATTCATTTTCAGTGGCTGCTGTAACAAAGCAATACAAACAAGGTGGCTTACAACAAATTTATTCTCTTGAAGTTCTGGAGCTGGAGGTCCAAAATCAGGGTATCTGAAAGGGCTGCATTCCCTCCAGAGGCTCTAGGGAAGGATCTTTTCCTGCCTCCCAGCATTCCTTGGCTTGTGGCTGCATCACTTCAATCTCTGCCTTAGTCTTCACATGGGAAGATGTGTGTCTCTGTGTCCTCCCCTGTTTTTTTTTTTTTTTTCTCTTTTTTTTTTTTTTTTTTTGAGACAGGGTCTTGCTCTGTCATCCAAGCTGGAGTGCAGTGCTGTATCCAAGCTGGAGTGCAGTGGTGCGATGATAGATCAGCCTTGAACTCCTGGCCTCAAGTGATCCTCCTTCCTCAGTGGTCTCCCAAAGCACTAAGATTACAAGCTAAATCCAGAATGATTTCACCTTGAGATCTGTAACTAATTATATCTACAGAGACCCTGTTTCTAAGTAAGGTCGAATCCTAACAGTCAGGTTGGACATGAATTTTGACACTATTCAACCCATTACATCCAGGGTCACACTGTAATCTACCCCCTCCCTCTCTCATCTCATCCCCAGCCTTTTCCACCTGGCCAGTGCCAACCTCTGGCCTCTGCTCTTTCCTTGGGGCACCCTCTTCCTTTCAACCCTCTACCCAGTCTGAGCCTGCTCACCCCTCCTGGTATCCTTCCCATGTCTCATGCTCTGCCTCTTCTCATTTGCAGTGGTGACCCCCCCTCAATTCCCACTGCCCCCCTGCATTGACCAAAGTCAAGTGGCCTACAGCCCCTGTCCCTACCTCCTTTTCATATGCTTTCCTGAATAGTGAGTCTGGAAACCTGAAATCATAGTCCCAGACTCCCTTGCAGCTCGGTTCTAGATGTGAACTTGGCTCTGACCATTAGATTCACTGACATGTGTGACCAGAATGCTTTCTGGTGGGAAAGTGTGGGAGAAGCTCCTCCCTGCTGCAAAGGCACGTGTCCCTACAGCAGTGTCACTGGCTCCAGCTGCAGCTTTGTGAGTGGTGAGAGGGTCTCACTCTGTTGCCCAGGCTGGCATGATCTCGGCTCACTGCAACCTCCGCCTCCCAGGTTCAAGCAATTCTCCTGCTTCAGCTTCCTGAGTAGCTAGGACTACGGACACCTGCCACCATGCTCTGCTAATTTTTGTATTTTTTGGTAGAGATGGGGTATCACCATGTTGGCCAGGCTGGTCTTGAACTCCTGACCTCAAGTGATCTGCCCATCTCGGCCTCCCAAAGTGCTGGGATTATAGGCATTGAGCCTCTGTGCCTGGCCAGCTTTTAAGAACAAAGTTTGCACCTGGGCAGTGCATGGCTCATGCCTGTAATCCCAGCACTTTGGGAGGCAGAGGCAGGAGGATCAGTTGAGGCCAGGAGCTCAAGATCAGCCTGGACAATATAGTGAAGTACCACGTCTCTACAAAAAAATTAAAAATTAGCCAGGCATGGTGGCACACACTGGCAGTCCCAGCTACTGGGGAGGCTGAGGCAGGGGGATCACTTAAGCCCAGAAGTTTAAGACTGCAGCAAGTTGTGATTGCCCACACTGCACTCCAGCCTGGGTGACAGAGCAAGACCCTGTCTCCATAAATCAATCAATCAATCAAGGTCGCACAATGTCTTTTTAGATACGACACCAAAGGGACAATCTGTGAAAGAAAGAATTAGTAAGTTGGACCTCATTAAAATAAAGAACTTCTGCTCTGCTCTACAAAAGGCTGTCAAGAGAATGAAAAGCCAAGCCAGAGACTGGGTGAAAATATTTGCCACAGACATATCTGATAAAGGGCTGTTATCCAAAATTTATGAAGAACTCTTAAAACTCAACAGTAAGAAAATGAACAATCCAGTTAAAAAATAGGGATGGATGTGGTGGCATACTGCTGTAGTCCCAGATACTAAGGAGGGTAGGGCAGGAGGATTGCTTGATCCCAGGAGTTCAAGTTCAGCCTGGGCAGCATAGCAAGACCCCATCTCTAAAAAACAAAAGATCTAAACAGACACCTCACCCAAGATACACAGAAAGCAAAAAGGCATATGAAAAGAGGCTCAACATCATACATCATCAGGTTAATGCAAATTAACACAACAGTGAGAGCCTCTACACACCTATCAGAATGGCCAAGATCCAGAATGCTGACAACATCAAATGCTGGTGAGGATGTGGAGCCACAGGAACTCTCACTCATGCTGGTGGGAATGCAAAATGATACAGCCACTTTGGAAGACAGTCTGGCAGTGTTATGGACTGAATGTTTTTGTTCTCTCAAATTTCGTATGCTGAAGCCCCAGCCCACTTTGTGACTGTATTTATTTGGAGACAGGGCCTTTATGGAGGTGATTAAGGCTAAATGAGATCATAGGGATGGGGCCCCAATCCAATAGGATGAGTGTCTTTATAAGAAGAGACATGAGAGCAAGCTCTGAGCTGGCTGCCTCTCTCTCTTCCCCACCCCACCTTGTGAGGACAAAGCGAGAAGGCAGCCATCTCTGAGCCCAGAGAAGAGCTGCGGGATTAAACCTACCTTGCCCACACTTTGATCTTGGACTTCCAGCCTCCGGAACTGTGAGAAATAAATTTCTGTTGTTTAAGCCACAAAGCCTGTGGTATTTTGTTATGGCAGCCTGAGTTAAGACACGCAATTTTCTTACAAATGAAACAGATTCTTACCATGTGATCCAACAGTCATGCCTCTTGGTATTTACCCAAATAAGTTGAAAACATATATCCACAAAAAACCCAGCACACAGATGTTTATAGCAGCTTTTTTCATAGTTGCCAAAATTTAGAAGCAACCAAGATGTCCTTCAGTAGGTGGATGGATAAATAAACCGTGGCACACCCAGACAATGAAATATTATTCAGCGCTAAAAAGAAATGAGCTAGTAAGCCACGAAAAGACATGGAGGAATATTAAATGAATTTTACTAAGTAAAAGAAGCCAATCTGAAAAGGCCACATACTGTGTGATTCTAAATATGTTACATTCTGGAAAAGGCAAAACTATGGAGACAGTAAAAAGGTCAGGGTTTGTGGCCAGGGCACAGTGGCTCACGCCTGTAATCCCAAAACTTTGGGAGGCCGAGGTGAGCAGATCACGAGGTCACAAGTTCAAGATCAGCCTGACCAATATGGTGAAACTCCATACTACTAAAAATACAAAAATTAGCCGGGCGTGGTGGTGCATACCTGTAGTCCCAGCTACTCGGGAGGCTGAGGCAGGAGAATTACTTGAACCTGGAAGGTGGAGGTTTCAGTGAGCCGAGATTGTGCCGCTGCACTCCAGCCTGGGAGACAGAGCAAGACTCTGTCTCAAAAAAAAAAAAAAAAAAAAAAAAAGTCAGGGTTTATGGGGAAGATGAATAGGCAGAGCACAGAGAAATTGCAAGGCCGTGGAACAAGTCAGTATGACCCATGGCATTATAACTACAGATGAACAACACCAAGAGGGACCCTAACCTAAGCCACGGACTTCCAGTGATAATGATGTGTCGATGTAGGTTCAGGACTGGAACAAATGTACCATCTGGCGGGGGGTGCTGACAATGGGGGTGGGGAGCTGTGCACATGTGGGGGCAGCAAGGACATGGGAAATCTCTGCAACTTCCACTCAGTTTGGCTGTGAATCTAAAACTGCTCCAACAAGAAAGAAAGTCTATTAAAAAAAATACATACATACATAAAGAGCAAAAGTTGATTTCTTGCTCATGCTACGTCTGACCAGGGAGCAGGAAGACACTACATGGTGCAGCCAGTCTGGGTCCAGGCTGACTGAGATTCTGTTTTGATGGGGTCTCACCAGCTCAGGGAAAGGAAAGTGAAGAATTGCACACCAACTCCGGAAGCTGCTTCCGGGAAGTGACATCCTCATTTCTGCTCACATTTCATTGGCCAAAGCAAGTTACAGACAGCCTTGACCTTGAAGCGCGTGAAGAAGCGCACTTCACCTTGGCTGGTGCCAGGAAGGAGAACTGGGGTGCTCATGCCCTCCATGGACCACCACATTCTGCTAAAAACACTCAGCATGGTGTGCACTGAGCCCTGCCTCACACACATGCGCACGTGCACACACACACACACACACACACACACGAGCATACGCACACACCCCTCCTGGTCAAGCCCCTGACGCTTTTGCCTGGTCTTTCCTCAGCAGCTGAGAACAAGGGCCCTCAGTTTTGGATGCGAAGCATTTCCAGATCGGTTGATCAAATATTTACTGAGAAATTACCAGCTGGGCACAGTGGCTCATGCCTGTAATCCCAGCACTTTGGAAGGCCGAGGCAAGTGGATCATCTGAGGTCTGGAGTTCAAGACCAGCCTGGCCAACATGGTGAAACCCTATCTCTACTAAAAATACAAACATTTGCTGGGCGTGGTGGCATGCGCCTATAATCCCAGCTACTCAGGAGGCTGAGGCAGGAGAATCATTTGAACCCAGGAGGCGGAGGTTGCAGTGAGCTGAGATCGCGCCATTGCACTCCAGCCTGGGCTACAAGAGCAAAACTCCATCTCAAAACAAAACAAAAACAAAAACATAAACAAAAAAGAAAATAAACTACTATATTCACGGCAAAGACAGATTAAGGACAAGGCAGTTGAAAATGAAATGACAGGACCTGAAGAAAAGTGTGTTTCCCAGAGCTGCTCTCACGAGCTCTCCGGGAGGTGGGAGGGTCACTCAGCCCCAAGCTTTGTGAGATGTTGGGTGTTGGTGTGTGGCCAGGTATATTTACGTATAATTTACATACAATTAAACTCATCAATTTTTAGCATACAATTCTATGGATTTTGACAAATGTGTCAAATCACATAACTGCCTCAAGCCCCCTTGTGGTCAGGTCAGCCTTTTCCCCATCCCCAGTTCCTGGCAACCGCTGATTAGTTTTCTGTCCCTATCATTTTGTCACTCCCGGAATGTCACATAATAGAATCCTGCAGCCTACAGCCTTTCAAGGCTGGCTACTTTTGCTCAGCATAATCCACTTAAGATTCACTGATATTTTTGTACGTACCAGTAGCTTGTTCCTTTTTTTTGAGACGGAGTTTCACTCTTGTGGCCCAGGCTGGAGTGCAATGGCACGATCTCAGCTCACTGCAACCTCCGCTTCCTGCGTTTAAGCGATTCTCCTGCCTCAACCTCCCAAGCAGCTGGGATTACAGGCATGCACCACCAAGCCTGGCTAATTTTGTATTTTTAGTAGAGACAGGGTTTCTCCATGTTGGTCAGGCTGGTCTCAAACTCCTGATCTCAGTGATCTGCCCGCCTTGGCCTCCCAAAGTGCTGGGATTACAGGCATGAGCCACCGCGCCTGGCCATTTGTTCCTTTTTATTGACAAATACTATTTCCTTGTCTGGACATACCGCATGTTGCCTCTCCATTCATCAGTGGATGAACAATGGGCTGTTTTCACCAGTGCACTTGCCTTGGAATCCACAAACTGCAAATGGCAGTGGCCTTGCCCATCCCACCCACACCGCTGCAGTGCGCGGCCTGCTCGTTGGGCCACAGATACATGAACCTCCACCTGCCTCAGGGCCTCTGCACTTACTGTTGCGATGCTTGCGATGCTCTTCCCATGACTCTGGCCTCCTTCCTCAGAACCTCTGCTCATAAGTCACCTCTCTGACCACCCTGTCCTCAGTTTCCACCCCATCACTCTCTGTGCCCTCCTCCTGCTGTTCCTTCTCCCAGCACCCACTGGAGTCTCTGGTTTTGTTTGCTTGTTTGTGTATTGTCCATCTCCCACCAGACTGGAGACTGGAGACCCTCAGCGGAGGAAGTCTCTGTTCATGGCTGTATCCCCAGGGCCTGACACAGAGTGGACTCTAAATATGAGTTGAGTGAGCAGCTGCTGGTACAGGATCACAGGAGGATTAAATGAAATAGCGAGTGTGAGTGCCCTTTGCAACCTGCTGTGCTTATTGAGGGGGAAACAGGCTGAGAAAGGTGCAGTGACCAACCCAGGGCCACCAGGTCAGAGCGATAGACACCCAGGCCTACACCCCTCCCTGGGCCACCCTCCTGTCCACCCTGCCTCAGGGCCAGCGTTCCTAAGGCACATTACACACACACACAGCCCACAGACACCCAGACCGCACACACAGCTCAACACCACACACAGACAAACGCCCTCAATGCAGACATGCCCAGCCTTGCACACACAGGAAGTCCACACACAAACACCAGCACACTGCCTTGAACACGCAGGAATAGCATTCACACGCCCATCCCCCTACACAAACACACAGGCCACACCCACACGCCAAAACACACCCCCAGCGTCAGACCTTGATGACTGACAGCCCAGGACTCCAGTGGGCTTGCGTCGCCATAACAACAGACGGCTCCGAGTCTTGGGCTGTGAGTGTGGTCGGGCTGTGAGTCACAGCTGCAGCAGACGCTCCGCAGAGCAGGAGCAGCCTGGCCCAGTGCGGACTCCCCAGTGCCAACCTCTTATGGACGCAGAGTGGACCCTCTCAGATGGGTGTGCAGTGTCCATTAGCATTACCCACAGGAGGGATGTGGCCCTCAGGTGTCCCCTGTGTGCCACACACTGGCGTGCGCCCAGAGCTTCACACACATTTTCTTGCTTAATCCTCGTGGTGTCCTCACCAAATCAGTGTGGCCAGGGAGACCATTTTACAGATGTTGAAACTGAGGTTCAGGTAGGGGAAGTCCCTTGCCTCACTCAGGTCACACAGTGAGTCACCACCAGGCCTGAAATTTGAATTCAGGTCTACTGAACCATGAAGGGTCCTCTTTCCACTGCCCTGAATCCAATCCAGGGGAGCTCCCAGCTGTGCACACCATTTCCAGACAAGAGCAATAGATTATCAGCTCTCACTTGCACCAGAGTTGGTTCTGCCCTTGTAGAGCTCCCTTGGTAGGTAGTGAGATCCCCATCATGAGCAGCATCCAAGCAGAGACTGTCATAGCTGCTATGGAGAAGCATCAAGTATCAGGGGACAAGGGGTTGGACCAGACGGCCTGGCTTTGAGTTGTAAATGACAAAAAAAATTATTGGCAAACAAAACAGGAATATAAAAGCTTCAGGAACAGCTGGATCCAGCTGTCAGATGTCATCAGGAATCTTCTTCTGGATTTCCCCTTCCTTGGGGTTCACTTTCTTCTCAGAATAACCTTCCCTAGCCTAGGGTAGACCTCACAGCTGCAGGCTTACATCGGTCGTGGCCCCCAAAAGCAAGCTTAATAGATGTTTGTCAGATGAATGCTAGAAGCATGATAAGGTTGCGGGTCTCAGTCTAAGTAAATCCCAACTTGACCTCTGGGAGTCACTCTGAGGAGGCGCAGTGCTCATTCCTGTGTGCCAAATCCCATCATCTCTCAAACGTCGTATGATTGAGTTAGATTGTACTATGCACTTCACAGACATTAACTCATGGAAATCCCAGGCAGCCCTATGCAGTGGTCACAATCTCCATCTCATGGACGGGGACACAGGGTCCCAAAGAGGCAAAGTGTGGTACCTGAGGTAGGGCTAGAGCCACACAGTGCCTTACCAGGCTGAGATCAGGAGGCCGTACCTCTGAACGAGGGCAGGACTGTTCTTCACAGGCAGCTTTCCTCCAAGGAGGCAGAGGACGGCACTGGCACGTTCACTCAGCAGCCAACATTGGCAAGCACCCACTCTACCCCGTGGCCCGGGGTGCCACTGCCCATGGAGCTTGGAGGTGCCAACTGCTGCCAGTGACCTTGGGTAAGTCATTTTGTGCTTGATCCTTGCATCCCCATCTGTAAATGGGCAGGTCACCCCACTCAGAGGGGCAGAACTCATGTCAGTGGTTGAACGCTTCTGGCAGTACAGCCCAATAGAACTTCCTATACCAGGTCCCACAGGGTGGCCACACACCGCTCCTGAACACCAGAAAGTGACTAGTATAATAATAACAATTTTAAAGGCCGGGCGCGGTGGCTCATGCCTGTAATCCCAGCACTTTGGGAGGCCAAGGTAGGCGGATCACAAGGTCAGGAGTTCAAGACCAGCCTGGCCAACAGAGTGAAACCCTGTCTCTACCAAAAATACAAAAATTACCCGGGTGTGGTGGCATGTGCCTATAGTTCCAGCTACTAGGGAGGCTGAAGCGGAAGAATCGCTTGAACCCGGGAGGTGGAGGTTGCAGTGAGCTGAGACCGCACCATTTGTACTCCAGCTTGGGTGATAGAGTGAGACTCTAAAAGAAACACACACACACACACACACAATTTTAAGTTTTATTTCTTTTAAATTGATTGAAATGTACCTAGCTACACGTGGCTAATGACAACCATATTGAGCAGCAAAGCTCCAGGGTTCTAGACAAACAGCAGATATTAATTTTGGTTTTGTTCTGTTTTACTAACCCCACCCCATGCTCCAGTGCAGGCAGCCTGGTCCCTAGCTTGTCTCAGAGAGCTTTGCTGGCCTCCTTTGCCAGACCCGGTGGCCAGACTCATCATGGCCTTGGGACCTTTGTGTGGCTCTGGAGAAGAAAGAAGCTCCCAATAATGGCTGAGATTCAGTTGCCCACCAGCCAGCAGGATAGGGGCTTAGAACAGGATGTAAGATGATTTAAAGAAAAAAAGGGGCTGGGCGTGGTGGCTCATGCCTGTAATCCCAGAATTTTGGGAGGCCGAGGAGGGTGGATCACTTGAGGTCAGGAGTTCGAAACCAGCTTGGCCAACATGCTGAAACCCCATCTCTACTAAAAATACAAAATAATTAGCCGGGCGTGGCAGCCGGCGCCTGTAATCCTAGCTACTTGGGAGGCTGAGGCAGGGGAATCGCTTGAACCCGGGAAGTGGAGGTTGTAGTGAGCCGAGATCACACCACTGAACTCCAGCCTGGGTGACAGAGTGAGATCCATCTCAAAAAAAAAAAAAAAGAAAAAGAAAAAAGGAAGCTGGCTGTTTCTGGCACACCTGGGTTTTCCACTGGGTCTATACCAGGTGCACAAGTGCCTACTCCCCACCTCTATACCCGCACAACCCACCACGTGGACATGCACCAAACACACCCCCCAGCTGTGTGTGGACACAAGCAGCCAACACATGCTCTGTGGCTTACTCCTCCCATGCTCCTGGGCCTGGGCTGAGGGTCCAGCAGTTCACAGAACATCCACGTGGTCTGGGCTTCCAGAGCCTGTCCATCCTCCATCCCCTCTACCTGCCCAGGATCCCCGGGCCCCTGCTGGCCTACAGGAGTAAATGGCCACCTGCACACCCTACACACTCACGCCCAGCTCTGGATGGACATGAGGCAGGGCGAGGTCTGGGCGGTAGCCAGGAAATCCTAAGCTGTGAGTGTTCGTTCCCTGTTGCTGCTGTAAAGAGTTACTACACATGTCGGGGCTTAGAACAGCAGAAATGATTCTCTTGCAGTTCTGGAGACTGGGTGTCCAAAATCAGTATCACTGGTCTCGAGTCATGGCGTCTGTGGGGCTGTGCCCCCTCGGAGGCGCCAGGGGAGAACCTGTGCAGGGCCCCTTGCAGCCTCAGCCAGCTGCCCTGGTGATCCCTGGCTGTGTTTGCATCACTCTGGTCTCTGCCTCGGTGGCCGCGCAGTCTCCTCCTCCGTGCTTGTGTTGTCGAGTCTCCCTCAGCCTCTCTCTGTTGTGGACACTAGGGACAGCATTTAAGGAACCCCTAGATAGCCCAGGATCATCTCCTTATCTCAAGACCTTTAACTTTGCACATCTGCAGGAGCCCATTTTTTGGCTGTAAAGGGGACACCCACACGTTCCAGGGATGAGGACCTGGATATCTTTAGGGGCCATTTTTCAGCCTACCATCATGAGCCGCAGACACTCCGTGGCCAGCTCCCAAACTTAGCTCTGGCTGTGGGGCCGGGTACAGTGACAGACCTGAGACCCCATCAGCGCTGACACCATAGGCCCCAAGAGCCTGTGACCATGGCTGGTGAGAGCTCCCCAGAACAGTGGGGCTCTCAGAGAAGTAGAGTGAGGAGCACAGAGAGACGGATGGGTAGGTCCTGGGAGCAGGAAGGTATGAATTCAGGGGAGGCACACCGTGGCCTCCAAGCTGGGCCTCCACAGTGTCTCACTTCATCTTCCCACAGCCCTTGACAGATTAGGAAACCAAGGCTCACAGAAGCAACAGCTAAGTCCTCTGTGCAGCTTACCTCTGAACGGCCCCACAGAGAAGCTGTTAGCAGCTCCAAGTTACAGGGGGAGGAAGTGCCTGCTCAGAGGTGATGTGACTTGCCCAAGGTCACACAGCAACAGGTGGCAGGGCAGAAGCATGAGCCCTCTGGCTGACTCAAGCACCCACCTTCTTGGTGCCTCACCAGGTTCCCAGAAGCCAGAGGGTGAGCTGGTTTTGGAGAATGACCAGGATTTGGGGAAATGGAGAAGGAGGGTAGATGAACTTTGAGAGCTGAGTGGATCAATGGGATTTTTTTCTGGCTTTGGAGGGAGGTGACCTCAGCGTGGGGGTCAGTGTCTCTGCTATTGGGCAGGTTCCTCCTCTCAGGGGCCCCAGAACAGACTCCAACAACGTCCATCCCAGCAACAGGTGGGGGTCTTGGGAGGGTTATGTCTAAAGGGCTGTGTTCACCCCACAGATGACTCTCAGGGGCCTGCCATGGCCCCTCCCTCCTTGGTTTTTTCTCCCTTTTGTCTGCTGCCCCCATCCCACAGGCCCTGGAGGGCAGCAGGAAGGAGAAGGGCAGGGGTTGTGGCATGGCTGAGTGCACCCTCATTTCTAGGGACTCAGGAGAGCAGAAAGAGCTGAGTGCCCCCCAGGAGCAAGCCAGGAAGGGGCCATTCTTGCCTCCAGCGGTGGCTGGGAGCTGGCCCCATCAGGAATGGGGTAAGGCTCCAACCAGCAGCCCTGAGACCCCAGCCTGGCCCTCTAGGGCTGCACACAGAGTTGCACACACCCCACCCACGTGTGTGGACAGATGCACACCCCTCCCTCCTTACACCTGGGCCTCTAACAACAGTTAGATGCCACAGAGGGCCTGGGCACGCCATCTGTTGTTCAGGCCACACCCTGCTCTTGCTCAGGTGGAAAACTCTGGAGTGTCCTGGGCTCCTCTCCTCACCCCACGTCAGAAATTCTTGTCTATTCTACCTTCAAGGTATATTTGGAATTGGAATCTTTTCATTGCCCACAGCCCCACCCTGGCCAGGGCCCCCTGGATTCCCAGGCCTCCTGCTCCTGCCCTGGCCCCTCTCAGCAGCCAGGGTGCACTGTGAGGACCTAGGGGAGATCCCAGCTCTCCCTGAAGGACCCCGTCACTCAGGGTCTGAGCCAGAGGCCCCACTGTACACTGTGGCCACCCAAGCTGGTCCTGACCCTCTCTGTCCTTGCCTCCTGCTCTCTGCCCCCATGCATTGCTCTTCAGCCCCACAGGCCTCCCCACTGCTCCCGGCACACTCCTGCCTCAGGACCTTTACACCTGCTGTCTCCTCTTCCCAGCTCCCCACACATCTGTCCCCTGCCTCCCTCAGGTCTCTAGAGGCTCTAAGACCACCTTCTCTCACCTAACTAACAAGCTGCTTCCCCCTCCCACCCCCTCCCGCACCCCCTGGGACACTCATCATCCATAGCTCCTATATTTACCTTTCTATTTTGTCTGTCTCTCTCCTGCCCCAGATACCCACTAGAATGTTGGCTCCATGAGGACATGGATTTGTGTCTGCTTCAGTCACTGTTGCACCCCTACCCAGCCCAGCATCCGGGGCATTGCAGGCTCTAACACCTGTGGAGGGAAAGAGTGCAGACAGAGACAGGCAGGGGCAGGTGACCTGTACACACTCAAGGCCTAGCGGGGCACTGGCACAGCTGCACATGCCCACACCTGCGCACACACACGCACACGCGCGCGCGCACACACACACACACGGGCCCTGAGCTGAATGCCCTTGGCTCAGTGGGGCCTTGGACGACAGTCTGGCCCTGGCTCTTGGGCAGCTGGAGTCTTTGTCCTCACCCAAGACTGCCAGCCCACCCCAGCTGTGGCTGCTGATGCCCCAGATGGGCCTGCACTTCTGAAGAGAAAGGACCAGTTTCCTGCAGCCAAACCTCCAGTGCAGACCACAGAGCAGCCACGGCATCTGAGCTCCTCTCTCCCTCCCGCCTCTGCATCCCTGACTCATCCCCCACCCCAGGGAGGCAGCCTAGGCCCAACTGCCCCACTGAGCAGAAGGGAAGGCTGAGGCAGGAGGCTGAGCCAGCCAGCTGCCCCCGTTAAAGGAGAAGCAGATAGACGTGGCTTCCAGCCCAGCCCCTCCCTGGCTCAAGCGGTCACCTCCCAAACAGTCTGACCGCAGTCTGTGGGGGCTCCCTGGGCACCCTTGAGCCATGCGTGTGCAGCCAGTATGCACACTCCCGCCAGCCGGCCCCTCCAGCCCAGCTTATCACTGATGACTTTCCCAACAGAGATCGATAGAAAACCTTTTATCTCCTTCCCCGTGGTGGCTCAGACTCAGGCCTCAGAGCAGAGCTGGCTCCTGTTACTATGGTGACCCTCAAGGACCTCACTGACTCCCTCCCATTCACCCCCATCCCCACTCCCTCCTCCCTCCATCCTCCCTTCCCCTCCCCCACTCCCACTCCCTCCCCATCCCATCCTCCCTTCCCCACTCCCTGCCCCAGCCCCTCTCCTACTCCCTCCCCACCCCCATCCCACAGCCTGGGATCAATGCTGGTTCCCTACAGGGCCTGCACACCTCCCGGCTGCTCATGGCTGACAGGGAGGGGCCTGGGGGGCTCCTTGCACCCACCCAAGCCCCATCTGCTCCTGGTCTCGACCTTGCCAGTCCCCCACTTTCATGCCAAACTACAGCTCCAGTGCCCGATTGAGGCCTCCCACCTGCCCACACCGTCCTCAGCATTCTGTAACTGCTCACTTATATCAATGAGTTGTTTCCCCCTCCATACAGACAGATGGCACCCCTCCATACAGGGCTGCTGGGAGCTGTGAGCATTACATAAGCACAAACCTATGTTGAGTTTGGCCTGTGGCTGATGCTCAAGATATACTAGCCATTGTTAATAAGCCTCAATTTGTGCATTTATTAAATAGGTATAAAAGGTATTATGGTTGTAAAGATTAAATGAGAGACAGACACAAATAGTTTAGCTCACGGCCTGGCACGTTCTAAACACTACATCCATGAAGGGACACACAGCCTCCCTTCTTCCTTAGCCTCCTTTCTTCCTTTGTTCTTTGAAGGTGTTTAGGTATGGGGAGGAGGTGGGAGGAACAGGTGCATCCCCGCCCTCCATGGAGGCTCCATAGCCTTGGCCTGCAGCATGCAGGCCAAGGAGAACAATGCCCCATCAGGGTCCAAGTAACCTGTGCCCTCTCTCTGCCCACAAAGCTATATTGGTTGTGCCTCACTTTGGCGGAGGCCAGATTTTCCTCCCATGTTACCCTTGCCTTCCTGCCTGGAGGCCGGGGCTGCTCTCTTCCTTCTGCCTGGAATGCCTTGCCATACGGCCAGCCCCACAATCAGGGAACCATCTTCAAGGGAAGTGCTATGGCACCGAGATCTGGAGCCAGACCCCCCGGGTCCACATTGCAGCTGTGCCACTGCTACCCTCTGAGGCAGCTGCACAGAGGCCTCCCAGGACCCCACACCCTCATCCCCGGAGCCTACCAGTGCTCCCTCAGGTGGCAAAAGGGTCTTTGCAGACGTAATTAGATTACGGATCTTAAGATTGTTGCAGGCTATCTGGATGGGCCCCAAATGTAATCACAAGTGTCCTTGTATATAAGAAAGAGGCAGAGGGAGCTTCGACTGAGAGGAGGAGCTACGCCGATAGAAGCGGAGGTTGCTGTGATATGAGGATGGAAGCAAGGATTCTCCCCCAGAGCCTCGAGGAAGAGCCAGCCCTGCCCACACCTTGACTTTGGACTTCCGGCGTGCAGAACTGTAAGAGAATAGATGTGCATTGTTTTAAGCCACTGGGTTTGTGGTCATTTGTTCCAGCAGCCGCAGGAAGCACACACACACGCTGCCTCCTCTCCTCATCTGTAAAATGGGGCTGGTTCAGGACCTCCCCCCCGGGTTCTTGGGAAGCATAAGCGAGTTGGAAGGAGCAAAAAGCTTAGAAAAGTCAGGGATACTATTTTTTAAATTGCTATGCCACAGCGATTTGCTGAGGAAGACAGCATTCCTCCTGCCTTCAAGAAATTCGCCACCTGGAGCAAGGGAGACTCACAAAGAATCATGATCCCAGAGGCTGTTAGAGGCTTGTAGAGTAGGCCTGGGCACACTGCCCAGGGAGCGGGAGCCTGATTTGACCGGGGGGCCTGGGAGGGCATCCTGGAGGAGCCCACTCTTGAGCTAAGCCTGGAAGGATATGGAGGGAGGAGCCAGACAGAGCAAGAGGGGAAGGGCATCTTGGGCAGAGGGAACAGCACGTGGGGCTGCTCAGAGGAGTAAGGGAAGAGGTAGTTGAGGAACCTGCAAGTCAGTCTGCAGGGATGGGGCCTTGGGGGCATCACGGAGGTGGGGGCAAGCCAGGGAGCCACATACTGGAAAGGAACAATTGCTTGGGCCACCGTGAGGAGGGTGAATGGGGGTTTGAGACCGAAGGCAAGGAAACCAGTTGCAGAGATTGTGGTCTGGCAGGTAGTGAAGGGTAAAATCAGTGGAATTTCAGGACAACCTGAAGAAGGTGGGTGAGCAGAGGCAGTGGAGGGTTGGCAACTTCCTGCCAAGGGGAAGGGATGGGGGTGGAGCAATTCCCGAGATGGCAATGACAGTGATAATGACAACTAGTGCTAAAATTAGTGCTTACTATATGCCAGGGAATGTGCAAAGTGCTTGATACGCCTTATCTCAGTCTCAATCCTGGAATTGTGATTATCAGCAGGGAATAGAGCCCAGAGATGGAATCCAGAGCTGGGAACAGCGAGGTGTGGGAGGCTGGGTGGCGGGGGTGGGGAGGGGAGGTGAGGAAATGGCTTTCATATAAACAAGATGAAAAACTGTTCAGGGACTGCTCTTGTCATACTTTTCTATTATTAAAAAAGAAAGAAAACACATGTTTTATTAGTAGCTAAGCACTTTTATTTAATAACAAAAAATCTGTAGGGCCTGAAAGCATGGCAATTCTAACCCCTCTATTTAAAAAAGACCTCTGAAGTACATATCCCTTAGGACTGTGCATGGGTAGTCAAAGCTTAATGACCAGCGGGGGATCAGGAGGGTGGAGGGGTCTGTGGTCAGCAGCTCGGCTGTCCTGGTGGTTTTATTTCTTGAGCTGACAGTGGTGAATGCAGGAGTGATCAGTGAATTATCTTCCATACCTTCTTGAATATCTTAAATATTTTATAATTAAAGATTGGGTGTGACTGATATTCTCCGGCTCTACATGAAAGCTGGTTGGAGGTACTAAGTCACATTCACAAATTACAGGATCTCTGTCCTCCTAGTCAGCCTGAGTTTCTTTCACCACATCCTGGCTCTGTTTGCATACCCCCAGAAACGGGAAGCTTCCTCTCTCTCTCTTGAAATTGCCTGGGGCCCTCTTTGAACAGCTCTAATTGTGGGAAAGTTCCTCATAAAGAGCCAGAAGCCTGGTCCAGTCCCTCTGCCCACTGGAACCACACAGTCTGTGTGTGATCACACAAAGCCCAGGCGGCCCTTTAGATCTTTGAAGACAGTGCTCATTCTCCTTTTCTCCCCATTCCAAATTTTTCTTCTCTGTGTAAAGTCTCAGTTCTTTTTCAGGCAAGTGACAGAAAACCAGCTCAAACTGGTTTATGATAAAAGGTGAATGTATTGGCTCAAGTGACTTAAAGTCCTGGGGTTGCTGAGCTTCAGGCGCAGCTGAATCCAGGTGCCCAGAAGGTGTCTCCATGTCTCTCAACTCCTCATTCTTCCCCATTGGCTCTGTTTTCAGACCCACAGTCTCAACAACTACCCCTGGAGGCTCCAGCAAAGCTCAGTGCTTCCAGCAAAACTCCTGGAGGGCTTAGGTCATTCGAACCATTCCTGAACCAATCCCTGTGGCCAGGCAAATGGGGCAGTTTGGTCAAACCTGAGTCACGTGACAATCTCTGCATCCTAGAGGTAGGGACCGCCCAGCCTGAACCACATGGGCCATAAGTGGGAAAGAATGGTGCCCACAGGAAAATTGATTGTAATTACCACCAAAAGACTAGATGTATTAGGTAGGACAGAGGCTTTATAACAGAGATCCACAATAACACCGGCTTAAACAAGATGGAATTTTATCCCTCGCTAACTCCAGATGCAAGAGATCTTGGGCTGATACAGTTAATTGTATGATTAGGGTGCCCCATAGCTGAGCATTCATTATCTGAGTTGGAAGTTAAGAGTTGTTAAAACATGAATATATTTAGTACTGTCCTGGCCACTTACTTCGTTCCCAGTCAAGCATCTCACCCTACCTAGCACCAGCATCTGTCCACCCCCCATCTGCATCTCTTCTGTCTGTCAGGTCTGCTTATGCAAGCTGGTAGCAAAGGAAAACTTCAAAGTTGTAGAATTTCTTGAAGTTGATGAGAGTTACGTTGGAGAGCTCCTGGGTTCTGCACACAGTGGCTGACAAACCAAGGATCTATCTATCTGGCTGGGTCAGCCCTGTCTAAATAATGAAAACCCCCAACGTGAAGAAAGATGAACCTGTGCTTTGGAAGAAAATGATTTGAATGTCATAGAACTCAGAGTGGCCCAAAGAACTCAGGGGGATGTGATGAAGCATTCTGGTTGTTAGGACCCAGAAGGTTCTAGTAAGGACCATCAGGCAATTTTGTGGGAAGAACTATGCCTACTCCAATGAACTTTTTGTACTCTAATTGTCTTACTCCATTTTCTGATGCTAAAACAGAATACCACTCTGGGTAATTTGTAAACAATAGAAATTTATTTGGCTCATGCTTCTGAAGACTGGGAAGTCCAAGAGTATGGCACCAGCATCTGGTGGGGGTCTTCATGCTGTATCATCCCATGGTGGAAGGCAGAAGGGCAAGAGAGCACTAGACAGTGAGCAAGAGAGAGCTGAACTCATTTTTACAATAAATCCAGTGTCTTGATCATGAGCTCACTCCTTCAATAAAGAGATTAATCCATTCATGAGGGTTTTGCCCTTATGACCTAATCACTTCTTAATAGTCCCACCTCTTAATACCTTCACAATGGCAATTAAATTTCATCATAAATCAGCCGGGCATGATGGCTCACCACTGTAATCCCAGCACTTTGGGAGGCCAAAGAAGGCAGATCACTTGAGGTCAGGAGTTCAAGACCATCGTGGCCAAAATGGTGAAACCTTGTCTCTACTAAAAATATAAAAATTAGCTGGGTATAGGGGTGGCCACTTGTAATCCCAGCTACTCAAAAGGCTAAGGCAGGAGAATTGCTTGAACCCAGGAGGCAGGAGTTGCACTTAGCCGAGATCATGCCATTGCACTCCAGCCTGGGTGACAAGAACAAAACTCCATCTAAAAAAAAAAAAAATAAAATAAATAAATAAATTTCATCATAAGTTTTGGAGGGGACAGTCAAACCATAACACTAAGTATTAGCACATTAATCTAAGAATTAGCATATTAACCTAAATGTTGTTTGTGGAAGATAAAATGTGTATATTTTCATAGTTTAAATTTCATTTTTCAAAACAAAATTCCAATTAAACATTTTTTTCCCAATTACTAAGAAATGTTGGTTCCCAGAGCTTTGACTTGTGGTCAAAGTGGTCTTTTTCTTGGGATAATGAGACCCTTCTTTAGAGTGGGTTCAATGTCTGTCTCACTTGCCAGACTATGGGGGCTGTGTGGTGGGTCCCACATCATTATTCCTGGAGATGGAATCTAGAATGAGGTTTGGCTCGGCTGCACGCAGTGGCTCATGCCTGTAATCCCAGCACTTTGGGAGGCCAAGGTAGGCAAGGCAGATCACTTAACTCAGGAGTTCAAGAGCAGCCTGAACAACATGGCAAAAACCCATCTCTACAAAAAATACAAAAATTAGCTGGGCGTGATAGCGTGCACCTGTAGTCCAAGCAACTTGGGAGGCTGAGATGGGAGCGGTGCTTGAGCTTGGGAGGCTGAGATGGGAGCGTTGCTTGAGCTTGGGAGGTTGAGGCTGCAGTGAGTCATGATTGTGCCACTGCACTCCAGCCTGGGTGACAGAGTGGGATCCTGTCTGAAAAAAAAATATTGCCTAGAGCTAAGTGGGGCTCTCACCTGCTCCCTCTCTTCTCTCTGCTAGAGACCAGAGGCCTTGAAGGAAGGAAGCCCAAGGGTCTCTCCTGGCTCTGCTTCCCCATCACTGCCTCCACTTCCCCGCATCCCTTTCCCTGGCAGAGGCTTCTTGCCACAGGGCTCTGGGCACTCACAAGACCTACAAAAGAAAGGTTCACATTCACATTTGTCTTCTCTGTAGAAGTGCTGGAGGCTGATGGGGTGAGGGGGAGCAGCAACAGTTGGTGGTCCAGAGTTCTACAATGTTGAACTGTTTTAAATCGTCATAAGCCCAGGAGGCACGGATTGCTACACTCCTCGTTAGAAACCAGAGTCTCAAAGAGGGTGAGGAGGTACCCAAGGCCGTGCTGTTGGTGGCACGGTGGCAGAGCTGGGGCAGGAGTTCTGATTTTCCATCTCATTCCTCTGTTACTGTCTAAGCAGAGAGCCTGGGTGACAGCTACCTACACAGAAGAAGGTATTCTGGGAGAGTTTCCTCCCCTCTCTAGGCCTCTATGTTCTCTGCAAAATGGAGATAATAAGACTGAAATGCACATAGTAGGTGCCAAATAAGTACTAGCTACATGCTTGCTAATGGGAGTCCTCCTGCACACTCACACTCTGCCTGGGCTCTGTAAGAACAGCCCGGAGCCTCCATCCAGTTTTCATCGCAGAGGAGGCGGGGCGGCAGCGTGGGCAGGAGCTCAGGCCAGGAGAATCCCTACTCTAAGTATGACTGTGTGATCTTGGGCAAGTGACTTCATTCCCTAAGTGTGTTTCCTCATCTGAACAAGGAGGCTATTGAAATGCAGGTGAGACCTAGTGAGACAGCGGCTGCGGGAATCACCTGGCCACAGTAAACGCCCTTGCATCCTATTGAGTGAGCCAAGGATAAGCGTGGTCCCTGGCAGGGTGCAGGATTCTATCCTGAAATACACCCCCTCCACTTTCTCCTATTCCAGTCCACCGGGGCCTCTCCTCCAGGCAGGAAACATGATCTCCTTTTGACCTATGAGAAAACAGACAGGAAGTTCAAGGCCACACAGATGTGAGTGTTAAGAACCCTGGGGGGAAGGTGTCTGAAACCCAAGGCTGTGTGTGTGTGTGTGTGTGTGTGTGTGTGTATGTGTGTGTGTGTGTGTCGGGGTGTGCTGAGGGGTTGGTCAGCCAGGTGATTTAAATGCGGGTATAGAACAATAGGTAGTGGTGGGGCCCCGAAGAACTTAGATTCCTTAAAGATATTTATTTTCTTTCTCTTTCTCTTTCTCTTTCTTTCCTTTCTTTTCTTGCTTTTCTCTCTCTTATTTTTTTTTTTTGAGATGGGGTCTCACTCTGTCCCCCAGGCTGGAGTGCAGTAGCACTGTCATGGCTCACTGCAGCCTCGACCTCCCTGGCTCAAGCGATTCTCCCACCTCAGCCTTCCAAGTAGCTGGGACTACAGATATGCACCACTATACCTGGCTAATTAAAAACAAAACAAAACAAAACAAAACTTTTTTTTTTGTAGCGATGAGTCTCACTATGTTGCCCAGGCTAGCCTTGAACTCTGGGCTCAAGTGATCCTCCCGCCTTGGCCTCCCAAAGTGCTGGAATTACAGGCATGAGCCACTGCACCTGGCAACGTATGTCAACTTCAAAATTTTCACTTTTTGCTCTGCTTTCCAATCAAAACAAACCTAGCAGCCTGAGTTCGGCCTTTGAGCTGCAAGTTTGAGACTCTGCCCCAACACTGACTTTATTGAGCCTCTGCATTGCATAGCGTGCACACCCCTGCTCACCCTTCTACCTGTGTGCAACTAAGGATGACAAGCAGGGTCAGCAGCAGAAGTGTCTTGGGGCTAGCTCTGCTGACAGTGATCCCTGATCAGTTCCTAGTTCTCTTCTGAGAAGACTGAGCCCTCTCAACCAGCATCATTCAGAGCAGTCTCAGGATGGTTAGGCCTATGGCTGTCCTCCTCTGGAAGGGCCCTCGTTTGTTCAGAAGCCTCCCTGGTTAAAGCAGGCAGAGGAAAATCACTCTTGAAAGCTCAACTCACTAATCACCTCCTCCAGGAAGCCTTCCCTGAATTCCTTGACAGGACTAGGTCATTACTCTGCATGCCTGGGCACCACAGCACTCTTCATGGGTAACTTTCACATTGCAACCCAGGGTCTAACCCAGTGTCTGACCCACAGTGGGCTCTCCATGCATGAAATGGGTGACTAAACTCACCTGCTGTGTGACTTTGGATCAGTGACTTCACCTCTCTGAGCCTTGATTTTCTTATCTGTAAAATGAGTTGAGGCAAGACAGCATTCAGAGGGTCCTTGCAGATGTGATTAAATAAATTAAGAGTCTTCTTGAGATGGAGGGATTAGCCTGGATTATCCAGGTGGACCGGAATGGAATCACAAGGGTCCTCATGAGCAGAGGCAGGAAGGTCAAGGGAGGAAGTAGAAGCTGGGACAATGGAAGCAATTGTTTTCTTGCCTGTTCTAGCTTCTGGAGGTCACCAAGGGGTCACAAGCTGAGAAACACAGGCAACCTCCAGAAATTGGAAAAGGCAAGGAAGAGATTCTCTCCTGGAGGCACCAGGAGAGCTAGCCCAGCCCACACCTTGGCTTTAGCCCAGTGAAACTGATTTTGGAGTTCTGACCTCCAGAACTGTAAAGAATAAATCTGTCTAGGCTGGGCAACATGGTGAAACCCACTCTCCACAAAAAATACAAAAATTAGCTAGGCTTGGTGGTGTGGTATGTGCCTGTGGTCTCAGCTACTTGGAAGGCAGAGGCACGAGAATCACTTGAACCCGAGAGGCAGAGGTTACAGTGAGCCAAGATTGCGCCACTGCACTCAAGCCTGGGCAACAGAGCAAGACTCTGTCATAAATAAATAAATAAATAAATAAATAAATTAATTAATTAATTAATTTGTGTTATTTTAAGCCACTTGTGGAATTTGTTACAACATCCCTAGGCACCTGGCACACAGTAGGTACTCAAAAGTGGCAGTTCTGGTCAGGCGTGGTGGCTCACACTTGTAATTCCAGCACTTTGGGAGGCCAAGGCAGGAGGATCACTTGAGCCCAGAATTCAAGACCAGCCTGGGCAACATAGCAAGATGCCATCTCTATAAAAAATAAATTGGCTAGGCATAGTGGTGTATGCCTGTGGTCCCAGTTACTCAGGGGGCTGAGGTGGGAGAACTGCTTGAGTTCAGGAGTTTGAGGCTGCAGTCAGCTATGATCACACCATTGCACTCCAGCCTGGGCAACAGAGTGAGACTCTGTCTTACACACACATATACACACATTCACACTCACACACAAAAGCAGTTGTTAGTACCTTGACCGCACACCCTCTTCCATCTGCCTGCATATTCCTTCCTCCTCTCACTCTCTGGGACACCCATCCCCTTTGCAACCCAGGGCTCCCTTCCTGCCCATCCTCTGAGGTCTGCCTCAATCGCCACCTCCTCCAACCCTTCGCTGAACTGACATCCAGAAATGCTAATCCCTTGAACAAATGTGCTTCCTTGAGTGGTGCCTGAGCTATGGCTCCCAAAGAGGCCAGGCTTGTGATCCTCTTTGTACCCCCAGCCCTGCCTACAGGGTCCAGTGGCCCCAGTCATGTAAACTTGATACCAAGGAATTTTCAAAACAAAAAATACCTAATTCCAAGGCCAGAAAATTGACTCTCCTTGGGGTTCCAGCTGGTCTCCCACCCTCTCCAGGTGGAGAAGCTAGTCTTGGGGACCCTTGTGTGGGAACCAGAAATCTCCCAGCAAGACCTCCTTGTCTTGCCTCCCACTGGGGTCCCTAGAACCAGCCTTCCCTTAGGCTCCACTCAGGAGCAGGTTAAGGTAAGGCAGGGAGGGCAGGAGACCAGCTCGGGGTGGAGATTGGGAGCCCTGGATGGATGATAGGGACTGTTCCCATTAATCTAGCATCTTAAAGCAGTAATAGCACTTACTGCATGCCAGGCTGTGAGCTAAATGCTTTCCACACGTACCTCATTCAATCCTCTCAACAGACCCATGAGGTAGGTACTATTATCCCCATTCTACAGATGAGGAAACGGAGGCTCAGCAAGTTAAGTAGTTTGCCCAAAGCCACCCAGCTGGGCATAGAGGAGCCACGTTTAGAAACCAGATTTGCCAGGCGCGGTAGCTCATGTCTGAAATCTCAGCACTTTGGGAGTCCGAGGCAGGTGGATCACCTGAGGTCAGGAGTTCAAGATCAGCTTGACCAACATGGAGAAACCCTGTCTCTACTAAAAATACAAAATTAGGTGGGTGTGGCGGTGCATGTCTGTAATCCCAGCTACTCGGGAGGCTGAGGCAGGAGAATTGCTTGAATCTGGGAGGCAGAGGTTGTGGTGAGCCAAGATCGCACCATTGCACTCCAGGCAGGGCAACAGGGGCAAAACTCCGTCTCAAAAAAAAAATACATAAATAAATAAATAAAAATAAACCAGATCTGTCATCCAGAAACCGCACTTAAAACAAGCTTAAAACAACACAGTTCGCACTGGGATCCAGCTCTGTCTTGCTCTTGACATTCACCCTGGGAGACGGGTAGCCAAGTCCAGTAGGAAGGACTGTGGGGACCTGTGTTGATTCTGTCCTGTAGCTTGAGAACCTGGACAGGGGACTTCACCACTCTGCGCCTGTTTCCTCATCCACAAAATGTGATGAGCCGACCTCACAGAGGGGGCACCAGGATCTAATGAGACCATGCACAGAAGGGGCACAGCAGGCCTGGGACAGAGTGAGGGCCCCCCATCTATCACAATACCTTATTTTGCAGATGCAGGATTCACTTGTCCCAGGTCACCCACAAGCTCTGATGCCTTGACCAGCTCCCCTCTGCCCTACCAAAGGACAAATGAGGGAGGCTTCGATGGGGCTGTTAATGGGGTCATATCCCACAGACCCTAGAGCCTGGGTGGGGCTGAGAGGCTTCCCAAGCAGGTGGCAGTGAGCTCCCACCTGAGCTATGGCAAGTAGAGACCTAGGCATGAAATTGCTCCGAGGTCTGTACCTTAAGTTTCATGCAAGGACTCTCTCATTCAACATGCCTCTGTTTAAAGTCTGCCAGTGGCTACCTTCCTTGCACTAGAATTGCAAACAAATTCCTCACTGAGCTCTCTGCAGCCCTGCAGGCTCTGGCCCTCCCGATATGGCTCTGACTTCAATGTGCCCATTACTTGTCCCCTTGCTGACGGCCTCCTCACAATTCCACTTACTCACCAAGTTCTCTCCTGCCTCAGGACCTTTGCACTTGATGTTCTTTCTGCCAATGATGCTCTTCCCAGGAGGGCAGGCCCCTGTAGTCCCAGCTACTCAGAAGGCTGAGGTGGGAGGACTGTTTGAGGCCAGGAATTCAAGTTCGGCCTGGGCAACACAGCAAGACCCTGCCTCTAAAAGAACAAAATGCTCTTCCCAGACTCTACCCATGGCGGTTCCTCTTGCTATTTAGATCTTTGCACAGACAGGCCTCCTTCTCTCTCCCCCAGCCAAGGAGCCCTAGCCGTCACTTCACCTGCTAATTTTCGTCCTAGCACTTACTGCTCTAAAATTATCTTCGTCATGTATCTAAGCATTTGTTTGCTGTCTGTCTCTTCCCACCAGGATGCCAGCTCCACGACAGCAGGGACCGCATTGTCTCTGCTGATTCCTCAAGACTCAGCAAGGTGCCAGGTGCCCAGTAAATGAAGTTTACATGAAGCCAATGGAGTTTTGAAATCGAAAATGTTTCTCAAACTGCAAAGAAGTGGGCACAGGTGAGGGCTAATGGTGGGGTGAGGGTGGGGGCCTGGCCTGACGCTGGAAGCTCCTGTACGCAGGGCGCTAGTGTCCTCCCAGGCCGCACCGGGATCCCACCGCAGAGGCCCCCTCCCGCAGGCCGGCCAGCGGGCGGGGGGCGCGCAGTGGGGCGCGCGGACCGCCAGGGGGTGCTGTCGGGGCGCGCACGGCCCACCTGGCGCCCGGGGCCGCGAGCGAGCGCAGCCAGGCCGCCCGGGAACTTTTTTCCTCGCGCTCTTGCTCTCCTTCTCCCCCCGCGCGTCGCCCGCCCGCCCGTCCGCTCGTCCGCTCTTCCTGTGCGGAGGGGATCGCATTCCTCGCGGCACCCGCGGACACCAGGCAGGCCCGGCCGGGTGCGCGGCCAAGGCCCGCTCCCCGCGTCCCCGGGCGCCGCCCCCGCCCGCGGCTGGGCTCCGAGAGACGAGTGGGAGAGCGAGTGCAGCGAGGGCGAGAGGCGAGCCGAGCAGGCCGCCCTGCCCGCGGCCCTAGCGCCGGCGCGAGGAGGGGGCGCCGCGGCCCACCCTCCTTCCTGCCTGGCCGCGGGCCGGCCGGGCCGCCGCGCCCCGACCCCCATGGCCACCCAGGCCTCCGGGCCGCGAAGTCGCAGCGCCAGACCCAAGGCCCCCGAGTGAGCGCGGGCGCCGAGGTGAGCAGCGAGCGCCGGGGCGCGGGGGGCGCAGTGTATCCTGCCCCGGGGCGGGGGCGGCGCGAGGCGTCGGGATCCTAGGCCGGGTGATGAGCCGAGGCGGGTTCGGACGCCGAGCGCGCGCGCTGGGTGGAGATGTGGGGTCCGCGGGGTCCTTGCTTTGTGTGGTGTGGGGGGTGCGCGAGGTCACCGGATGGACGTCTGGGGAGCTGCAGGGTGGGGGCGCCCTGCGCCGCGGCTGAGGGTCTTCTGGGGGATGTGCGGCCAGCTGAGGTCGGGTGGGGGCATGGGGGCGCGAGGGGCGAGTGTGGCAAGGGATCTGCTTGCGCCGAGGCGCGGAGTCTTTGCGGAGCGTGGGGTGGGGACGTGGGGTGCATTCGCGGGGCGCCGGGGGCGGAGGTGAGCTTTGTGAGTGCGTCCGAGGTGGGGGACGGGGAGCTGACTTCCCCATGCGTGACCCGGGCCCGGCGTGGCCATCGCTTGGGAGTCAGGGCCGGCGAAGGCCGTGCGTGGCGAGATGGGTGCTCGGGCTCTCTGCGGTGTCCCTACCCGGGCAGCGGCCCCGGGGCCTGTGCGCAGGCCCCGAGGCCGGGCAGGAAGCGGCCCCCGCGACCTGGGGAGCTCTGTAGCGGCCAGGCCCGGGAGGCACGGGCCCTTCGGGGATGACGTCACGGGCGGGGGCCCCGGACACGCGAGCCTTGCGCCCCACAGACGGCGGCGCAGCCCGCCGCCCTTTTCGAGGCCGGCCCCCCCTCTCACGCGCCTTGAAGGCAGGGAACCCGGGAGGAGGACATGGGGGCCGAGTGCGGCGGGGACAAGGGGTGGCAGGACGCGAGGGTGACATTTGGAGCCTGGTCGCGCCAGGGGCCTCCGTGGTGGGGCGGAGGGGAAGCGAAACACCAGCCAGGCCCTAGGCCGTCGCGGCCCCAGCTTCCTGGGGCGCCCGTTTTCCCGGCTAGCAGTTTTCTTTCTTGGGGCTCTTGGTCGTTATCCAGTCCACGCAGGGGCCGGAGTGCGGGCTGCCGCGGTGCTCTCCTGCGCGGAGCCCGGGCTGGCGGGGGCGCGGCGGGCCTCGGGCTCTGAATGGATGGGAGCGAGTGTAACAATGCGCCGGTGGGGGCTGGGGGAGGGGAGGCCGCGCGCCTGAATGGCGGAGCCGGCCGGGCGCTGCTCCGCGCGCCGCACACTCTCCCGCGCCGCCTTCCCCGCGGTTTCGGCGGGCCCGGATTCAGGGACCCACTCGGGATCTGCACGGTTCCTCCCACCAATACTGTCCCCCGCCCCCCTTTTATGTCTTTCCAATGCAGTAGTGTGTTGAGAATTCAAGGGCATTACATCTGGTTGCAATCCAGTTTCATGCCGCTGCCGGGCTGTTAAGACCTCGCGCTGACGTCAGAGCAGGGGAATTACTTCTTTTTATTTTATCTTTTTTTAGTTGTCTGCTGCCCTGGGAGGAGAGGCGGGGGTGGGTTAGGCTAGCTCTGATGTGGAGGCGCCAGCGTGATGGGAGCCCCGAGCTGGGGGCTCTGCTTCTCTTCCTGCCCCTGCCCCCCTCCATTCTCCATACAGTCCTCGCTCTGCTCAGGGTCAGGCCCACCCCAGGTGGGGGGCAGCCCTCGCTGCAGACTGAATGGTGGCCCCTCCCTGCTGACCACACAGCTGGGTTTTCAGAGGCTTTCCTGGGACGTGGCCCTCGGGATCTAGAAACTGGAAAGGAATCTTCTAGTTTCCCACCCCTCCCCCTCTTGACAGGCAAGCCGGTATATTCGGGGCCCAGGAGCAAGGAAAAGTGGCCTTTTGCGTGACACAGAAGTGGACACATCATTCTGATCTCAGGGCAGGCTCAGCCCCATAACTCTGGCAAAAGCTCTCACAAGCAAAAGCCTTGGAGAGGAGGAGAATGTATCAAGGTGAGATCCAGGCCCCAGAAGCCAACTGTGGAGTGGGCAAAATAGGACCTTTCCCACCAGCCTAGCATCCCTCTGGCTTCTGTGGAGATAAAGGGAACTCAGGGGTACTGGAGCTGCCTTTCTCTTCCACTAGACTGTGGGGCTCTCATAGGCAGGGACCCTGTCTTACTCCTCTTTGTTTTATTTTTGAGACAGGGTCTTGCTGTGTGGCCCAGGCTGGAGTGCCTTGGCACAAACACAGCTCACTTCAGCCTCAACCTCCAGGGCTCAAGCGATCCTCCAGCATCAGTCTCCTGAGTAGCTGGGATCACAGGCGCCCGACACCACACGTAGCTAATTTTAAATTTTTTTTTTTTTCTAGAGACAGGGGTCTTGCCATGGCTGGTCTTGAAGTCCTGGGCTCAAGCGATCCTCCCTCTTTGGCCTCCCAAAGTGCTGGGATTACAGGAGTGAGTCACTGCACCCAGCCTTACTCCTCTTTAGACTCCCAAGCCTAGACCAATTGCTTTCAAATTCTTGCCCGTGACCTATAGTAAGAAATACATCGTAGGTAACTACACAGGTCACACTGTATATAGCTGAAACAAAAGTTTACTGAAATAACTCCCTTACTGTGTCTGCTGGTCTGTAATCCTTTTTGTTCTTGTGTATTTGTTTTTTTTTTAATTACTGATTGCTACCCACGAAATTAATTTTGCAATCCACTGATGGGTCATACCCAGAATTTGAAAAAAACAAGCCTAGGAAATGAATTTGCCATCTATTCATGCAACAAATGTTAATTGCAACCCTAATAATTCCTCTCATGTTAAACTACTCAAGTAACACTTGGATACTTGGGTGAAAAATGCAAATAAGCCAGAAATATATGTAGTAAAAGTAAAAGTTCCCTTGGCACCCTCCCTGCAGGTAACCCCAGTTAATAGTTTGAACGTATCCTTCCAGACTTTTTGTTACTCACTTAATGCATATATATATATATATATATATATATATATATATATGTATGTATGTATGTATATTACATATACCAATCCATGCATAGTTTTCTTTTTCCCCAAGTGAGGACATACTGTGGGCTCTTCCTCGGCAGCTTCCTTTTTCCTCTCCGTTTGTCTTGGAGAGGTTGGTTGTGTGGCGAAGTCCTTCAGGGCAAGTTCTGGGTTGACTCCTGGCTCCACCACATACTGAACAGGCCATTTACCTCTCTGTGCCTCAGTGTCCCCATCTTTACAATCAGGAGAATAACAGTACAGACCTCACGGTACTGAAGTAAAGATGCAGTGAGTTAATCCATATGAAGTTTAGAGCAGTGCTTTTGCCAATAAATGCTGATTGCTGCCGTCATTGTTGTATTGTTATTGCTGTTCTATCTCCATGGCAGCCCATGTTTGAAATGCATTGCTTTCCACAGCTGCCTGTGGCCATGGCATGGGTGTCTTTTTCCTCCCCTATCCAACGTGTGGCTCCACAGGGAGGGAGGAGGTGCAACAGCAACGGTGTGCGCAGAGCAGCGTCTCTGCGGGAGAGGCACCTGGGCACTGGGCCCAAGGGAACAGGGATTTTCCAAGGACCCACTGTTTCCAAAGTTCTGTGCTTAATGTCGGGGTCCAAGCAGGAAGCATCCCTGCACTTGACCACAAGAAGGTCACAGCCCAGTGGGTGATTGGGACCCAGCTCATAGCCAAGGCCTCGACCAGAGCTGGAGGCTTCCTGGAGGAGGGGCCTTTGAGCAGGTGCTTCAGGCACGGCGAGGTAAGAGTGAGAGGAGCATTCCTGGCAGAGGGAACACAGTGAGCAGAGCGAGTCTTTGGAAGCTGGAAGGGATGTGGCCTGTGTGCTGTAGCCAAACAAGAGGGGAGGACTTGGCTCAGAAAGAATGGTGGCGGAAGAGGTTGGGCTGTTGCTGGGACCTCCTCACTGGCCTCCCTGCCTCCATCCTGTCCCCTCCCAGGTGCTGGCCAGCAGCACTGTCAGAGCGATCGTTCTAAACCCAGCAGATAACCTCCAGTGGCTCCTGCTGCCTTATGAATAAAGGTCCCATCTGTAGTTCTTCCCATGCTGTCCAGGGCCATTTCTGGTGTCCTCTGCCTGCCCTGTCCTCATTCAGTCCTGTCCCCTCCAGCCACAGCTGGCACCTCCTTGTTAAGGTGCAGCCATGTGCATCCTTGCCTCTGTGCATCGGGCTGGGCTGTTCCTTCCACCTGGGATGCCCCTCACCTTCCTCCCTGCCGCCCCAGACCAAAACAGACGTCCTGTCTCCTCCTCCTCTGACCTCCGAGGCAGAATGAGTCATCTCCCTTTGTCTATACTCGTGGCATAGCGTTTATCACGGAATTATCGGCAATTCTGCCAGTGTCTGTCCTCCCCATGAGGCTGAAGCATCGAGGCCTGAAAGCACGTCTCCTTGCTCTCTCCGGCCCAGTGCCAAGGGCGAGGCCTAGAACACAGGACGCTCAGAAATGCTTCCTGGCAGGAGGGCCAGGTGAGGTGGAGAGGGTGAGAGCCCCAACATTGTCTCCCGTGGGCCCCTTTGATCTTTAGCAAGGGCATGCTCAGGTCTGTGTGGATCTTGTGCTGTCAGCCTTTAGATGAGTGGGGTGAGGGGCTTGGTGGGGTCGGGGGGCAGGGGGAGGTGGCGGGCAGCTTCCCCAGGCTGCTTCCTGAGGGGGCTGGGAGAAACTGGCTCATCCTGTTCCCCAGTGATTGAGGCAGAGCTGTGCCCTGTTCCTGGTGGGTCACTGGGGATCTGAGATTGGAATGTGACACCAGGGAAGGGGAGGCAGGGTGGGAGGCAGGGCTTGGAGGTACAGGCTGGGGCTTGGCTGGCAAAGGACAGATTTCGCTCCACTGGTTCTTGAACCCGTGTGTGTGTGTGTGTGTGTGTGTGTGTGTGTGTGTGTGTGCACGCGCGCGCCGGGGAGGGGAGAGATGGGGAAGAGAAAAACATGAGGGCAGAGAGGTGGAGTGGGGGTGGAGGACCTGGGGAGTGGTGAGCAGGGACAGGGAGAGATGGAAGTGGGGGGACGGCAAGGAGTGAGGGAGAAGTTCCTGCTGCTGCTGCTGGAGAGTATGAAGAGTGTGCTTAGGGCCAGGAAGGAAAGCAGCCAGGCGCATCGTCTCACACCACCATCAGCCATGCCTTCCTTCGTCTGTCCAGCAGACAACCCTAAGTGTTCTCTTGCTTGGCTCCATGCTTGCATGGCCCCAGACAGGAGCAAGCCTGTGGTCCAGGCTTCGCACCCTTGAAGTCTAGGGGCCAGGTGAACAATGAGCATCCGGTTTCTTTCTTTTTTTTGAGATGGAGTCTTGCTCTGTCGCCCAGGCTGGAGTGCAATGGTGCGATCTCAGCTCACTGCAACCTCTGCCTCCCGGGTTCAAGCAATTCTCTGGCTCAGCCTCCCAAGTAGCTGGGATTACAGGCGCCCACCACCACGCCCGGCTAGTTGAGCAACCTCTTTCTGCACAAAGTGATCAGGCTGGGGGAGAGAAGGTGCCCAGAATGCTGTGCAGAGGCAGGAGAGGAGGGTGGAGCAGGCGAGCATGGGGTAGGGGGCAGGGAAGCCATGTGTTAGGCACTATGGTGGGGAGCCAGGACTGCTGGGGAGTCTTCCTTTCCTCTCTGGCCTCGGTCTCATCTGTAAATGGGGGAAGAGTGGACTGCTCTTGCACTGATGGTCTGTGGACCCAAGTCACCCACTCCTTGGGCATGAGAAACCAGGGACCCCGTGGAGACAGCTGATAGAACAGGGACAGCAGGCATGCTCAGAGCGTCTGCAGGCCCATGGTCAGGGGGCTTGAGGGAGAACATGCAGAATCCAGTGGAGCTTGGGTTCGCCTCCTAGAGTTCCCTTCTTGGAGACTGTGCTCATCTGGAAGGCGAGATAGGGTCGGGGTAGGGGAAGGAGCACTGGATTCGGAATCAGGAAAAGTGGTTGAGTTTTAACTGCAGCATCCCTCGGGCAAGTCACTTTCCCTCTGTGAGGGTCAGTTTCCTCTTCTGTCAAAAATGTGAACGGGCTTTGTTGTAAGCATTAAAGGTGAGCTGGGGCGCCGTGGCTCACGCTTGTAATCCCAGCACTTTGGGAGGCCGAGGCAGGCGGATCACTTGAGGTCAGGAGTTTGAGACTAGCCTGACCAACATGGCAAAACCCCATCTCCACTAAAAATACAAAAATTAGCCAGGTGTGGTGGCCCATGCCTGTAATTCCAGCTACTTGGGAGGCTGAGGCACGAGAATCACTTGAACCCAGGAAATGGAGGTTGCAGCGAGCCAAGATAGCACCACTGCACTCCAGCCTGGGTGAAGGAGACTCTGTCTCAAAAAAAAAAAAAAAAAAAAAGTGAGTGTTGCTGTGTTTTGTCATCTGGAAAGCAAGGAGGTCCTATAGCTTGGGGCCATAAACAGGCTTTGGGGTCACACCAGCCTGGGTTCAAATCCAGGTACCAGCTGCTCACTGTGGGGCTCCATTTCCCTCCCCTTTAAAATGAGGATAATAGGCAGGGCGCGGTGGCTTACGTCTATAATCCCAGCACTTTGGGAGGCCAAGGCGGGTGGATCACTTGAGGTCAGGAGTTCGAGACCAGCCTGGCCAACATGATGAAACCCATCTCTACTAAAAATACAAAAATTAGTCAGGCGTAGTGTCACATGCCTGTAATCCCAGCTACTTGGGAGGCTGAGGCAGGAGGATCACTTGAACCCCGGGGGGTGGAAGTTGGAATGAGCCAAGATCGTGCCTCTGCACTCCAGCCTGGGTGACAGAGCAAGATTCAGTCTCAATGATAAATAAATAAACAAAATGAGGATAGTAACAGGCCCCTCCTGGTTGCTGCTGCACAGTTCCTCAGCTGGGATATCATTGCTGGGCTGTTAGGCAGTTGTTTTTTGTTTTGTTTGTTTGTTTTTTGAGATGGAGTCTCGCTCTGTCGCCCAGGCTGGAGTTCAGTGGTGCGATCCCGGCTCACTGCAACCTTTGTCTCCTGAGTTCAAGTGATTGATTCTCCTGCCTCAGCCTCCCGAGTAGCTGGGACTACAGGTGTGCGCCACCATGCCTGGCTAATGTTTGTATTTTTAGTAGAGACGGGGTTTCACCATGCTGGTCAGGCTGGTCTCAAACTCCTGACCTCATGATCCGCCTGCCTCGGCCTCCCAAAGTGCTGGGATTACAGGCGTGAGTCACTGCGCCCAGCCTTGGGCAGTTATTTTTATTGCTAAAGTGCTTTGTATGTAGAAGAGATCACCATTATGATTATTATTTTTTTTTTTTGAGCCGGAGTGTTGCTCTGTCGCCCAGACTGGAGTGCAGTGGCTCGACCTCGGCTCACTGCAACCTCTGCCCCCTGGGTTCAAGCATTTCTCCTGCCTCAGCCTCCCTAGTAGCTGGGATTACAGGTACGCACTACCATGTCTGGCTAATTTTTTTTTATTTTTAGTAGAGATGGTGTTTCACCATGTTGGCCAGGCGGGTCTCAAACTGCTGACCTCAGGTGATCCACCCGCCTCAGCCTCCCAAAGTGCAGGGATTATAGGCGTGAGGTGAGCCACCACGCCCGGCCAATTATTCTTCTTCCATTCATGCCAGGTCACATCTAACCCTTACCTGTAATAACATTGGCCAAAATGAGGAGTTTGGTGCTTATTTCTTTTCTAGCCAGGTCAAGGCAGATGGATTGAGTGGGTCTTTTTACACATGGGGCGGGTGAGAATTACTAGTTTTCTGGCCAGAGTTTCTGTATGTAAAGGGACTTTGCCCCAGTGGTGTAGGTGGACCCCAGGAAAGCATCCAGCAACTTGTGACTTTAGTGGCAGTATAACCACAAACTCTCATTCATTCGTTCATTTATAAATCACGTGTAGAACACCAGGGTACTGAGAAAACAGCCATGAATGAGATGCAGCTCTAATGTAGCATAGTGGGTATGCATATGTATTTTGGACTTTGCCTGGGTTCAGATCCAGGGTCTACCACTTGCGAACTTAGCCAAGTTATTTATCTCCTTTACTTGGTTCTGTCATCTGTAAAATGGGGGAACTGATAGAATCTACCTCATAGGGTGGTCGTTTGTTCAAGTCCAGCATCAGGTACATAGAAAGTGCCAGAGCATGGCCCTTCCTCCATTGTTGCTTTTATTTCTGCCCTGAAGGATCTCATGGACCAGCTTGGTGCTGGAGGAGGTCACCCTGGCCAGGCTTCTCAGTGACGGTTGGCATCCAGAAAGGGGTGCCAAAGCCCCCCAACTCCTTGAATCAGACCCTTCTATAGTGATCTAAAGCTGCTTCTCTGCTTGACTGTTGGGGCCTGATGCTGGGGAGGTCCTGTGAGGCCTTATTGACCTGGGAAAGTCCGCCTTTGTCTGGCGCCAGGTGTGCTTGATTTTAGAAGGAATTTCATTCCTAGCCGGGCACCGTGGCTCACGCCTGCAATCCCAGCATTTTGGGAGGCCGAGGTGAGTGGATCACCTGAGCCCGGGAGTTCGAGACCAGCCTGGCCAAACATGGTGAAACCCCATCTCTACTAAAAATACAAAAAGATAGCTGGGCGTGGTGGTGGGCGCCTGTAATCCCAGCTACTCAGGAGGCTGAGGCAGGAGAATTGCCTGAACCTGGGAGGCAGAGGTGGCAGTGAGCCAAGATGATCGTACCACTGTACTCCAGCCTGGGTGACAGAGCGAGACCTTGTCTCAAAAAAAAAAAAAAAAGGAATTTCAGTCTCAAGTATGAAAGCAGAAAGTGTTTCCTGATTGAGGACTCCTCACCAGCCGGAGGCAGCAGGACTGCCTGCCTCTGTGTGTCTTTAGGCAGGTTCCTCAAGCTCCCTAAGCCCGTTTCCTCCTTCATCAAAGGCGAAAGTAATAGTACCTATTTCATAGTTTTGTTAAGAGGATCAAATGAGATAGGGCCTCTAAAGCACTTAGCCAGTCCTGGGCACAGAATAGTGTGCTTAGTAAATATTGTGCCTATTAGTGATAATCAGAATTCTCAGACAATGTAAAGTAAAAACCACCTGAAAGATTTCTTAGGAGCTACAGCTTCATAGAGATGTGAAGTTGTAAACCTCCCAGAGCCCAAGTGGACAAAGAATTGTTACAGCAGCTGGAGAGACAGGAGACCCAGAGAAGCTTAACTCCTGTAGCAAAGTCACCCAGCATTCTGGCTTGGGGTGGGCAGGGATGGGGAATCAGAGCTGGCTTTCAGTCTGGTGCTCTCTGGTGCTTTGATAGTGATTCCTTCAGCAAATAGCTATGGGCAAACAGCATTGATGCACAGCTGAGGTCATATGGGCCTGTCTTCTGGAAGCTTCTGTTCTGATAGGGAAAATGAAATTTCTACATGATCATGATGAGAGGTAAAATAAAATCACATGTTCTATTAGAAGGGTAAAGTCATCGGGTATTCACTCATTCAAGGGGGCTCTGTGCCAGGCTGTGGAGCAGTGGGTCTCATTCGGGGGCGATCTTGTGTCTCAGGGGACACTGGGCCATGTCAGGAGACATTTTTGGTTGTCTCAGCTGGGGAGGTGCTGCTGGCATCTAGTGGGTAAAGGCCATGGATGCTGCTAAACATCCTACCGCACAAGGCAGCCCCCGGAACCACACACCAGCTGGCCCCTGATGTCCATGTGCCGAGGGTTGAGATCCCTGTCTTGGGAAGCAGCAGTGGCCAAGCAGATGGAGCCCCTGCCCGTTTGAAGCATAGAGCGTGGTAGGTGAGCAGACGTTACAGAAATGATTGCCTAGATATGGATTTATTTGTAATGTGAGCTATGAAGGAAAAGGTAGCGGGAAGAAAGAGGGATGCGAGCCCTTCTACTCTTTTAAGGGAGGGCCTTTGGGGAGGTCTTTCCAGCTGAGGGCACAGCCCAGGCAAAGGCTCAGAGGCAGAAAGTGCAGGAGTGTGTTGTGGGTGGGGAGGCTACCAGGCACCTGGTGTGTGCCCGGGGAGAAGTCAGAAAAAGGCCTGGCCTCGGGGGGCCCAGGAAGTGGCTTCCAGAGGTGGGGAGAAGGCAAAAGAGAGGACTAAACCCTTTAGTCTGTTTGAGGGAACTCCAGCCCCCAGCATGTTGCTCTCTGGGGGATCCAGCAGGGCCAGGTGGGCAGTGGGAGCACCCTAGCCCCAGGTGCTACCTTCCAGCCTGGGGCCAAGCCTTTTCCCTTTCTCTCATTTGCAGCTTTCTGATAGGTGGGAAAGAGAAGCAGGAAAAAAGAGCAGAGGAAAAACAATATTTTCATTTCAAACACAGATAGGGGTGAGGGAGGCGGGAAGTAATCTGGTTTATGATACCTTTGAGACAAGCACAGAAAATCCCCACCGTGGCCCGAAATAGCACTAAAACAGACGTTTTGCCAAATCAGACTTAATTGAGTGGCTCTCTTCTTGACTCCAGCAGGATGTGGCTGGAGCTGGCTTTGTTCCCTTGGGGTGACACTGTCCCCTGGGGCCCCTGCCCTGGCTAATTAAACAAAGAGGACCTGGTCTCCTAGGCAGGACAGGAGCCTGGGGAGCTGAACTTGACAGCCCTTGGCCTCTGCCTGAGAGGGCCAGAAATGGTTACAGGGGTTGGGAAGGTGGGGGGTTCCTGACAGGAGGGCCAACTGAGTGAAAGCATTGGTGGGAGAGGCCTGGTTCCTCTAATATGTGAATATCTGTCTCTTTGGATGCTGAAAGGGATGGAGAAAAGCCAGCATTGAGTGCCTACTATTGTGCCAGGCATTGGGTGGTCCTCGCTAAGTCTTATTAACTGCCCTATATCCATTATCAAGGAAACTGAAGCACAGAGAGGTTAAGTGATCTGCCTGAGGTCACACAGCAACCAAGTGGCAGAGCTAGGATTAGAAATCACATCCGCAGGCTCCAAAGCCAGGCCCTGCCTGCTGCTTACCCCCTTCCCCATGTTAGTCACTCATCCATTCGGGAGCTAATTCCTGGCTATGAAATAATATTGTGACCTTGTGGGAAGTGAAGGCTTGCAGTCAGACAGCCATGAGCTTGGCTTCTGACCAAAGCAGTTTTTCTTTTCATGGTTTTCTCCCTCAGAACCTCCTCTTTCCTCATCTATCAAGTGGGCATAATCATGCCTTTATCCTGGAGTTGCTGTAAGGGTTAAATTCAGCACAGAAAGGGATGGAAGGGGAAGGAGGAGGTCCTTGGGCCACCCAGCTTGGCAGGGTGCAATAAAAGAGTCCTAGGTAGAGGGAGCCAGGCAAGATTGCAATATCTCTGTGCCTATCAGTGTTGGGTTTCTTTATTTGAAAGGGGAGAGAGGGCAGACTCCACTCTGCAGGTAGAGAAGGTGGTGTGGAATGCGGGTATTTATTTTTCTTTGCCTGTGAAAGCCCTGTTTTCGCTCAGGCTGTGTAGGGCTTCCCGACACTGCCATGGGTGCGCACATCTGCACACTCTGGGGTGCCTGCCATGCAGAGGCATCTGCCCAGGGTGGGCACTGAGGGCATCCACCATGTGACGCCCCCGTGCAGCCTGTAAGCTCTCATCACAGTGCCTGGGATACCTGGGAGTCCCCAGAAAGAGTGAGGATGGGTGAGGGCCATGAAACCAGGGCATCATTCCTCCACCTCCTCTGATCAGGCCCTCCTGGTCCCATTCATCTCCTTATCTCCTGGCAGCCAGTGGGTTGCTGGGAAGGCAGGGGCAGCCTTCCTGATTGACAAACAAAACAAGCTTGATCACAAAAGGAGAGGGGAGACTGGCTGGGCCTCTCCAGCTCCCCTCCCCGTGCCCCAGGCATCTTTCTTGCTCCACCCAACTGGCACCCTACATTCTAAGATGCTGCGAGGGGGCTCCAAAGCCATTGTCGAAGGTCAGGCCACCCAGGCTAGGAGCCCCTTGCACTGGGGAGGTGGATTCAAGGAGTGATGGGGTTGCCATGAGGCGGCGCTTGCTGCAATGGCCGCCCCTCCTTCCCTTCAGCTGGCTGGGCAGGCAGCTTGGAGAGGAAGCCAGGCGGCAGGTAGCTGAGAAAGACATCGGATCCAGGGGGAGCAGCAGAGAAAGCAAACAAACAGGGCTTTGTGTGGCTGCAGATTGGCGGCTCAGAAGGGAAGCCAGGCCTGTGGTAGGGGGAAGGGAGAGGAAGGAACGGGAGACCAGGCCATTGCTCTGGGCCAGAGATCGGCGGCTGGACCAGCCCGGGCTGGGCGGCCGGGAAGTAGCGAGTGCCACTACGTGTGGACAGGCATCTGGAGTCACAGCCTGGCCGAGTCCCAGCTCTGCCACTTCACTCCTTAACAGATCTGGGCTTGTTTGCCCACCTAATCTGGGCAGTCATTCACACGTAGGACTCGCTGGCTTAGGAGGAGAGTCACCTGTCCTGGCCCAGTCAGTGTCTGCTCTCATCCTACCCTTGTCCCGTCATTGCTGGCAGGACACAGAATCAAAGGGATTCAGGGTCTCCTGGGAGCTGCTAGCCTTGCCGGGTCTCCTGGGAGGGCAGCGACTTCTGCTTAGATCTGTGGGCACTTTGGAGTCTTTGACCGGGGAGGCAGCCGTGCTGAGGGGAAACGGGTTCTCTGCCCAATAACGGATGCCTGGGGTGTAGGTGGGCAGAGGCTGGCATCAGGCCTGAGGAACCAAACTGCCCCCTCCTCGTCGCGGTGGAGACGCACGAGGTGCGGGGAGGAACATAGCCAGGAAGACGGGCCTTCCTGTGGGGAGGGAGGGGCATCTTTTCTGGGGTGTGAGTCACATTCTGGATCCCAGCGAGGGCAGCCCCCAACCTGGCCCACCTCTCAGAGGGCTGGGAGGGCCCGGGCCTCGAGGAAAGGCATAGGTAGGAGCTGTCAGGCCAGACGCCCGGGCAGCTCCACGCTCGCCTCCGAGGCCATTTCCTTTCCTCTCTCCCCGACCTCGAGAAGGGGCGGCGAGAGGGCAAATGCCCGCGCTTCCTGCCGGTCCCGCCCCTCCCCGCCCGCGGCGCCCACCATCTTGGCCGCGCCGGAGCCTCCTCCGCGGTGGCGTCCCACAGGCCGCGGTCGGGGCCCGCGACGCCGACGCCGGGAGGGGGCCCGGGACCTTCGGGGCGCTGAGGCCAGGCGGGGGGCGAGGCGGGGCGGGCCGCTCGCGTCGCCATGGCAGCGCCCGGCCCGGCATGCTTCGCGGGGCCGCGGGGCGGGGCGGGGTGCTGAGGCCCCGCCCCCTGGCGGATCCCGGGTCTTTTTCCGGGAACGCGGGGGCTTCCAGTCCCAGCGTTGCGGCCGGCGCTTGCGGGTTACCGGGCCAGGCGGCGCGCATCTCTGGGCCTCGTTCTCCCACTCCCTGGATGTTTGGGGATAATGAAAGAGAGTCTGTGCGGGTTAGCCTCGGGACGGGCTCTGCTTACCGAGCCCGGCAACCCCACGGCAGGGGCCTCGGGAAGCCGCTTCCGAGGGCCAGGATAATGGGGAGACTGGACCCCTACCGCTTGGGGGCTATTAAAAGTGGAGGCCAGGCGGCCTCTCAGCTGCAGTCTCTGGGTCTCGAGCTCTTCCCCGGAACTGTCCATGGGTCAGTGAGGACCTACCCTTTGCCCTAGGGCAGGAGAAAGAAGGGGGCCGGGACTGCACACCTCACCCGGTCCAGGCCTGGACCCTGCAACCTCGGCCGGCCTCCCTCCAGCCCAGGAGCACAGGCCTCCCCTAGTTGGCAGTCGTTGGACTGTCTGGCTGGGAGGCACATTCCTACCTCCTGAGCTCGGGCACCCCGCCTGCCCTGGGGGAGCCTCTTCCAGAACTTTGCTGCCAACACTGCCCTGTCCCCACCCGGCCTTCTCGTGCCCTAAGTCCCTAGTTACTACTCCACAGCCGCCTTCTTTCCCCTGGTCTTTCTCTCTCTCTTTTTTTTTTTTTGAGCTAGAGTCTCCCTTTGTCGCCCAGGCTGTAGTGCAGTGGCGTAATCTCCGCTCACTGCAACCTCCGGTTCCCAAGTTCAAGCGATTCTCCTGCCTCAGCCTCCCGAGTAGCTGAGATTACAGGCACTTACCACGGCTAATTTTTTTGTATTTTTAGTAGAGACGAGGTTTCACCTCGTTGGCCAGGCTGGTTCCAAACTCCTGACCTCAAGTAATCCTCCCACCTTCGCCTCCCTAAGTACTGGGATTGCAGGTGTGAGCCACTATGCCCGGCCTCCCCTAGTCTCTTAAGAGGCACCGATTCAGCTACCCTTTGTCACCTCCTACCTGTACTGAGTAGGCAGCTAAATTGAATGTCGGCCTTTGGGTCTCCGAAGGGAGGCTGTATGCTGGTTGAGAGGCTGTCCTCGCGCCTTTCTCCCTCCTCACCCAGGGCACATGCACAAAGAGGCTGAGAATCGGCTACAGTTGCAGCAGAAGAGACTCAGGGTTGCCATCGGAAAGAACTTCCCAGTCCTAAGCATTTTGTTCTTAGTGAAATTGTCAGATTATTGATATGTTGGTTGTAGAGATATCCAAAAATACAAGAAAAAAGTAAAAACTTTATAATTCCACCAGCAGTATATAACTACTGTCAACATACTTTCTGTAGATGTATGATAAACCACTTATGATACATCTACGGAGTCATGCTGTATATTTGGTTTTGTAAGGCACTTGGTGGTTTTAATAGCTTTTTTCTCACTATAAAAGGAGGACAGGCTTATTATAGACTTTTGGAAAATATGACAAATTAAAAAAAAATTCACCCGTACTCTCAGTCTCCAAAGGCAGCCACAGTTGTCTTCCCTCAACCCCCCCACCACCCGTTCATGGGGTTTTTCGCTTTGTGTTTTTTGTCTGTTTAGGTATGCCATCATTACTTCTGTATATAGCAGTTGATATTCCGCTTTTCTTACTTAATGCTGTTTAAGATGCTCCTGAACCACGTTCTTGGGAGAACTTCCGAGATGAGGCAGACATTTCTGGGGGTGATTTGTTGGACTGGCTGTTCACTTTCTGAGTTTGTCCTCTCCCTACCTGTAGCCCCCCGACAGAGCCCTTCTCCATTGCCAGTAACCAATGATATGCAGCTTGGGTCAGGGGGTCCTGCTTGCTGGGGGCCCAGGAGGCTGCCTAGTGTGGACAGGGACATGCAAGACTCATGGCCCGATGCTGAGATCTGGGCTCCAATAGTAAGGGGCTTTACTCTGGCCCAGATATGCCAGGTTTCAGGGAGGTCTCAGACCTTGGCCTCATCCTCATTCGGGGCCTCCTTTGCCTGGGCACACTCAGACCCGAGGCCCCTTGTCGATCCTGTGACCCACCTTCTGCTTTGACTTCCTAGGAGTTGGTTTCTGCTGCCCTTGGCTCCTCAGCCCCTCTTCTCTAGCCTCTCTCTGGAGGCATGCAGGCTTGGCACCAGCACAGCCTCCCTCTGCCCAGCTGCCCCTTGGCCCTAGCTACAAGCTGCCCTTGCCCTGACCTATCCCTACTGCCAGGCCTGTCTCTTCTCCCCTATTCCAGAACGGTTCAATTCTAACACATCCAAGCCCTGCGTGAAACAGGCCTTGGGAAATCACAGTTGCCAGGGACGGTTTGGCATTTAAAAGGCATCCAAGGCTTTGGGGAAAAAGCTGAAGAGACAAGAGGATGCAGGGCCCTGTATCAGAACAGCATCTGGATTTACTGGATGGAAAAATCACAGAATGCCCCTTTCCTCGGGAATAACAGTCCTGGCCGAGGGGCAGCGGGTGTGGCATGGGCACGCCATGCCCTGCCTGGCCACCACCTGCCATCACCGCTGTGTACTCTCAGAAATGAAAAGATTAGGGAAAAGATTAGGGAGGGACATTGTCAGCCTGCAGCCAACGGCCCGCTCTAACAGGTTTATTCAGTTGTAAAATATTTAAGACCTGTTTCACTTTACCTGTATCCAGGAGGCAGCCAGGCTGGGGCCGAGATTGATGTGCTGAACATGATTTATTTATCTGGATTTGCTCTTGTGGTCTGGGTGTTACCTGGGTGTGGAATTTAACCAAATGACAAGATGGGTTTGCGTGTGTTCCTGAGCTTGGGGATTGTGTGTGTGTAAAAAGTGAGTTGGGGTTTGTGTACATGGCAGGGGGTTGCTGTTAGGTGGCTTGTGTGTCTGTTTGTCACTGGGACCAACGTGTGGTTGTGTGTGTGTCTGATTTGGGGAAATGAGCTGAGGGTATGGGTGCTTACACACCAGGCAGTATCCACAGCAGGTCACACGTTCTTTGTGTGTTGGGGGCACCTCTGTGTGTGGCCGAGTAGCTGTTTGTGTGCATGTCCTGTGGTGTGAGACCTGGATCTCTCTCACCCACTTTTCATCAGTGGTGGGGCATTGCGCACTGACTGAGTTGCTGGGGCATCTGCTTTTCCATCCGGCCCTGGGTGAGCACTGACAACACCTGACTGTCTTCCAGTAGAACTGGGCCTTCCTGCCCTGCAGTCCAGAGACTAGAGGGAGTTCGGTGGTCAAGGTGGTCCAGGCCCACAGCCATAGCCCTAATGCAAAGCATGGCTCCTACTCCAGTGCGCTGCTGTGGGGTGACCCTGCTCCTCCTCCCTGGACCTCAGTTTCCTCTTCTGCTGCAGAGGGCAGGCGCCCAGGTCCCTGTGGCTGCTCTCACACACGGGCTTCTGGGTGGCTCATGGCAGGCTTAGGGCATTGGGCTGGGGTTTGTCTCCTGCCACTCAAGAGTTGAGTCCCACCAGTACTCAAGAACAGCAAGGAATGATGGGAAAATCCCTGCTTTGGGGCCCAACTCTGGATTCTGGGCGTTGTCTCTGTCCCCCATCTAGGCCCAGCCCTGGCCCAGTAGTCAGGAAAGCGGCAGACAACCCTGTAACAGCCCTCGGTCTCCCCCTCCCCCCACACCCCTTTATATTGAATGTGTCTGTCACTACTTTCCTAATGAGGCTGCTGAGGGCCCCCCTGGGGCAGATACCTTTGCAGACCGGAGGTGAGGGGGTGGGCCAGCCTCAGGGTCAGGACAGGAAGGGGAGCTGAGCCCTTCCCCTGCCTGCACCCCCAGGCCAGCTCAGCTGTGGAGGCATTGAGGCCCCTCTCAGCCCCTGAGCCAGCTGTGAGTGGGCATGAGAGCTTGGGGAGGTAGGAAAGCTCACCCCAGGCACTGAGTTTTCTTTGGCGCTGTGACTCTGTAGTAATAATACTTCCACCTGGTCGATATCTATGTTTGGAGGCCTACTGTGTGCCAGGCACTGAGATCAGCCATGATCTGGATGGACACACAAAATCCCTGCCCTTGAGGGAGGTGTGGCCAAAGGAAGAAAGACATTAATCAAAGAATCAAGTGATCTGAGTCGTGCATTCATGCATGGGAATGCCGGCTGATCACAAGCCAAGACAGAGGCCAGGCAGAGCTTCTCTGATGGAGACAGGGAGTCCTGTGCTTAGACTGGGGGCTGATCCAGGCACTGGGTAAAGGCTCAGCCGGGATTGAAGGAATCAGGAGACCCAGATTCTTGCTGTGTGGCCTCAGGCAACTGCCCACCTTCTCTGGGCTCCTAGAGGCTGGTGGCTTCCTTCTGGCTCCCGTCACCTCTGAGTGGAACTCAGGCAGTATATGTCTCCTCTTCAGTGCTTTTTGCGCTCCCTGCCAGGGCCCTCAAGACATCTGTCGGCAACATCCTTGACTTTGGAATGCTGGAGGCACTGCCCCAGGGGACGCCTGGAGCCAAGCACAGCACCGCTGCCTCAGGCCCCACCTGCCAGTTCCTCTGGGCCCTTTTGCTCTCACAGAGCCACCTGGATCGAAGAAAGCCTGGAAAACATTAAATTGAAGAATTAGTCCCCTATTTTGCCCCAAAATTGCAGAGAAAAGCATTTATTCATGCATTCACTCATTCATTTGCTTGACTAGTGTTTCCTGAACACCTAGTAATTGCTGGGCACACTGCACTCCATGTTGGACTGAGATGGCAAAGTGGTGGTCCTCCTGCCACGTCCTGACCACAGACCTGTTTTGAAAGCCCATCCATTGTCGGGGGGCCGGGGGGGGGGGAATCAAATGAATTGCCAGTGAGTAATCGTTGAGTGACTTCATTTCCAATTTCCAGTTTACATTTCTTCTGGATTATTCTACCCTGCTTCCCCCGGCCACAGTTGGTGGAGATGGCTACTGTCTGCCGGGTAGGATGGCCCACCCAGCCCACCAGCTGGTCACGGTCCCATCCCCCACCACTCCACCCCACCCTGTGCCTCTCCTGGTCATGTCACACATGATAGTGTGGCTTCCTAGTTATGAGCCCAGCCTCAGGAGCCAGACTGTCGAGGTTCAAAGCTCACTGTGGCTTGTGGGACCTTGGGTGTCCCCCTCCAAGCCTCAGATTCCTCTTGTGTAAAATGGGATCACAAGAGCAAGTATCCACTACTCCTGGGGCTCTTGGGGAGATTAAGTGAGAAAATTTATGCTAAATCCTTAAAACTCACATAAGCCTTGGCTGCTATCGTTGTTGAATAAATGAACCACTTGCAGGCTGAGACCGGGGCTGTGTGTCACATGGCACCTCTAGGCCTCAGTTTCCTCAGCTGCTTCTTTGGGAAAGCACATCTGCTCTCTAGGTTGGGCCTCCTCCCTCGTCCTTCAAAGACCTATTCTTGGGGCCTGGGCCCTGTGAAACCTCTGGCTCTCGGACGCAGCCTGGAACCCCTGAGACGAGGTCAAGCTCCGCGGCCCGCCTCCTGTCGCCCGGCCCCAGGCGGGACTGCCTTGGCAGGACTCGGGCCGCGAGCTGGAGGCGCGGCTCCCGGCTCGGGGCTCCAGCGGCCGCGCCCCGCCGCCCCTCGGCGTTCGCGCGCAGCCCCTGCGGGGGTGGCCGCCATCAAAGCGTCTTCTCGTTCTTATGCTAATGAGCCCCATTAAAGCTTAATGGCTGCGAACGCGCGGGTTTAATTGCACCTGCCCGGGCCTGAGGCGCGGCCGGCCGCGGAAGCAGCTGCGCGCCGGCCGGGACGGCCTTAATTACCTGGAAAACGACGCCCGGCGGGGAGGGGAGGGGATGGGAGAGAAGAGGAGAGCAGCGGGGCCTCCGCGAGGCCGGGCCTCGTCCGCCGAGGCCGCAGTCCGGCCCCTCTCGTCCTCGGGGCGCGGCGCGTTCGTTTCATTAATTTATCGCCCTGCCTCGGCGGAGATCCGCTCGCCCGCTCCCCGGCGTTCAACCGCGCCGGCTTCGTGCTCCCCCGCGCCGTCCCCCGGCCATCTTGGGCTTGGCATTCAAGGCCCTTCGGGACCGCTGCTGCCACTGACCCAGTGCCACCCTGCTCTGCACGAACAATAATAATGGTGGTTGCACATTACGTGCCAGGCGCTCTTGAGGGTTGAATGTGACCTCGCAGAGACCCCAGATGCCTCATCTCGGCCTTACTCCCCTCGTCTTTAGAAGCTGGTACCTCTGCCTGCAACAAAGACCCCTCTCCCTCCTCGCTCATCCTCCCTGAAACCCACCCCTGCGCCTCCAACAAGATGAGCCCCTGTCCTCCTGGGATGGGATTGGGGATGGGTCTGGGCCCTTTGTTGAGGGGTGGGCTAGCCCATGGTGAAGGTTGTCTGGGTGTGTCCTCCCTCTGGACTGACATTTCACTGAGGCCAGTCTGCCTGACTGCCCTATCTCTGCATGCCCCTGCCATCTCCCTGGGGATGGCCCTGGGGTTGTGGGGGCTGCACTGCTGCCCTGAGCCTTCTGCCTAGGCAGGGGGCTGTGAGACTGATGGGAACCTCAGGGAAACCTTGAGACCTAATGGTATTCTCTGTGGGACTTCCCTGTGCTCCTCCCCACCCCATCAAGTGATCCTGGGATAGGCGCCTGCCCCTCCTCTCTCCCTCATTCCCTTCTCTCACTCTTCTCTTTTTGCAGAGGGAAGGAAAACGGAAGAGGGAATAGACAGACCGCTCATGCAGTTTTTAGATGGTCCCCTTTCCCTCCCCTCTCTCTTCCATGTCCCCTTGTACCCAGCCCCTCTTTTTTCTTTCTTTGAAGACCGCATCTTGCTTTGTTGCCCAGGCTGGAGTGCAGTGGTGCGATCATGGCTCACTGTAGCCCTCAACCCGTGGGCTCAAACAACCCTCCCACCTCAGCCTCCCAAGTAGCTGAGACTACAAGGTGTGCACCACCATGCCTGGTTGCCCCTCCTTTCTGCCCCTTCCAGTCCCATCCCTCCTCCCTTTGTGCGTCTCAGAGACCAAAGCCTGAAGCATTGCACAGTGCCCACTGGGAGGCCACCCAGCCCTGGTCCTGCCTGTGTCAGGCAATGCTGAGAGCACAGAGGGGAGTCAGACTTGGGCTCTGCCCTCCAAGGACTCCAGTCGGGGAGGCAGCGCTCGAAAGGAATACTTGTCCTCTAATGGAAAAAGGACCAATTTAAAGGAAGCAGAGAACAGTCTTTGAGCTCAAACTGGGAAGGCTGGGAGAGGCTTCTAAGCTCAGCCTGGAAGGAAGGATAAGTGTGAGCTAATTGGCAGGAATAGCATTCCAGGTAGGGAAACAATTGGAGTTCAGCCCTGGCTAGGGCAGAACACTGGCTGACATGAGGGGAGAGGGAGTAAGGGACAACCACAGAAAAACTGAGCTCACTCCAAAGTGTGGAGGCATGAGGCTGGAGAGGTGGGCAGAGGGTCCTCTGTTGCCTAGCAACCTTCACTGCCTCCCTATTGCCAAGAGGACCAAATTCAGACCCTTCAGTTGGCACAAAAGCTTGTACCACCCACCTCATCCCAGGATGCAGCCTATTATCTTCAGCTGGGTTCCTCACTACCAGGCCAAGCCTCGGATGATGATTGTGAGCCTACTGTATATGGGAAGGGGGGATAAGCAGTGACCCCATCAGGGCTAATAGCAGTGGGGCCTGCTGCCCAACTCCATGCCCCTTCTCCCATTCTTGTCCCCAGATGTCCTTGCAGACAAAATGGAGGTGAATGGGCAGGCTGCCAGGAGCGTCAGGTGGCATCACAGCCGGGTAGACAGTCGTCACTGATTAATGAGGTGGTAGAAACCTAGAGGGAGGTCCCTACTGGCATGCCTCGGGGTTCTGCCCTTGCTCTGGTCAAGGCAAGGAATGAGGCTCACAGGGGTTTAGCACCTCCCTGCCAGGCTATGTGAAACTCTTGGTATCCAGTAGTTTATCACCAGCCATGAGGTGGCTTCTCTTAATATCTCATTTTGCAGATGCAGACACTGAGGCCAGTCGGGGTGAGGAGTGAGCTCAAAGTCACTCATCTCCGAGGTGGCAAAATTAAGCCTCAAACCCAGGGCTGTGTGACTTCAAAGCCTGTGTTTGTAACTGCGGAGCTGTGCGGCATCAGTAATGCATCTGCTGCTGCTGCCAGACGTGAGGAGGTGGGGCCCTGCCTTTCAACTTCATCTCTCTGACAGTGGTTAGCACTGTACTTTACGTGTAGTAAGTGCTCAATAAATGCTTGTGGACTGGATGATTGGGGCAGTAAGCAGTGAGCAGGGCTCAGAAGCAGTGGAGAGGCTCCATCACTCTTCCTCCCAACCTGCACCTCCACCCCCAGGAGTTGGACAGCGGCTGTAAGGGGACTTGGAGACTCAAGGCTTCCAGGCAGGGAGTGGGCTCACAGGAGGCTAGGGAGGATCCAACTTCCTGTCCAGGTCAGGGTCAGGAGGACAGCCGCGCCCCCTACTGCCCCGCTGGGAGGCCAGGCTGACGTAGGAAGGCTGCACTGCAAGTCAGAATCATCAGCAAAACCTGGGGAATAGAGCGTGTGAGGGTTTCCATGCAGGGTGGGGACTGCTTTCTGATCAAGCCCCTAGGCCAAAAACCTTTGGAAGGGACTCTCTGAGGGCAGTGCATTCTTGTAGCGTCGGGAGCAGGAGTTCTCCCATAACCTTTTTGGGGTGGGGACCCACCTGTGGCTCTGGAAAGGTGTTGGCTCCGGCTCTGGGGCTCAGGGGGAGGGGGCCATTGGTGGGCAAAACAAGCATAGTGAAAACTGAGGCTCATAGAGGTTAAGGTCACAGAGCAGAGCTGGGTCTGTTTTCTTTTTGTTTCTGTTTTAGTTGCAACAGGGGCTTGCTCTGTTTGCCGAGGCTGGAGTGCAGTGGTATGATCATAAATCACTGTAGCCTCGATCTCCTGAGCTCAAACGATCCTTCCGCCTTGGCCTCCCAAAGTGCTAAGATTACAGGCATGAGCCTTCATGCCTAGCTGGGACTGTTTTCAAACTCCACCAACCCCTTTTCTTTTGTTCCATTCCACTCTGCCCAGAACCTTCGTCTGGCTTCCCAGAGGGCCCAAGTCCTTGTCTTCAGAGGTCCTGGCTGGGGAGCCTTAGAGCATGGTCTTCCCTCACTCCAGGCTTCTCGGGTCTCCCTATTGGGGACTGACCGTGGGAGCAGTGAGCCACTGTGCACCAGGGCAGCCCGGCTCCTCGGGGGGTGGCCCAAGCAGTCAGGGCGGCAGGCTTGATGGGCCAGGGCCTGGGGACTCTGCCATGGTGGACCATTGTGCCCTTGCCTGGCTTGCCAGGAAAGTGGAGTGCGTGTGCTCACCCTTGCTTCTGAGGGGCCTTCCTGAGGCAGAGGCTGTCCCTGGACACCCAGTGCTGTTGAGGCAGCTGGGGACACTCAGACCATGGTGGACAAAGACTTGAAGTCTCGTTTCAGCCCTGCACAAGGTGTGACCTTGGCTCCAGCACTGCTCCCTCTGGGCCTGTCTCTTTCTCAGCAGAATCTGGGACTGGCCACATCATCTCCAGGGGTTCTAGCATTGGACGCCTGAAAGTGGACAACATGGCAGTGTGAGGGGGCTCTTTGTGGTGGGGTGGTCAGAATGGCCCTCCATGTGGGGGGCTCTTTGTCTCCCCAGGGCAGTCCTTAACCACCAGCCAGCCTCCCCAGGCACCCGTGCCGGGCAGTGGGGTGTGTAAAGGCCTGGCACACACAGACAGGAGTTCCGATCTCAACTCCATCCTCATGAGCTCTGTGACCTTGGTGAGTCCCTTTTCTGTGTAGCCTTTAACTCTCATCTGGAACGCAGGATATGCATAGTCCTGACATCAGGACGTTACCATGAGTAGTAAGTGAAACTCCCACTTCAGGTCCTTCGCCTGGTGTCCAGGGCATGGGAGGAGCTAATACGTGGCCTCTGCTGCTTGTGTTGTTATTGGTGGTGGTGTTTGAGATGTCCTTAGAGATGTTGGCCAAAGTTTCCAGTTCCCCACCCTCCCAAGCCCGTGGGGAAATTGTGCTTCCTGGTGGTTTTTGGGTGGGGGGGCCGGGGGAGGGTCATGTGACCAGTTATGGCCCGTGAGGTGTGAGCAGAAGTGACATGTCCCTTCTAGGCCAGAGCCTTTCATGGCCATGAGGATCCACAGAACTCACTTTCCTCTGGTAGACCAAAGTCAAGGTGGCAACTGCTCAGTGAGAGGGAGCCTCCCTGCTACCCCAGTGGATGGTAGTGTGAAGGATAAACCAACTTTTGTTGTTGTGAGCCCTTGAGATTTGAGAGTTTTGTTACAGCAACATGGCTAGCACATCCTGACTGATTCTTCATCATCATCATCATCATCACTCAAGCCTGTCCCCCGGCCAGGGGTCCATCCAGGAGAACAACAGCCATGGAGGAGACCCGTCAAAAAATAGAACTTTATTACCAATCTGTTTCTATAATTGTTTGACTCATTTTCTCACTCATTTGTTTGCTTTATCACCAATTTCTTTACATCATTTATTCCTTCAAAAACATTTCTTGGCTGGGTGCAGTGGGTCACGCCTGTAATCCGAGCACTCTGGGAGCCCAAGGCAGGCAGATCACCTGAGGTCAGGAGTTTGAGACCAGCCTGGCCATCATATAGTGAAACCCCATCTCTACTAAAAAATACAAAAATTCGGTGAGCTGAGATCGTGCCATTGCACTCCAGCCTGGGCAACAAGAACGAAACTCCGTCTCAAAAAACAAAAACAAAAACAAAAACAAAAACGAGCCAGGTGTGGTAGCACACACTTGCAGTCCCAGCTACTTGCAAGGCTGAGGCAGGAGAATCGCTTATACCCAGCGGGCAGAGGTTGCAGTGAGCTGAGATCGCACCACTCTACTCTGGCCTGGGCGACAGTGCAAGACTCCCTCTCTCAAAAAACAAACAAAAAGGCTGGGCACGGTGGCTCACGCCTGTAATCCCAGCACTTTGAGAGGCCGAGGTGGGCAGATCACGAGGTCAAGAGATGGAGACCATCCTGGCCAACATGGTGAAACCCCCTCTCTACTAAAAATACAAAAATTAGCTGGGCATGGTGGCGCGTGCCTGTAGTCCCAGCTACTCGGGAGGCTGAGGCAGGAGAATCTCCTGAATCCGGGAGGCAGAAGTTGCAGTGAGTTGAGATCGCACCACTGCACTCCAGCCTGGCAACAGAGCGAGACTCTGTCTCAAAAAAAAAAAAAAAAAAAAAAAAAGGCAACAAAAACCAAACGCCACTTGACCACCTGTTTCATAGGCCCTGAGGTAGCGCACAGGCCAGCAGGGAGCTATGGATCATTCTGCAGAGCCACGGTGCTTGCCCAGAGGTCAGCAGCCCTATGGGATGCTTGGGGTGGGGCGTCAGATTTGCAGAGCTGGGGCGAGGGAAGGAATGGCACTTGGGGGAGTGGGTCTGCTGGAGAAAGGCCTACAGGTAACAGGAAGCACTAGGCAGTTGGGTCCGGCCAGCAGGGATGGGACCGTGTAGTGGCCAAGCTGGAGGGGGACTTTGGTCCCTGGGTCATGGGGTGTGCAGTGCTCTGCACTGAATGATGAGAGGGCATGCATAGGTGAAACAAGAGGCCAGCTGCTGAAGGGAGGAAGACCAGGTAGGCAGCTGGGCCAAGGATCCAGGTGGACAAGGGCTGGCATGGGTCTGAAGAGGAAGAGCAGGGCCAGGGAAAGCCCAGGGCTGGATGGCCAGTGGTTGTGAGCTGCACCAGCAGCCAGAGGGAGCCGGGGACTGGATGGGGGTGGCCCTGTGCAGTGACGGGGAAAGTTTGAGGGATCAGAGTAGAGTTGGGGCACCCGAGCGGCATCCAGGGGAGATGTCCAGGATGTAGGGTGGTGAATGGACAGGACATTGAAGTGAGAATCACCCCTCCTGCCCATAGACAAACCATTGGTTTGAGGGTGGGGCCTGCCCTGGGAGCCGGGAAGCACACATTTCTTCTCTGTGTGGGCTCAGGGGAAAAAAAGAATTGAAACTCCCACAGGGGAAAAGTTTTTAAAGATTCCACCATTGGAATGCTGGTCTTGTGTAACAGGAATGTTTTAATCCATGCATTTGAAACACAGTTATTGAGATCCTACTGTGAGCTGGGCTCTGCCCTAGGTGCCCATGGGTGAGCAGACAGACAGCGATCTCTGCCCTGGTGAGCTCCTTCCTGTCTTAGTGGGAGACAGGCAGCTAATGACGAGCAATCTGGGGCATGCTCCTTAGTCCTAAGCTACTCAGGAGGCTGAGGCAGGCAGATCGCTTGAGTTCAGGAGTTCGAGGCCAGCCTGGGCTACATAGCAGAACCCCGCCTCTACAAAAAATACATAAATTAGCTGGGCATGGTGGTGTGTACCTGTATTCTCAGCTACTCAGGAGGCTGAGGTGGGAAGATCGCTTGAGCCCCGGAGTTTGAATCCAGCCTGGGTAACATAGCAAGACCTTGTCTCTGAAAATAACTAAATACTTTTAAAAAGAAGATAGATGTAGTGAGAAAAAAAAGTAGGTGGGGAAGGGGCTCAGGGATGGGGGAGATGCGTGCAGTTTTAAATTGGAGTGCCAGGAAAGGCCTCCCTGAGAAGGTGACAGGTGAGCAAAGACTCGAGGGAGGTCAGTGAACCTTGCAATGTCAAAGGGAAGGGCATTGCAGGCAGAGGGAATAGCAGTGCAAAGGTCCTGAGGCAGGAACGTGTTTCCATGTTGCAAGAACAGCAGGGGAGCCACTGTGGCTGGAGGGGACTGAGAGAGGGGAGAGGGTTCCTGGAAGACTGTTTGTTTATTTGAGACAGGGTCTCACTCTGTCACCCAGGTTGGAGTGCAGTGGCATGATCTCAGCTCACTGCAACCTCCACCTCCCAGGCTCTAGTGGTCCTCCCACCTCAGCCTCCTGAGTAGCTGGGACCACAGATGCGTGCCACCATGCCCTACTAATTTTTTGTATTTTTGGTAGAGACGGGTTTTTGCCATGTTGCCCAGGCTGGTCTCAAACTCCTAAGCTCAGGCAATCCACCTGCCTCAGCTTCCCAAAGTGCTGGGATCATAGGTGTGAGCCACCGTGCAGGCCAGACTCTAGCTTTCATTCTGAGTGAGCTGGAGACTGCAAGAGGCAGGCTCCAAGCTGACTTACTATCTCACAGGCTCCCTCAGGAGTTGAGGGGGCCAGACAGAGCTTGAAGGGGAGTAGAAGGCTCCTGGAGGCTCTGGCAGACCTCAGAAGCTGCAGCCACATCGACCAAGCTGACCCCACCCACCATCTCCAAGGAATGGGTTAATGGGCACCCCAGGCCTCTCAGGTCTCTGCCTCTGCCTTGCTCCTCCTCCTTCCTCCTGCTGCCACCCTCTGATGGTGCTTCAGCCTGTGCCATTTTTCTGGGTCCTCTCCAAGTGTATATTGACCCTGAGGTGGCAGCAGGAGGGGAGGCAGGCCCCCTCCCCAGGAGGAGACCCCCTTGATGAACTCTGAGAAGCTGGTTGCTTAGCAAGCCCTTTTTTCTCCAACAATACTTGTGCTAATCAGCCTAGATTGAATGAGCAAGGAATTGGCTTTTGCACCTTCCTGTCCTCTCTTCTCATATATATATATACACACACACACACACATATATATATATGTACATTTTTTTCCCTTAGAGACAGAGTCTCACTATGTTGCCCAATCTGGATTCAAAGTCCTAGGCTCAAGCAATCCTCCTACCTTAGCTTCCTGAGTAGCTGGAACTACAGGTGTGTGCTAGAGTGCCTGGCTAGGGACTCCATTCTAGAATCATGGAATCTTAGGGGTCCCCTGGGTTGCATCTTGACTCAGTGAGTGAGTGGGTTACTTTTTCACATCCCTCCTTGTACACCTCCTGTGACTCCTGGCAGCTCACTCTCTTTCTAGCGACTGAGGGCCTCTGGACAAGGTGAGGGGGACAGAGCAATGGTCCAGAAGTTAGAAGACTGTGGTCCCAGTCACAGGCTGGGCACCATAAGTGGACACCATAACTGACCCATCCTCCTTTTGTGCTCAAATGCTGCAGTTCATCCGGAAACAACCAAAACATTCCAGCTTCACAGCTGCCAGGGTTTGGAGTTGAACCCTGTGTCCCGTGCTCCTGCCACCCCTGCTCCAGGCACAAAGGGAACAGTTCGTCAGTCCACCACGGGCCTTTCCTATCCTCAGTTGCAGAGTGGGCCAGGACATGCCGCTTTACAGATGGGAAGACTGAGGCCCAGAGAGTGGAAGGGAAGGAGAGGAGCCCATTCCAGGCTCCCGGCCTGGGATTTTTCCCATATGCTCCAGCAGCCACCCGGGGACCATCATTATGACAATGATGACTGATGGAGGGCCTAGTGTGCCGGGCACTGTGCTGAGAGACCCCAAGGAGGGCGTAGCATCTGTGTCCACAGGAGGAGGCTGTGAGGCTGAGAGTACCTAGGGAGAGCAGAGCTGGAGCTGGCTGGGCTCTGGCCATGCGGCTTTGCTGTTTGCTGTCTGCTGTTTGCCGTATCAAGGGGCGATACTCAGGCGGGCTCCTCTCAGTCTCTCTTCTTTGGTCTCACCTCTACTCAGAAAAGCCCTTTGCTGGCCCCCAAATACTCCTACCCCGACTCTCTTCTCCACCCCTCCAGGCTCCCAAGGCCCCTGCCTGCCTCGGCCTCCCTGCTGGGTTGACCACAGTCAGTCCTGGCTGGAAGCTGACCCTCTCCACAGCTGCCCCAAAATACATGTCACAGTGGGGCATTTGCAGTTCCAGCCTGGGCAGCTGCCCACTAGGTCTCTTTCCTTCCCTTCCCTGGGTCTGCCCCCAGGCCCCTGGCCTCATTCTGGTCCTGAGCTCCCTTCTCTGGGCCAAGGAGCTGCTGGGCCTCGGGGAGGGGGAACCCCAGCACTAGGTCCAAAGTGATGTAGCAGGGCCACTGTCTGTGCCGGGGCCTGGAGCTTTCCTCTGAACCTTAAGGGGCCCCCAGATCAGCTCCGTGCGGGCCTGGGGTGCAGCTTCCAGAATCTTGGAAACCTGTTTTTCATGGAGCCAGATAGAATGAGCACCCAGGAGGAGGCAGTTCCAAGAGCTGGTGCTTCAGGAGGAAACCTGCACAGCAGACAGGCGTGCGCACATTCCTAGATGCTAGCCCTGTGGCGGCGCACCTCACGCTCATTCACAGTACACGGACATGCTCACCTGCCCACCATGGGTGGTCAACCCTTGGACACCCACACTCTTCTCACACCCTCACACACACACTCTGCACCACTCGCCTAGCCCCGGCCACGCTCATGTCAGGATTCTGAAGACCTCGAGCACACACAGACACGCACCTGGTCACGTGCACTTTCACACATACACTTGGCACCAGGGTGGCAGCAGCGGAGGTGACTGAGAAGCCTGCTTTTCACAGAGAATCAGAACCCAGCGGGGGCTTTAGCCACAAAAAAAGAGCATTTCAAGGAGAAGGGCTGCCTGCATGCCAAGCACACGCCCCTCACCTACCCAGGACCCCTTGTGGGAGCTGAGCCCCATGGAGACCCCGGGGTACCCATCCCACCCTCCAACATCCATCCCTACGTGGATATACGGCCACAGTTGCAGCTGCGGCCATGAGGAGGGGTTTTTGCTCCTTTTTAGCAGTGCTCCATCCCCCACCCCAGAGTACAGGGGGCTGCCCAGAGACCCTCCTGGCCCTGGGGGCCTGTGAGTCAGAGGCTGCCAGTGGTGGCCTTTCGGCTGTTGCTGGGGAAATGGCAGCACAGTGGCCACCAAGACTAGGACTCCCTGGGGAGGCCCTGCTGGCCCTGGCACTGGTGGCTTGGCCTCACCCAGCCCCACCTGGCAGATGTGCCCCTTGTGGCTACCCAAGGACTGGCCCCCTCCTCATTTCAGAGGTGGAGAAACTGAGGTAAAAAAGTGGAGACAGCCAGGGCACCCCTCCCACAAGGCCCTGCCTCATTTGAGACAGAGCCCTCTGGGAAGCCTGTGCATTCTGTAGGTGGGGACCTTTGGGGCCATTTTTTCCAGAGGCCCAGAGAGGGCCGTCTTCTTGCCCAAGGTCACACAGCAAGTTCATGGCATAAGCTAGCCAGCCTCGTACTCCAGAGCTCTCCTGAGGGCCCCCATGTGTCTGTGCGGGGGTGTTGATGGGGGGCAGGTGGGAGGGAGGAGGTAAGGCTGATTTGTTTCCCAGCCTCCTCCCCCTCCCCTGCTCCCTTCTCTCCCTCACACGGTTTGTTTGGAGAATGACTCACAGGAATGCAGCAAAATCCTGATGGATGGGAAGGCAGGGCCGCAGTACCCGGAAAACCTCTCCAGGGTAGGGAGGCGGGGCTGAGCCTTGGGGCCTGAGAGGCTGGTGATAGGGGAGCCCTGCATGCAGGTGGGGCGACTGAGGCCCTGGAAGAACTCTGGTCACGTCCTGGCTGGGGGTTGTCCCTCCTCGACAGAAACACACAGGCCCTGGCTGCCGCAGCACCCCTGGAGCACCCGTCCCCCATGATTTCCATCTTTGTGTCCCCGAGGCATCTGGTGCACTGTAGCTGACAAACACATGCATTTTGGCACTGAGTGTGACCCAAGTCAGACCCTCCTGTGTGTGCCCTGTCCCCCAGGTCCTCCCAGCTCCCCGGAGTTGGGGGGCGGGTGCTTGCCATTCAGTCCTTTCAGAGGCAGCCAAGGGCCTACGGCATGCTGGACACTGCCAGGGGCTGGGGAGGCTGGGATGGAGCTGGAGGGAAGTGGGAGGTGTACACGGGATGGACACCTCCTGTGTATGTTCCAAATGTGCTGGAGGCCTCAACAGGTCTTGGTACAAGGTGAGGCAAACCTTAGAGGACCTAGGATGAAGTTTCACGTAAAGGAACAGTGGCTGTAAGGGCTCCCAGAAAGTGTAGGGACCCTGGGAAGGTCCCAGTCTTTGAATAAAGGTGGGTGGGACCTTATTGGTAGCTTGGGGCATTAGGGCCCAGATATCAGGCAGCAGCATGAGGTGAGGCCCGGGCTCTGTCCCAGGGCAAGCCCTCCTCCTGCGCACCACATCTGGGGCCTCCGAGGAGGGACAAAGCATTCAACTCCCGGGACCTGTGGGTGGGAATGTCCCCAGGCCCAGCCCTTTAGTGCCTGCTGATGGCTGTCACGCGGTGTCCGGCCCTGATGACCAGATATGTGTTTTCAAGAGAAGCTGGAATTTGGATTTTTATGTGAACTCTCCTGATTCTCAAATGCTGGCTCCGTTAACAAAAGGCACAGTGTGGTTTAAACCACACATGTCCGCAGGCAGAGGACCACCAGTTTCTAATGTCTGCGCTGTGGGGCGCTTGGGTTTTTGCATTTGGTTCTTTTACATTCCTTATTTTATTGGAAACAGCCCAAATAGTCACTGAGCTGCAACTCTGTGCTAGGTGCCGGGGCTCTATCAGCGAATAAAACAACATGTGACGGAGCTGCCATTTTAGTGGGAGAAGACAGTGAATAAACATATATCAGGTGATATGTGTTAGGAAGCAAATGGAAGCAGGGCTCCAGAACAGAGAGCGGCTGCAAGGCCAAGCCCACATTTGGGTGGAAGGGGCAGCTAGTGCAAAGGCCCTGAGGTGGGGCTATGCTAGGTGTGTTAGAGGCCTGTGTGGCTGCAGCGGGAGTGGGTGGGGAAGTGGGAGGAGGTGAGGTCAGAAGGTAGCATAGGTCAAATGGCATAGGAGACTGTGGGCTGTGGTATAAGCTTGGTTTTAAGTCTTATGTGAGGTGGGAGCCATGGAGGATTCCTAGGGAGGGAGGGTCAGGATCAGACTTGGTTTAACAGGCTCTGTCTGGGTGTTGTAATGGCTGAGTGGGGCAAGGATGGGCCTAGGAGGCCCAGAAGGGGCTATTGCACTTGTCTGGCTGAGTGATGATGCGGCCTGAACAGGAAGGGGGTAGTCACCAGAGGGTGACCTGAGGAAACTGTGGTCAAGCCTCTCCATGGTGTAAACAGTAAACACGATACTGATTCTAAGGACTTGGTAGTAACATGGAAATGGTGACTGTGTATAATGCTATGTGAAAATAGGATTAGAAAATTGTACATTAAAAACACACCAGCCCAGATGCAAAAGGCTGCAGATCATATGATTCCATTCATACGAAATGCCCAGGACAGGCGAATCCAGAGAGACAGACAGGAGGTGAGCAATTGCCAGGGGCTGGGGGTGGGGAAATGGGGGGTGACTGCCTATGGGAACAGGTTTCTTTTTGGGAGGGGGATGAAAATGTTCTGAAATTAGGTAGCAGTGATAGTTGCACAACTTCATGAATATACCAAAACCCTGAGTTGTCCCCTTTAAAAGGGTGAATTTTATAGTGAGTGAATTATACCTCAAAAAAAAAATTTTTTTTAAGGCATGTCCAGATTTCTAACCAAAATTGGATGCACATAGAAAACATTGCAAGGAGCTGGGCGTGATGGTGCCTGTGGTCCCCACTGCTTGGGAGGCCAAGGCAGGTGAATCACCTAAGCCCAGGAGTTCAAGACTAGAGCCTGGGTGATATAGTGAGATCCTGTCTCTAAATAATAATAATAGGCCAGCTGCAGTGGCTCATGCCTGTAATCCCAGTACTTTGGGAGGCCGAGGTGCACGGATCACCTGAGGTCAGGGGTTCGAGACCAGCCTGGCCAACATGGTAAAACCCCATCTCTACTGAAAATACAAAAATTTAGCTGGGCGTGGTGATACACGCCTGTAGTCCCAGCTACTCAAGAGGCTGAGGCAGGAGAATCGCTTGAACCCAGGAGGTGGAGGTTGCAGTGAGCCAAGATCTTGCTACTGTACTGCAGCCTGGGCAACGAGAGCAAAACTCCATCTCAAAAAATAAATAAATAATAAAATTTTAAAAAGATTGTAAGGAAATATTCACAGTAATTGTCATAGGGTGAAGGGGATTCTGGATTTTGTTTGTTTTCTGTGTACTTTTCAATTTTTAAAACTTAAAAGTAGGCATTTCTCTCTAAAATCATAAAGACTTTGTGACTAGGGCCAGAGATGGGGGATCCACTTGGAGGGGCTCAGCCTCTCTCTCCAGCTCTTGTGGATCCATTCAGCTGCATGGCTTTCACTTGGGAGGTTGGGAGCAGGAGCTTGCTCTGGTCCGCGTCTCTGACCTTCTGGAATTCCATTCCTGCTCACATGGCCTTGGTCAAGTCACAGGACCAGAGATCCCAGCGGCCCTCCCCTGGAGAGTGTCCCAGCCGCCCACGATGCCTCCACCCAGAGGCTGCCCTGTTCTGCTTGCATGCCTTCAGCCGCAGGTTGCTCACCACCTCCCGAGCAGCTCCCTCCTTCCATTTCTGGGCAGCCCTGCCTGCTAGCAAGCTCTTCCTTATATGGAGGTGAAATCTGTCTTCCTGTTGCTTCCTCAGCTCCCTCTCTGAACCCCAGTTTCTGGGTCTGCAGAAGGGGGCTCCCAGGCCTCTCCCTGCCTACCTTGGCCACTGGGAGGTTCTGAAGAGACTGGAGGACCAGCAGCCCAGAGCCTGTGTCGGTGGTCATTCAGCTCTCGGGACAAAGCGTGGGTGGGCCTGTGCCCTGGTGGCATAACCAAGTAGGATTTCCACATTCAGTGTCTAGGCCATCGCTGTGAAATTGGAATTTGATACTAATCCTGGAGATTGAAAACTCAAACCTCTCCATAGGCCAGGAGGGAATGATAATCATCAGTGCTAACATTTACGGAGGGCTTGTGGCGTGGCCAACTCTGAGTGACGTTTATGCACTCATTTCTATTTATCACCAGCAAATCCCGGGCCCTGCTGTTCTTCCCCATTTTAAAGGTGAAAAACCTGAGGCTCAGAAACGTAACGGGAAGCAGCTGGGTGCGAGCCTCCTGGCACACATTGTGGGAGTGCTGTGGGTCGAATAAGGAAGCTGAGCAGCAGGCAGCCTCTCCCCTGCAGAAGGGCACAGAAGCAGGACTGGAAGGAAATCCTGGTTGTGGGCTGAGCTCGGGCCATCCACTTGTCGTGGTGGGTGAAGGGTCTGGTCCGCAGGTCTGCTCTCCAAGCTGCCTCGTTGCAGGTGCTGACTTTGGGAGGATTCTCCTTGTCTCGGCCTAGGAGCTTTCTTGCTCAGCTTGGGGAGAGAGGTAGTAATGTCGCCTTCCACCTCATGGACTTCCCAGTTTAGAATGCTGCTTCCCATCCCACCCACATCACCCTCTGTTAGGTAAGCAGGAGCAGAAATGCAGTCCTTCATCTCAGCTCTGGAAACGGGTTCAGAGAGGGTGTAGAACTGCCCAGGGGCACACAGCCAGGACAGGCCCAAGCCAGGAATTGCACTGGGGGTGAGCAGGGGATGGCTTTCCTGGCTTAAGGTATGTGGGAGGCCAAGAGCCATCATTTTTCCCAATCCTCTCCTGGAGAGCCAGGGGACATCTGAAGCCAGGGGCTCTGCCTGTTTCCTCTGCACTGTCCCTGTGCTGGGCTGCTCTGAGCTGGGCACTGGTGTGGAAGGTAAATAAGCAGCCCCATGACAAGCTGTGAGACCGGGCAGTGGTTTGGGCTCCACCCAGGCCCATGCCTCTCTCTTCTGCTTGCAGAGCCTCAGTGTCTGCATCTCTCAAATGGGCTAAGGACACTCACCTCAGAGGATGGCTGAGAGGATTCCATGTGGGGTGCTTGGCAGAGTTAGCTCCAGCTCTGCATGCCACCCCCTCCCATGGTGCAGCCACCTGGGTTCCACCAGGGCATTCTGGGATGACACCAGACCGGGAGGAGAAGTGCGAGGAGTGGTGTGGTCATTGGCGTCTTTCCTCTGCCTCTGCCTCCCCCGGCCCCTTCCATTCACATGGTAGAAATTCAGATAGCACAGCAGCAAGTGTCCCTCCCGCTCCTGACCTTCCAGCAGTTTCTTCTCCATCCTTCCAGGAGTGATCTCCACAGATTCAGATGCCCCCCGGAAAGGGCTTTCCATTCAAAGTTTCCCCTGGACTCATTCTGGCCCCAGAGAGGCTGTGCCCGATCCGATCCTCGCCCCTTTGCGGGTGTGAACTTGGAGGCTGTGAGAGGGCCAAGTTGCCCCTGGGAATCGTACATATTCTGTTCCACATCCTCCTCCTGTTGTCCGTTCCGTGCCCTCCTATGTCAGGAGTGGAGGAGTGCTGGAAGGCTGTGCAACACACTGTTACCCATTTTGCAGATGACAAACTATGGCGGGGGGAATGGGTTTCCCTTAGCAGAGAGGGAATTGTCCAAGTCATGCCAAAGACTTAAGGGCATGTCATAGCCAGCTTGAGTCCAGGCAGGAGCTGTAGCCACCAGTCGGGACAAAGTCAGGGGACTTGAGAGGTCTTCACCCAGCTGCGGCCAGGAGAAGGCCTGGAAGGAGCATCCCTGCTGCCATCAAGTCCAGGGAGGGCAGAAGCCCATGGAGCTCTGAGCTGAGTTGGGAAGTGGCTGGAGGGGTCACTTGTGGGGTGGTTAAGCCACCCAGAGATACCCATGAGCCCTGGGGCCAGGGAACAAAAGATGTGTGAAGGCAGGTGACTGACACTTGGGTGTGTGTGGACTTCTACATAGAGAAATCTCCGTGTTCTTGCATGTGCATGTGTCATTTATATGTATACATGTGTATATGTGTATACATCTCTGCATGTAGCTGTGTGTGTATGTCTATATGATTGCATGAGTGTGTGTACACACAGATGTATATGCCCATGTTTCTGGATGTGTGTGCCCAGCCTGAGGGGGGGACAGGGTTCTGTACGTGTGTGTGTACACGTGTCTGTGTGCATGTGTATGTGGTTTTGTGTCTTTTCATGTGTGTGGTGCCTGTGTGTCTGAGTGCACATTGTATGGAGGGTCTGGGGGCTGCGTATGAGGTAACTGTGTGATTCTGTCTGACTCTGGGTGTGTTTTGTGTTGGGTGTGTCTACGTGTGTGTCTGGCCCACATGTGTCTGGCCCACATATGCTGGCCCAGGGCAGGATGGAGGGGCCTCCTGTGTGGTGCTGCTGGACTCTGTTGTGGTCACCACGGCCCCGTGGGCTTAGCGTGGGGCACTGGTGGGGCTGATGTTGCCACTTAACCTCAGGGTGGGATGGCATGGAGCAGGCCCATCCCGATGTCCCTGGGTGGCCTGGTGGAATGTGCCCACGGGATGCCCACCACTGGGGGACCCCACCAGCGTTGGGGCTGAGGCTTAGGCTGTAGCAGGCTAAGAGGTCCGTCTATAGCAGTGGCTAGATGTCTGTGGCTGGGGCCTGTGCCTGAGGTCAGAAGTCCATTTGTGGAAGAGGCTGGGAGTCAGTCTGTTGCTGGGATTGGGGAGGGATCACAGGGACCAGGGTCAAGAGTCAGAATGTGGCTGCTGCCATGGCTAAGGGTCAGTCTGTGGCTGCAGTTGCAGATCAGTCTGTATGGCACAGAAGACAGGTTAGGCCTCAGCCACACCACTGTCCCCAGCCCCTTGGTGGCTTCCTGGCCCAGGGGTAAGTTTGAGCCCTGGGAACAAGGGGCAGAGAGAAGAAAGCGCCTGTGAGTCCTGCTACCAAGCAGGCCTGGGCCCAGCTGTTCCCATGGCCATGGCAGAGAACCCCAGCCAGCCCAACGTGTCCAGAGTGTGTGGCTTCATTGTAGCCAGGAACCAAGGGTGCCCAGGACCGTGCCAGGGTGAGCAGGGCAGTGCTTCCCAAGTGAGACTGAGAGAAGACCCCTGCCTGCCTCTCAGTGCATTTCCTCAGGCACCCTCTGGTGCCTAACCCTGTGGCTCTATAACCCTCCTTCTCTCTTCTCCTACCCTTCTTTCCCCTCTCCTTTATCTGCTGTCATCCTCCCCACTCCCCAATCTGTCTTCCTTTGCAGCTGCCCTGTCCTCTCTTTCCCCCAGCCAGCCTCCTGCCCCCCACCTGGGCCCTCTGAACCCCAGGGCCTTGCCTCTTTTAAGTTCAGCAGATTTGACTTCACTCAGACGCTGGCGCTGAGGAAGGAAGATGAATACCCATAGTCTGGATGCCCCAGGAGAAGGAGGCTGCATGGAGGCCCAGTCACACGCCTGCAGGCGGGGGCCGTCTTCCTGGAGCCCATGTCCAGTGAAGGGTCCACAGCAGGGGTCAAGGGGGGCTTAGACTCGGATTCTGCCCTGTTTGAGCCTGAAGCTGCACTGACCTCATGGGATGGCCTCCTGCAGTCAAGTAGGGAAGGATGGACAGACACACAGATGACAGGGAAAACTACAGACAGAAAAGATCAAAGGTCGTTCAGATCAAAAGCAGGCAGAAGACGCCTCGGTCTTGGCCCAGCACCAGCATTCCTGTGCAGACCCCAGCCCAGGGCAGAGACTGAGATGTACTCCCTCTCCCCTCTCCCCCTGCTTCCCCTGGTCGGGAGGTGGCCACCAAGGCAAGCCTTCTGCCGTCACTCCAGCCAGAACCTGCATGGGTCGGGGTGGGTGGGCCAGATTAGCCTCCATCCTGGAATCAGGGGAGTTGGGACACTGAGGGGACATTCAAATGTTTGGAACATTTGAAAATGTTCCAAAAATGTAAGAGAACTTGGATCTCTGTACTCCCGATGCTCTCCACCCCCATCAGCTAAAATATCAAGCTCTTTGCTTTCAAAGAAAAGCATTTTCTCGAGTGTTTTGCTCTCAGTTTCACATGGTAGCCCCAGCTTGCTCAGGAAGTGCTTGGCGTTAGAGGGTTTTGATGGGGAGAAAAGGGAACAGGGCTGTAGTTGTTGAAGGACCATGCCAGCCCCATGTGGGCAGGGATGCCTGTTCTGTTCCCTGCTGTCCCACAGTGCCCTGAACAACGCCTGGAACATGGTGGGTTCCATAAACGTATACCAAAGGAGATATGTGTGGGCAGTTGGTCTGGGAGACAAAACCGGATCCATGGGGGCAGGAGGGCTGGCAGCTGCAGACCTGGATCAACATGCTCATAAAAAGGGGATATTAAGGCTGGGAAACTGGGAAGGTGACTGGGGTAGATGACCCCCTGCTGACTCAGACAGGGCACAGCTCCTGGTACAGTCATTAAAAATGGGGCCTCTTCAGCAGTTTTCTAAGCTACCACATTGGCATGAAGGGCATTAATGTGTTGGAGCAGGTACAGTGGAGGCTGAGGAGGGGCAGGGTTCCTTCCTGAGGCATTTGCTCTCCCACCAGCCCCACTAGCATGAATGGCAGATCCCAGCAGCCGTATCCATCCTTCTTGCAAGTTGCTCAGGCAAGATACATCAGTGAATCCTGCTAACCCTGCCTTCATAATAAATCCAAAATCCGACCCCTTCTCATCGGCCCCACCCTGGCCAGGCCTCATCATTGCCCACCTGGACTAGTGTAGGATGCAGGCTTCTGTGCTCCTGCCCTGGCCCCACATCTGCCCTCTTCACAGGGAGAAACTCTGACCACCCAAGGGAAAGCGTGTCCCATCCCTGCTCAAAACACTGCAGAAATGCCTCATCTCGTTCAGTCTAAGAGCCAAAGTCCCTACAATGGTGTGTGTGCAAGCCCCTGTAGGTGTGGCCCCCCGTCCTCTCTGCCCACATCTCTTTCTGCTCACTCCCCTCAAGCCACACTAACCTCTTGGCCATTCCTCAAAAATCCCAGCCTGGCTGCTGCCTCAGGGTCTTTGCACTTGTTCTTCCTTCTGCCTGCACAGCTTTGCCCCCAGACAGCTGCATGCCTCACTACCTTTGTCTGTCAAGTGTGTTCTCAAATGCTCTTAAGTATGAGCTCTGACCACTCAGTGTAGAAAAACAGCCCCTGCAGATGCTCCCAGCCCGCTTCCTTGGCTTTATTTATTTTTCCATAGCACGCTTCACCTAAGGTAACATACTACATCATTTACTTATTCATTCTGTTTCTTGTCTGTCAAGACTAGAATGAAAGCTTTGTCTCATTCCTTGCTCTGAATCCTCAACACATAGAATGGAGCCTGGCATCTAGTAGGTGCTCAGTAAATATGTACCAAGCCAATGGATGCATACTTTTGCCACCTTCAAGTTACGTGACTGGGAGCAAGTGCATTTCCTGGACCTCAGTGATCCAGTCTCTCAAATGAGGCTGACTGATGGGGCGGGGGGAGATACATAGAGATTTGAAGTTGCTGCCCCACTACTCAATAAACATGTGGAATAGATGTTAAAACCTGGCCCACATCTGACCTCAGGCCTGCAGGCTTCCAGCGTGAGGCTTACCAGACCAGGGCTGAGCTTGAATGCGACTTCTGGGTCTTAGTGTACCAGCCTGGCCTGATGGGCCTCCCCGTCCCTTGTTTCCACCTGGGTGTCCCTGGTGGCCTGTCAGTGAGCCTTGTCCTTGGCTGGCTCCACTGCCTGCATTCCCTAGGACCCTGCTTAGAGTCCCCAGCCCTCTACCCACCCTGCCTCTCTGGTCAACAGCTCCTGTTTACTATTTAGCTCTGGAATGGCATCTGGACACACACTTGCATGAAAGCAGCTATTGAGATAGTGCTTGGCAAACAAAAGGGCTGACATGTCCAGACCTAGGTTCTCCAGAACACAGCCTCACCTCACCAGGAAGGACTGGGCCCTTTAAAACCTGTGAGCACCCCTACCATCCCAGCGAGGAGGGAGGATCCTAATTCCCCTGGGGCAGACTCTTGGTGAAAGGTGAAATCAGAACCTAGGGAGCAGGAAGCCTGCCAGCCAGGCAGCCTCCTCTGCTGGTGTTCCAGCAACATTTGTGGGTGCTGGGTGCTGGTTGCTGGCACCATGATCCCATGGAATCCTGCCAGTAGGGTCTGATGGAGTAAGCAAGGCTTTGGGGTCCATGCACACTTAGGTTTGAATTGTGAGGTTGCCACTCCATTCTGCTGCACTGCCACACGCCATGCACTGTGCTTGGTGGAGGTGAGCAAAGAATCTTGAAATTGAGAGTCGGATGGGATCCGATTGTGTTGCTGTGGTCTTGGCAAGTTCTTTGCAGGCTCTCAGCCTGGGTTTCTCCTCTAGGGGATGGTCAGATCCTGACCTTGGGGTACTGTCTTGTGACTCTCCATGATACCACTTGTGGAAGGGCCCTGGCCAGGTCAGGGTTTCCATCACCCTCTGGCAGATGTGAATGGCAGCCCTGCTGAATCAAGATCCCTCCGTACCACTGCCCCAGGAGCTCCAGGGAGTCCCCAGGGAGCCAGGGAACAAGAGAGGCCCCTGGAACAAATGACAGGCTCTGCCCTTTTTTGAGATAAGCCACCCACCACCATCCCATCCCTCTACACCCATCCCCAGAATCTGGAATCTGTGAAGGGTACTCACTGAGCGACCTGGAATCTGTGAAGGGTACTCACTGAGCGACCTGGAATCTGTGAAGGGTACTCACTGAGCGACCTCAGGTGAGTCTTCCGACATGTCCTGGCCCTGATGTTCTCCATGCTCCACCCCACCCCCATTTTATCCAGGGGAACTGTTGGCTCAAAGAAGAGAAAACTTGGGCTTGGTCAGGCTTATGGGAGGAGGGCTTGGTTTAACTTCATTGTTCCATGCATTCACTCACTCATTCATTGAACAAGTGCTTATGGAATGTATACCAGGAACCATTCCAAATACGGAAGATACACCAAGGAACAAACAGACAAAAATACCTACCAGATACCTAAATATGTAAATTACATGGTATATTAGAAGGTAGGGAACAGCATTCCAGGCAGATGGATCAACAAGTGCAAAGGTCCTAAGGTGAGAGTGTGCCTGCTGAATTCAGGAACTGCAAGGGGCAATGTGAGTGGGGCAACAGGCTGGGACTGAGGGCAGGAGTTGGTGGGGACCTGATTGTGTGGGCTGTCATCAACCACCTGGGGGACTTTCTCCTCCTCATCACTCAGAAACTGAGGAGGGGAGGGAAGACATTCCAGCCAGGTTGGTGATCCCCAGCGGGCATTTGGGCTTTTCCGTTGCCACCTTAATGGTATACACAATGCGCATCTCCTGGTTCACTCAGCAGCCTCAGGACTGAGTGACCCTGGTCCCCAAGACAGATATTGAAGACAGAGACTAAGCAGTCTGACATTTTAAATATGGGGAGCCCCGAGTGGGGCGGGGCTGCCCAGGACCTTAGGGATTCACTTCTGGTAGGGAGGGCTGCTACCAGGCTTCAGGGAATGCCAGAAAAAAGGTGCCCGAGGCCCACCTGGCATGTAATGATGGGCAGGATTGGCTGTAGGATGTATAGAGACTTTAGTATGGGCAGGGTTGGGGGTTAGTAGGTGGAGAAGGGAGATTGGGACATCATTGAGCAGCAAAACCCAAGTGTGACAGGTGGTCGGTGTGCTCCTGCCAGAGCAGAGGGGCCTGAGTAGGAGGAAGTGGAGGTGGAGGCCGAGGAGAATGAGACAGACAGACTCACTGGCCAGCGGGAGAAAGTGGTGGGACGAGCCAGGGCTGACACATCTGTGTGATCCCTGGTGCAGTAACTCCGGTAGATGGATGGACACGTGGATGGATAGAAAGGTGGGTGGATGCAGCGACGGATGGATGGATGAATGAATGAATGAATGCATGCGTGGGCGGTGAGCGGCCGGGAGAGGGGCGGGCCAGCTGAGCGCTCAATCACAGCCCCGGGGCTCGGCGCCCGCCAGCTGCACTCAGAACCCCCCTCACCGTGGCCCTGCCCTGTGGCGCCTAATTACGTGCCCCCAGGGCTCTGGAGCGGCTGCTGGGACTGCAGCGAAGAGGGGCCCGCGCCACCTCCGCCAGGCTCCACGCGCCGGCCTTGAGTGCGCTCCCCTCGGCCGCCGGGAAACCTAGAGGCGCGGTTTGGCCCCAAGGTCCCCGGTCCCGCTCTTCTTTGTCTCGGCCTAGTTCTCGGCTGTCTCCGGGCCGCGACCCACCTCTCCTGGCGGTCCTTGCCGCATGCTTCTGTGCTGCGCCAGAATCATCGAGTCTCAGTTCTCGCTGCCTTCCCGGCCAGTAGGCGTCTCCCCCAGCTGGGGAGGGTCCCCCAAACCCTGTGCTTCTAGGACCGCGGGGCCGGCAAGCGGCAGGATCTCCAAGCTGCGTCTCTGATGCGGCTAGGGGAGGCGCGCGATGAAGGCCCCCCTCTTCTCCGCCTTCTCTCTACGCCCCACCGCTACTACACGTCGCGCTGCGCCGCGACCCCGGCGCTGCCTGTTGGCGCCTTAAGCGGCTCTTCTGCCGCGGTGCGATCCCCGACGCCAGGAGGACTAACCCCCACCCGCCAGGCCTCAGACCCCACGCAGATCCAGCCACACACGCAACCGCCTGCAGATACCCACCACAGCCCTTTAAGTTAACCCAAAGCCCCGTACAGGCGCACTGCCCCTACATGCGCAGCCCCACGGCCCCACACACCCACCAGCCCACTCGCAAACAGGCCCACATGGCCACACAACTGCCCTCTGGACACTCAGCCCCACGCAGGCACAATCCCATATACACACAACCGCACACAGGCGCAATCCCACCCACGCAGTACCTCACGGAGTCACACAACCCCCCTATAAACAATCGCACAGACACAGCCCCACGCAGCGCCACATCATTCAGTCAAACTGAGACCCAGAAACACATTCACTAGCTTGTATCCAGACCCCCCCCCCCAAGCCCCGTGACATTCACTCGTAGGACAGACCAGAAATATACAGCCACATTGATACACACACGGACCTAAACGCACAGCCAAGACCTCACCCGCAGGCTCGTAAGTCACTGGAAAAATATTAAAGCGTTCCCTCCCTCCCCTCCTCTATCTTTGACATACACACGCCTGCGCGCGCGCGCACTCTTACACTCACACCCCCCGTCCCTAAGCGCGTCGGAGCCTCGCAGCGGGTGACCCCGAGGCCCCGCGGTGAGAGCCAAGGGAGCGTCTCCCCGGCGCCCCCTCCTCCCGCTCCCTTCCCGAGCTCATCTCTCGCCCCCCCGCCCGCCTCCTCCTTCCCTGCCCCCTCCTCCTCCTCCCTTCCCCCGAGTCTGGGGCGCGGGCTGCGCGCAGCCAAGCCCCCTCATCGCGCGCCCCTCCCCGCGCGCGCCCCGCGCCAGCATCGCGCTTACCGAGTGGATGCGGCCACGGGGCCGTCTCTAATTACCTCCTGACCCCCGGCGGCCTGTGAATAATGGCTACTGAGGGCGCTCGCAGGGGCTGCTAAGAAGGAAACGCGGGGCGCGAGAGGCGCGGCGCGCGCGGGAGCGCGAGGGAAAGGAGCGAGCCTGGGGCCGTTGCAAGCGGCTGGCGAGAGAAAGGATTCGTGCGAGCGCTCACATTTGTTTCTCCCAAGGATCTCATCTGGCCACCGCGTTCTGGAAGAGGCGAGAGGGAGAGCGTGCGCGAGAGGAGAGAGACGGCGGGGGAAAGGGAGACGGCGAGACGCGCAGCGCCGGCGCCCGGGAGACCCAGGAGGAGCCCGCAGGTATTGTTGGCGGCGGAGCTTTGTGTTTTCGGCGGGCTGCTGTGGGCGCCAGGGCTCCCCGAGCCCCCGGCCCGCCGCCGCGCGCAGACCTGCCCGGAGTCCGGGGCTGCAGGCTGGGGTCGCCGCCCGCCGCGGACACCCCTCCCGCGGCGCCAGGATCTTGGCTGGAGTTGCGGATTTGCATGTTTGGGGGTTTTCCACGCTGGTTGAGGGAATCGGTCTCAGAAGAAGGAATTTCTTTCTTTCCTTTTTTTTTTTTTTTTTTTGGCCGCTTTTGGCCACAGTTTGGTTGTGCTGGGGATTCCCCCCTCCCCTTTCCTCCACAAAGCATTGGTGAGCGGTCTTGACGAATGTGGTATTGGCGGAAGGCATGGGGCTGAGATGGCGGGGCTGGTGGCCACGGATGGGGAGGCGAGAGATGCCAGAGAAGGAAGGAGTTCTGTTCAAGTTCGCAATCTGCGCCCCGAAGCTGGTCGGACCGGGGAGGGCGATCCGCGCGTCCGATCCTGCTCCGGGCAACCGATGGGAAACTTCCCGAGAGCGCGGCCTCCCTGGGGACTCGGCGCCCCTGACGCCTCCAGGCGCTTCCTCGGGCCGCTGCGGCCCCTCCTCGCCGCCCGCCAGCGCTTAAGGTCGCGCTCTCCCCACCCCCGCCTTCCTCCCTTCCTCGGCGGCTTCCGGATCTGGACAGAGCTGCAGGAGTGGCTTCAAACACTTCCCCTGGAGACCCCTCCCCACTCCCCGCACGAGAGCCTGCCCAGTGGCCCCCCTGCCCTGCGCCCCAGTCTCACGCGCGGTCGAGTGGCCAGGCTGACAATGAAATCTCGCACCTCTGCCGGGGGGAGTGGGGTGGGGAGGAGGTCCCTCCTGGGGCTGCTGACCCTGGGCCTCGGGCAGGGGGAGGGGGCTCCTGGGGGAGGGGCTTGTTTTGGTTAGAGACGTCGACCTGGGATGGCGCCGGGGCAGGGAGGGGGCTGGGGGGTGGGCGCGGCGAAGGCGGCAGGCTTGGGTTCGCGGCCGGGGGTCGTGGATGGCAGCCCCTCTTGGGCTTGGTGATTGGCTGGTGACTTCAGGCACGTCGAGGGCCCCTCCAACCTCAGCCTCCTCCCCTCTGGTACAATGCGGGCTGAAAGAGGTGATCCCGAGGGTGCTGTGCTTGTGTGACGAAGTGTTTGTCTCCTGCGATCCTCAGCAGACGCTGCTCCGGTGACCCGGAGATCCGGACGCCTCGACCCCTCCCTCAGGGCCGGGAGGAGAGGAGGATGAAGGGGGAGGAGAGTGGTGGGAACTTCTCCTTTCCCATTGAGGCCATGGGAAGGGAATGCTAGCCCAGAAAATTTCTGGGGACCGCAGTTCTGAGGCGGGGACTCAATCCAAGGGGGGACCACCGGGTCAGAGGCTTCCCGGCACGCAGAAGCCCCCAGATTATTTTGCTCCATCGGGGGATGCAGAGGAAGGGGAGAGGTGGAAGAGCGAAGGGCTAGCTGGACTGGCGTTGCGGGGGTGGAGAGCCCGTGGAAATCAGCCTTAATTGGATTCCCAGGCAAGCAGCCAGGCTATCAAGGTGCCCCCTCCCCTTTTTCTTCCTGGGGTAGAGAGCCAGGTCCAGAGACACCAAGCTGGCAACCCAGGCAGGTGAAGGCAATTCCTCTCCCTACTTAAAAAGAGAATTCCTGGGGGAGAGGGGAGGCACCTTTTGAGAGGGAGGGGGGCGGCTAGACTGTGTTCAGGCTGTTCTGTCTCTTGGTCCAGGAATAGAAAGAGTTAACCCTCCCCCAGAAATTTGTCAGCCCCCACACAGCAGGGAAACATTGTTGGACCCTCTGACATGCTAACAGTGTGACACCGGCTGACTGGAGCTAGCAGATTCTAGACCCTGGACTCCCCCTTCAAAGCCCAACAGGACTCGGCTGGGTGGTGCCTTGTTCAGGGACCTTGTGGGAGGCGGAAATGAGAGCCCAGAGAGGGTCAGGCAGCAAAGCAGTGGCCTTGTGGCCCGGAGGGAAGAGGGGTTACAAGCCAGGGCCATCGGAAACTGGAAGGGAAGTCGCCATGGGTCTGGGGTAGAGGGAAGGGAGAGGCCCTTCTACCCTTTGCCCAGACTCCTGAGCAAGGCTTTGCCCTGCTCCCCACCCTTCCCACACACCCACTCAGCTGCAGGCCTGGCCATTAAATGTGGGTGTCTGACCCATAGGTTGGACCATGAGACCCTAGTGGCTGAGGGAGGCCTGGGTGAGGCTCTGGGAGGCAGGACTGAAACCAGCAAGGGATTCACTGCTGCTCATGCCCTATGGCACAACCCCCTTATTTATGGGGCTGCCTTCCCTTCCCCAGACCTCGAGTTTCCGTTTTCAAGAACCTTTTTCTTCCTATCTTCCTTAGGGCCCCCAGGGCCTAGCACACAGCAGTCACTCACAGTGTCCTGTATTTGTCCAGCTAAATGGAGTGAATGAATCAGTGGTGAATGAATGAAAAGGGAAAGTTTCTCAATTGGAAGCATCTAGCCCTTGTGGTTTTTTTTAAACCTTTTTGAAATATATATTGTAAAATAGCATTCACAGAAAAGCTGAAAAAAAAAGAGAAAAATAAGGTTATTGACAGTCTTAGAGGGCTCTGACAATGTTAGTATTTTGATGTAGTTCTTCCCAGTCCTTTTCGACTCGGTGGTTGGTTTGTTTTTTAAAGACTTTGTCGTCATTCTCTATATTCAGATGTATATCCTGCTTGCTTTGCCGGCATAATGTGAGCCTTTTCCTGTTTTGTAACCAATGCTTCATAAACACCATGGTTAATGTCTTCAGGCTTTTCCAATCAAGTGGATGTACCATAATTTACTTAATATTCCCCTTTTGTCCAACATTCTGGATGTTCCTGATGAATGATGTAGTGGATATATTTTGTATAGCTTTTCTTGATACTTAAAATGATTTGCTCAAAATGCCACTGCTGATGCCGAAGGCTCCGACTGCCTGCAGTGGGAGAAACGGCTTCTCTAGTTTTCCTTGGATAAATGGGACACTATTTTTCCTTCCCCACAATCTAGAACCTTCCATCAGAGCCGAAAAGAGCCTTGGCAATGAATCACCTATCTGACCTCCCTCCTTTGACAGAAGAGGAAGCCAGAGCCCAGAGAGGGGAAGCGAGTCCCAAGGTCACACAGCAGTTGCTGGGCTATGCAGCAGCGAAGACCCAGCTACTGATTTGCCATGTTGGTTTTCGCATCTGAAAAGATTCCTGAGGTCTTTAAGGCTGACCCTGCCCATTTCACAGATGGGGGGACTGAGACCCCAAGCTTACCCCTGGTGCCGCCAGCTGGAGCCCCAGACAGGCTTCTCGGCCCTCCTGGGCCACCCCCGACTGGGTGTGTTCACGGGATCTGGCGGCTACAGGCTCCCTGTTGCCCGCCCCACCTGCCCACCACAGTTCCCCTTCCTCTTTGCCATCCCATTCTCCAGACAAAAAGCTGAGGATCCAAAGCAGATGCAGTGAGGGGGTGGGACTGTAGGTCTCTGGGGACCCTAGTGGTTGCGTCCTTGCCCCATGCCTCAGTTTACTTGTCAGAGACCTAACCTTGGATCTGTTCAGGAGCAGAGGCAGATGTTGGCACAGATATGAGGTATGAAGGAGTGGTGTGGGGGATGGGGTGCACCTTAAAATCTCTCTCTGGCCCGAGATTCACCCCAGGAGACCCCCCGGGGAGAAGGGAAGGAGAGAGAGAGGGAAGAAAGAGTTGAAGCAGAGACAGTATTCCCCATCAGAGGACAGGGACTTTCTGCCCCCTCCCCTGCAGCACACCAACCATCCGTGTGCCTCTGATCCTGCTTGTGTATTGCTTAAGGGGTTTGTGTGCCTTCCAGCTTGGGCATGTGTTGTGCATGCGTGCCTCTGTGTGTGTGTGTGTCCGTCCCTGTGTGTGTCCCCTCTGTGGTGTCAGTCTCTGATCCCATTTGTGCATTTCTGGGGGGAAGGGAGGGTGCCCCCGAGCTCGGTCTTGTGTGTGCGCGTGCATGCATGTGTGCATGTCTGTGTGTGAGCACACTGTTTCCTCCTAATGGCCCCAGGAGGGATCCAGGCATCAGGCTTTTGTGCTGCTTCAAGGTTGTGGCTGGGTGGGCGAAGAGAGGGAAGGCCTTCGACAGGGAGGGGTGGGGTTGAGGGAGGCAAAAGAAAATCTTAAAAGACCGTCTTCCCTCTGGTCTCCAAGGAGATCAGGCTGTGAAATGATCCGCACGTTAATTAAAAACGATTATATCCTGATTGAGCCATTCCTGCTCACATCCCCCAGCCAGGGAGAGGAAGAGGCTGAGAGCAGAGGATGCAAAATGGGGTAGGGTCCAATGGCAGGGCATAGCCAGGTGGAGCCACAGCCCACGGAGGGGAGCACAGGCTGGGGGAGTCAAGTGGGAAGGTGTTGAGGGGCACGTGCCCAAGTCTGATTGGAGCTTCTCCTTTGAATTTTAGGGACTGTCTTCCAGTGGTGGTCTCTGAGATCCCAGGAGTGGGTGGCAGCCACCCAGCCCCATGGATCTCCACTCATATGCCAGGCACTGAGCTTGTTGTTTGCACAGATCCTGCAAGTCAGCGCTTGTGGTTCCAGTTTTACAGAGAAGTGACATGCTTGAGGTCATGCAGCCAGGAGTTGGGAGCCCCAGATTGGACCCAGTCCTCTGACCCCGAGGCCCAGATGCCCTTCATAGCTCCTAGCTGCCCCCAGATTCCCACCATGAGCCCCTACCTCTGCAGGACCCCTGGGAGGCTGGGGCCTACCATGACAAGAACTTCTCCATGGCGCCCCTGAGGTGGTTCCTTGCTGAGGTCCGAGCAGCACAGGGCTGGGCGGCTGTGATGTCCATTCACGTGGGGAGCTGGGTGACTCACTAGCCTGGAGCAGCCTTGGGCTGACTCAGGTCACCTTTGCCAACCTGGGCAAGGCCTGCCTCGCCCCACCTTGCTCCTCCCCAACACTGGCTCATGGTTCCACAGCAGACCAGCCACAGGTGCCCCGTGAGGCTCAAGACACTGTATCCACACTGCTGGGTACCTGTGCCATGTCTTTTCTGGAAGGAGTCTGGGCCTGGTCACGCTGGGCCTTGCCTGGTTATCTGTCTGCTGTAAGCCTTGTAAGGACTACGGTGGTAGAAAAGAGTAGTGGTAACAATAAACCAGACGACCCTCCACCTCCACCCCAGCATCAGGTGTTGCGGGGTTCACAAGCGTGGCAGATCTCAGCATTTGTGGGACCTGCCTGCTGCCATACCTCTGCCCACTCCCATCCACCCATGTGCCACCTCTGTGTTCCCTGAGCCCAGCTTCTCCGAGAGGAGGAGACCCACTGTGGCTTGGCCACACCCAGAAGCAAGTGAGATCGCTGGCCACGAGTGGGGGCTTTTTCTGCTTCTCTGAGCCTCAGTTTCCCCTTTGTATAATGGGGATGATAGCTTTTTCCGGAGAGGACTGACAAGAGAGTAAGGAAAACCAGGTCAAGTTTGTTCAAGTGCCTGGCAGCCCTGGAACGCACACAGAGGCCCATTTGTGCATTTGTGCAACTGTCCATCCGTTCAGGGCACTTGTGTGTTGCCACAGGCCTTGGGTTTGCTGGCTTCTGGGGAGGGACACACACTGTCACATTTCAGTGCTTTCTAGGAGACAGTCTGGGGCTCAGGTGACTGTCATCTCAGCATGAGCCTCTAGGGGGCAAAGATGCTCACTGGACCCACCTGAGGCTATGTTAGCAAAGGTAGAGTGGGAGAAGGGAGAGATGTTTCTGCTGGGGTAGGTCCTAGTGAGATTTGCTGAACCTGGTCCCACATCTTAGCAGGAGCCAGAAACAGTATCACGAGGCATCAGAGGGGCGGGCAGAACAGGAAGTCAGCATCCACCTGTTCCCCAAGGCAGAACTGGGAGAGAGGCAGGCAGATGTTCACTCATTCCACAAAAAGCCCTTTGCACTGAAGCAGGCAGAGAGACCCTGCCTGCGCTGGGTCATCCCTGCAAGATGCCACCTTTCAGGAGAACAGTTTTTGTGATGTTGGTATCTGCCTTCCTCCTAAATATCCCCTTCCTGCCCTTCCCAGGGCCTGAAATGCTTCCGTTAGTCACTGCCGAGGTCAGAGCATGGAAGGCCCTGATTAAAATGCAAACTGTTACTTGGAGGAGTGATCAGAAGATGAACTCATGTTTGCATAATGCAGAGGCCACCCACCCCTAGGCCCCGCAGGGCCGGGCAGGCAGTGCTGATGGGGTTGTGGTGGCTGCCTGGCCCTCATGGGGCGCGGTAGCTCAGCTCTGCCAGGGCAGCCCATGGGGATGCAGCCCATGGCGCCTGTTGCCCACTGTCTCAGGAACAGGATTAGATGTTGACATGACACTTCCTGGTCTGTATATGTTGTCACCTAATTCAGCAGCACCCCTACGACCAGATTTAGACCTGGGGCCACTAGTGCAGCCTCCTGGCTTCAATGCTGCTGCCCAGTGATCACTGTGACCATCCTGCAATACAAGTGGGGCAGGGACGGCAAAGCTGGGGCTCCCAGAGGGGAGCTCCCCTGCCCAAGTCTAGGCCAGTGAGGCCCTGCCAGGGCTGAGGTGTCATATGAGGTGCTGTCACCAGACTGGGGGACCGAGGCACAAGATGAGACTTTGTTGGCCCAGGAGGGTAGGCTGGAGGAGGCCTTTCCAAGTGTGGCACGGGGCGGAGAGGCAGAGAAGCTTTGCCGGTGTCACTCTTCTGTGGGTGTCCCAGCCACAGGGGCCTTACTTCGGGCCCACTCGCAGCCTGGGACCTTGGGCTAGAGTCCCTGAGTGGCCGAGAGAGAGCCCTTTCTAGGAAGCAGGGCAGGCGATGCCCAAGGAGGCAGGCTCTGCAGGAGCTGGGAACTGCCAGAGCATCAGGCATGGTGCCAGCCTGGTATGCTTCTCATACCCACCCAGCCCTTGGTAGCCCTCCTAGAGGTGAGGACGTGGGAGCAGAGGGGCCACACACATAGGGTGTCGGGACCAGCCTGAACCGGGTCAGCCTGACCCTGCACTTGGGGTGCCTGGCGGCCAGGCCTGTCCTGCACATCTGATTCATGCCTCGTTTACAGGCTGTGTTTCATTCCCTTCAGTCCTTCCACAGTGTCTGCTGATGGCGCCAAGGTTCTGGCCCAGATGCCCTGGCGAAGGCACCCAAAGGGACAGGGGCTGGGTCTCCAAGGGGAAGCATTTTGCTGCAGAAGGAAGGGTGTTGGCTGCAGGACACAGCATGCCAGAGGCCTGGGGGTGTGGGTGGCGAGCAGGTGGGATTGGGGAGGTGGAGGCAGGGACTGAGGCCAAAAAGGAGTCTGGGCCTTGACTGCTTGAAGGGTTTTATCTTGAAGGCAGTGGGAAAAGATGGGTGCTCTGGGCAGTGAGCACCGCTGGAGCAAAGTCTCGGCAGTGGGAACACACAGGGACAATGAGGAGAGGCTTAAGAGGATCAGAAGAGGACCCAGGTGGGGCCTCAGTTTCCTCCCTGAGAACTCCTGAGTCCTCTGGGGTGTGGGCTGGATGAGAGCAGCCTCCCTCCTCCTGGAGCTGCTGTGCAGGCCTAGAATGCTGGTCTAGAGGGAAGCAGGGACCTGACCATCTCCCCAACCTCTTGCCTAAGCCCAGAGCAGCTCGGCCTAGCCCTGCATCCCCTGTGAGCTGAGCACTGGGAGGGACTGTTCAGTCTCGGCTGAGAAGTAGGTGATGGTCCTGGGGGACTGATAATTAAAGCTCAGCAGATTATAATTCCCTGAAAGAAAGCTCAGCACAGAGAGGGAGGAACAGTGCCCAGAGCCTTGGCACAGGCTGGAGGAGGATTGCTGGGGGAGGTGGTGGTGGGGGGAATAAGAATGATACCTGGAACCATCGTGTTCAGAGCTTCCTCTCGGTGAGGCCTCCTAGGTGCCCAGCCCTGGGCACTTTGCTGTTTCCAGTCTTCAGACCCTCCTTGCCAATGAAAGGTTCCTGCCATCCCCATTTTACAGATGAAGAAACTGAGGCTTGGAAAGGTCTGGCAACTGTGGTTCAAGGCCCATGGCTGGTAAGAAGTGAGCCTGCGGCTAAACCCTGGGCTGTGTTGGGAGCGTTGGCCTCCTTACTGAGAAGAAGGCACTGCTTAACTCAGAGAGAGGCTGTCTGATGGCAGAGTCCTGGGCAGGCCACAGGCCTGAAGCAGGAACAGGTTGGAGCAGGGAAGACCCCTCAGGACATTCCCCATGTTTGTGGCCTTCTGTCTGGGAGAGGGGGATGGGATCAGGGGTCACACTGTGGTGACTGGATCTGCCATTCACTTAGTCACCTGTTGTGTGATGCCAGGCAGGTGACGTCCTTCCTTGGGCATCTCCTCTATAAAGGGCTTGTGTTCTCCTGGGGTTTGCAGGCTTCTTTAAGAATCTCTTCCTCCCTCATTAATCCTACAGGTCCCAACTGAGCCTGTTCTCATGCCAGGAGCTCCTGGCACACTCCTTTCATCACCTGCCGGAGCTGGGCTCTATTATCATCCCTATTTGACAGAAGAGCACACCAAGGCCCAGAGGCTACTGCTGCCTGGCGGTCAGCCTTCTCCTCACCAGTTAAACCTGCTTCGTGCAGTCCTGCTGCCCAGCTTGTTGCTCCTGCCTGTCTCCTTGGCCCTGCCTGGAAGACCCTCACTTTCCCATGCCCTGTGCAGAGCCTACCACCTCCTCTGCCATCTCTTCCACAGAGAGGCCAGGGCTTGAGCACATAGGCCAGAGGTTGTCCTCTGGCAATGCCCCCAGGTGGGCGCTGTTTGGCCAGCCCAGGCTTTTAAAAATAACATTGGATTTCACATAAAAATTCTACATTTTGCTTCCCTGAAAAAAAAAATCAGGTCGGCATTGCAGGGCCACACACCCACAGGGCACTATCGGCAGAGCTACCATGGGACTGCCACCTTCTGAGTCACCTGGTTCCCTGCAGTTCCCACTCATGTGCCAGCTGGGCCCTGGCACTCTGGAGCTTGCCACCCTGCTTAGACCTGGGTTCCTGCCCTGGCATCCTGGCTTTCCCTGATCCGAGGCAGATTCTATCTTTGAAGCTCATCTAGTAAATGTCAAAACTGAGAAACTGATTCCAAACTGGGTCTTAGTGTTTTCTGAGAATTCTCCAGGCCAGAAAGAAAAAGAAAGGGTGCACCAGATGCGGGGCACTGCGTGGGGAAAGATAAGGAGGTGTGAAAGGATGCAGAATGCTTGGGGAATAATACCATGTTCTCCTTGCCTGTTAAGTACTTGGTTGGCAATGCCTGAATACTAACACCAATCAGATTCTGCTTGTTCTATAAGATGATTCATTCATTCCAGGCATTCAGATGACCCTCACAGCATCCCTGATAGAGCACCATTGTGGGTGCTTTTATTCTCATTTTCAGCAGATGAGAACACTGGATCTCAGGGAAGTGACATGGCACGCCCCAGGTCCCAGTAAGGGCAGGACCCTGACAAGAATTCCGACTCCTGACTCCCAGTCCAGTGCTCGTTCTCTCTAAGACACTGGAAAAATTGGCTCTTAGGTGGGCTTCTTTCTCTGGCACATTTTTTAAATGCTCCTTTAGTTAATATGCAGGAGGGATTTCCATGTTCTCGTACATAACCTTTTGCTGAAGTGACAACGTGCGATAAAAGGGTCCCAGGAGAGCCAGTGTAATTTGGGCTGTGAGGGACAGAGAATACCAATGCAGAAGCCTCTGCAGAAGGCCTGGCTGCTCCTGGGGGCTGGGAGACCCGGGGCCCCCTCACCACCCAATGCAAAGGTCTGGCCATCTTGGGCCCTGGGACCACGTGTACGTTCTGATTCGTCTTCCACTGCTTGGTTTATTTTTCTCACGTTTTTGGGTGAGGATCTTGGTTCCTAGAGGAGGGAGGTCTAGGCAGAGAGAAAATGAGCATCCAGGACAGGGGGAGAGATTGAGGAGGATGCCTGAGGCAGACGTTGAAGCCTTGTTTCTAGTCAAGCACTGGCTAGTTGGGGGGTATCAGACAAAGGGGTCCACATAGAAGGCAAACTGAAGGGCATGTTCAAGTGCTGTTCACGCCTGCCTTTAGCCCCCAACGACCAAAAGGGGGCTTGGCATAGCGAGACCCTCTCTCTACAATTTTTTTTTTTTAATTTAGCCAGGCATGGTGGTGGGTGCCTGTGGTCCCAGCTACTCCAGAAGCTGAGGTGGGAGGAACACCTGAGCCCGGGAGGTCAAGGCTGCCATGAGCCAAGATTGTACCACTGCACTCCAGCCTGGGTGAAAGAGCGAGACCTTGTCTCAAAAAAATAAAAAGTTGGGGGGATGTTAAGGAGGTTCCAGTTAATTGTGGCTGATTCTAAATTGGGAGGCCTAACAAATGGTACTTATCCTCCCGTGGGAGCAGACCAGGGCTAACCAAGGCCGCTGGGAATGGGGGTCATGGAGACAGAGCCCCTTTTCCCTCCCACCCACCTGAAGGCTCCAAGAACTTCCACTGCAGAGGTGTCAGGGACGGACCTGGTGCAGACCAGTGGGCCCACACCTGCTTTCCTATGTGCGGGTCAGAGCGTGTAGGTGTATTACATGCCTGCCTGTGTGTCTGCGTGTGAGCTCCTTGGACACACACAGGGGCACATATCTGTGCTTGCATGTTTGTACATCTAAGTGTGTGCGTATCTGTGTGTTCTGACACCAGCTCGCGACACCAGCTCGCCCTCCACAAAGCTATTTCCAGGCCCCATTCCCCAAGAACAGCCATCTCTCTCTCCTTTCCCACCTGACATGGGGCAGGGAGGAGAGAATCTGTTTGAAATCTCAACAGGACATGGGCTTTGCACCTCCAGAGAGCAGGACTTGCTTGTGTGGACAGAGGTGACATAGAAAGGTTTCAGTTTCATCCAAATAGAAACTTACTTTTTTTTTTTTTCGAGACGGAGTCTTGCTCTGTTGCCTAAGCTGGAGTGCAATGGCATGATCTCAGCTCACTGCAACCTCTGCCTCCCGGGTTCAAGCAATTGTCCTGCCTCAGCCTCCCAAGTAGCTGGGATTACAGGCTCCCACCACCACGCCCAGCTAATATTTTGTATTTTTGGTAGAGATGGGGTTTCACCATGTTGGTCAGGCTGGTCTTGAACTCCTGTCCTCAGGTGATCCACCCGCCTCGGCCTCCCAAAGTCCTAGGATTACAGATGTGAGCCACAATGCCCAGCCTTTTTTTTTTTTTTTTTGAGACGGGGTTTCACTCTTGTTACCCAGGCTGGAGTGCAGTGGCGCGATCTTGGCTCACTGCAATCTCCGCCTCCCGGGTTCAAGTGATTCTCCTGCCTCAGCCACCCAAGTAGCTGGGACTACAGGCGTGCGCCACCACGCCCGGCTGATTTTTTTTGTATTTTTAGTAGAGTCGGGGTTTCACCATGTTGGTCAGGCTGGTCTCAAACTCCTGACCTCAAGTGATCCACCTGCCTCAGCCTCCCAAAGTGCTGGGAATACAGGCGTGAGCCACCGTGCCCAGCCCAAAGATGCACTTCCTCTCATTCAGAAGTGATTTAGAAGTGGCCTGGGCTGCTCCAGGAGGTAGTGAGTGCCCCATCTTAGGTGGGTAGGTGTGCAAGCAGATGCCCAACCTGTGCCTTCCTCTCTTTTGTGGTCCCTTCTAAGCGCAAAGTGCCTAGGGCTGTGTATCTCCTGGCGGCAGTTCTGAGGTGGCCCTATTTTGCCAACCCAGCCTGGTTGGAGGGACTGACAGGGCTTCTGCCCCTAGGTGTCCCCTGAACTTGGCCCACAAAAGGCCTGAGGAATATAGGGGACTGTGATTGTGTGTGTGGTGTGTGATGTGTGACAGTGGACTTGTTTGTGTATCTGTGTTATGTGTGTGCATCTGTGTATGGTGTGTGTACTTGTGCGGGTGGGGCTTCAAGGGTTGAGTGTGGATATCCATGTTGTGAGTGTGCATTGCGCATGGCCCTGGAGGATGGGGGGACATTTCTGGGCTGTGTGGGTATTGACTGTGAACTGTGAGTATGTGCACTTGGGCCAGTGGAGGTGTTTGTGGCTAGAACGTGTCTGGAGGGAACTGTGCTGAGACCCCCACCGCCTCTGTCCTGGTTCATTCCTTCCCACCCCAGGCTCCTCTCATGGCCCCTGCCCCCAGGTCAGACCTGGGAGGCTCTCAGTCATCCCAAACTCTGACCATTCATGCTCTCCCTCCCAGAGACCTTGGCACCTGCCAGCACTGCTCTTGACTTTGTCCTTGCTCTGGGATAAGAGCAGGCCCAGCAGATGGCCGAGAGGTCCCAAGGAACAGAGGAACAGGCGGGGAGGAGGCCCAGTCACTGCTTAGCTTCTCTGTAGGAGATGTAGAAGGAAGTGGGTCTTTGTGTTTCTGCAGCATCTGGACCAGATGGAGAGACCTTTCTGGAGATGGCATGCACACTTCCAGATAGGAGCTGGAACATTTCCAGAAATGGAATGTTTTTAGAAATGAGACATGGTGTTTCTGGAGACAGGATGAGGACGTTTCTAGAGAAGAGATGAAAAGCATTTCTGGAGGAGGGGCATTTCTGAAGATGAAATGAGAACATTTCTGGAGATGGGAGAGGGCATTTTTGAGGAGTAAAGATGAGGCTTTTCTGGATTCTGAGCATTGCTAGAGATGGAACATTTCTGGAAATGGATTCTTTCTAGAGAGAAACTAGAATACTTCTGGAAGTGGTGTGTTTTTGAAGATGATGCTGGAGTATTTCTGGAAATAAAATAGGGCACTTCTGAAGATGAGGTATTTTTGGAGCTGAAATGCAACATCTCTGGAGATGGGATATGGCATTTCTGGAAGTGGAACATTCTTGGAGTTAGGGTGGAGCCTCAGTAGACCACTGGCATTTCTGGAGATGGATTACATTTGAAGATGACGGGGAATATTTCTGGAGATAAGATGGAGCATTTCTGGAAATGGAACATTTTGGAGCTGGGGAATTTCTGGGTTAAAATGAAGCATTTCTGGGGAAGAAACAGGTCATTCTCAGAGAAGGGACATTTTTTGGATTGAGGATGGGACATTTCTAGGGAAGGAGTTTTCTGAAGATGAGGGGGTCATAGCTCAGCCTGGCTGTTTCAAGGCCACTTGAGGAGGCAATAGGGGAGGGTCTCAGGGGCCCAGAGACCCCACCTGTGGTCCTTGTTTTGCACATGGCCCGAGGGAGGGTCTTGCCCAGACTCACTCCTGCTGAGCTGCAGAGTGGGCTTCTGAGGAACCTTTCCAGAATGCAGCCTTTGCCACCCCCTGGCCCAAAACCCTGGCCTGTGCTGGAATACTACCAGAGGGAGGCCAGAGCTGCCCAGTCTTACTCTTGGGGTCCCTACCTGCTTCTGGTGGGGTCCTGGCAGCCTCTAGGCTCACCACAGGGATAGGCAGTGACTGAATGGTTAAATTTAATTTAATTCAATTTTGTCAAGCCAGCTGAGGCTTGCTCCCCAGCCCCCTCTGCCAGAAGCCTGTACCTTTCCTCCAGTCCCCCGCCCCATATCCCCCTACCATGGGGATACCTGAGGGTGGCCTTATTGCAGCAGACAGATGGAGGGGGGCTACAAGGCTGAACATGGGCAAGGGTCCAGGGCCCTTCTCGGGCTCAGCCTGATTTCAGGGCGGGGGGCCCCAGCCACCTCCGCCTACTCCAGAGAAGCAGATATTGAGGCCTGTCACCACTTGAGCAGGCCTGGAGCCCCAGAGTAATTATTTCTCTTCCTTAATTGAAATTTCAGCCTCAGTGATCCAGCCTCAGAAGTGTAAGGCAGGCACAGAGACCCTGCCCCTGGTGGGGGGAGGGGGCGCCCCCCACCCTGGCCCCAGAAGGAGGGAGGCAGTGCCATCCCAGGGGGGCAGGTGGCTTCACATGCTGGTGGGTGGGCATGAGGTGGACGGCTGCTGGTCAAGGAGGCAGGGTCAAGGGGGCCAGTATGGCATAGTATGGCCTGAGCACTCAGTATGGCCTGAGTATGGCTCAGGCCAGTATGGCAGCTGCCATGGGAAGGTTGGGCCTCTCCCTCTGACTCCTGACAGAGGAAGGTGAGGGGGTTGATCTAGGCTAAGGTAGCATGAGGGAGTGAGTACCAGGAGACTGCTGCCTCCTCCCACATCTGGCGGGCACTGAGGGGTGGGCTGGGGTGGGTGAGGGGCTATGGTGTGAGTGGGGCGGGCTGGCTGGCGGCAGGCCCAGTTCCTGGTTCAGGGCTGGGTGAGGCGGCTGGCCTGGCGGGGCGGGGTGGGGTGGGCAGGAGGGTGCAGCTGAGGAGCCTGTTTTCCCGGCTGCTGCGGTCAGGCTGGGAGGAGCCTCCGCCACCTGGGTGGTCCCTGCTGCCCTACACGGCCTTGGGCCTGGCCTGTCTGCGGGTGAAGGCGGGGGCAGAGGACTCCAGGGACCAGCAGGAAACTGGGAGAAGCCATGGGCTTGAAATGAGCCTGGGGTCCACCCCTCCGTGAGCTTCTCAAGGTGGCTCTGAGGTGCTGGGGTAAACGTAGCAACTGCCAGCTTGCAGCTGTGTGTGTCTGAGCTCAGGCAACCCAGGCACCACACAGGAAGCTGCTGTACTCACTGGACCCTGATGGGCTGCAGAGGGCCAGAGAGTCTACTTGTGGGCCCTTCTGGGTGTCAGTCTTCTCCATCTGGGGAATGGGTTGGCTTGGTGGGAGTTTTCAGGCCTGCATTACCTTCAAAGGGCTCATGCTGCAAGCATGGGCTGTCCTCCCTGTTTTTATAAGTACACGGGCCCCAGCCTTACCCAGACAGCCCAGCACGCTGCCCGTAGTATCCTGGGGAAGGGCAGCAGCTGTCATCAGTGTTATTTCTGAGGTGTGTTTTCCTGGCAACCAGGAAATTTCTGTCAGTGGGAACAGCCTGCCCAAGGCCTCCTCCACCCCTGGGGAAGACAAGTTGTATGACAAGGGAGACAGAGGCAATTCAAAGTGAAGAACGGGAGTGAGGCCGCCTCCTCCGTGCATATTGCTCACACACTGGGGCAGCCACGTGCCCAGTAAAGGCTCTCTTGAAAACCGTGGAGATAGGAGCCAAGCTCTGCAAGGCCCTGACTAGCTCACCTGACCCCTGGCATCTAGAAGCTCACAGCCTATTCTTGGTGGAGGTGTGGCTATGGCTGCCCTCCAAGGAGGGGAAGACAGAGATGGCTGGACAGGATGGGACAAGCCAGCCCCCAGGAGCTGGGGAAGCGAAGGTGGGTGCAAATGAAAACGCAGAATCCCATTTGCAGTCCATTTGCTTAGCAGCCCTGACCAGGAGGGAGAGAAAGAAGAGGGCAGAGCAGGGAGAGATGGGGAGGGATAAGGATACAGAGAGAGAATCTGGCAGCCAGGGGTCAGGGAGCCTTTGGCCGTAAGGCCTGGGATGCCTGCTGCTTACTGAGGCTGTGGCCCCTCCTGCCTTCCAGAGCTAAGAAAGCTTTGCTCTGTCTCAGCTCCAGACACCGCATCCCCACCACACATTCCAGCACCTGCCTGCTTCCCCTGACCTCTGGCTGCCCCACAGACCCCATCCCTACCTCCACTCCTTGGGGATTTTGAGGTCTTATGCCACCACTCCACTCTGAGCAGGCTCAGTCTCCCTGTGTTGGTGGTGGTGCGGGGTGGTGAGAGTGGTCCTGGAGCAGTGGGAACTACCCGGAGGCCACCTGGGGTGGGTCCCAGGCACCAGTCCAGCTGGCCAGTGGGCCACGGGGGCTGACCTTGTCACCTTGGGCCCAGATGGAGGGCAGCGGTGCTCGGCCCTTCCCCCAAGCACATACAGCCGCTGAGCTAACATGACTCACCGCGTGGCAGCTCCCTCTCCCCACTGGGAGTGGGGATGGAAGCCTCCAGATGCTGCAGCCCCACCCTGAGGGAATCACAGGCCAGGCTGAGCCCTTCCAAAGTGGGGATAGCTGGGGATCAGACATCAGCATCCATTGAAGGGGGTGTTCACCCGCATGGGGTAAGCCCTGTGCCTGGGACTCTGGGCTTAGTGCCCAGCTAGGGCCTTGGGAGACCCTTGGGCTTCTCTGTGCTCAGGGGGAAAGGAGCTGTGCAGCCTCTAGGGGTCCTGCCTGCCCCAAGCTGTGCTGGTGGTCCAGGCCCCCTTTGGGGAGGACCCTGGCCAGGGGTCCCTAGCTCCTCCTCTGTCATCCAGAGAACCCTTAGGTCCCAGGGGCTGGTGGTGTTCCTCTTCCTCAGAAACACTACCTGCAAGACTGGAACCCTAACACAGCCACCTCTGGAGAGTTGGGGGTCACCCATCTCTTCTTTGCTCCCCACCCACCCTGGTGGAAGTGGTTCATCTGCTCTGAGCCCTAAAGAGGACCAGGTGGGAAAGAGGCCTGATGCCGTGCTGGGGGCTTCGAATAGGTACAGGCACTTCTCTAAGGTTGCTGTGTAGGGCAAGAAAATCAGCTCAGAGAGTGAATGAATTTGCCCCAGGCCACGTGGCCATCAGGTGGCCTGGCTGGGGTTTGAACCTGTCTTCTCAGAGCAAAGCTGACTTGGCTGCACCTCCCTGGACTTCAGCTTTCAGGGAGGGAGGTCCAGGCAGCAGGAGCCTGGGGGACAATGCTATTTTTCATATTGATTTTTGTATTGACCTGCATCCTGTTGCCCACCCCGGCAAGCCCCAGGACAGATCCCGTTTTGGTTTTCGCCAGAACAAAGCAGGCTGTGCTAGACCTGCCAAAGCAGATACTTCCTCAGAGCAGGTGAAAGGAAACTCAATCTTGTCTTTTGTTACTCAAGGAGGGAGTGAGGGAATGGCTTTGCCCTTGAACAGGGAGGCCGTGGGCGGGTGGGAGGGGTGGGTGAGGCAGTGTGGGGAGAGGGCAGGGGCACACATACCTGAGCCGAGACACCACCCCCGCCCGCCGTCAGAGCATCCGGAGTGTGGTGACCATGTTAGTATTCAGCACAAGCGCGCGCGCACACACACACACACACACACTCGCGCACGCACACACGCACGCTCACACTCACACACTTAAGCGCACACGTACACGCACGCCTTTCTTTCCGTCTCTCCCCACCACCCTCCTGAGTCCCCTCTAAACCAGGAAGGTAGCATCTGACCAGCAGAGAAAAAAAGAGAGAGAAAGGAAAAGAGAAAAAGAGAGATTAGTGGGAAGAAAATCCGATTCTGGAGTTACCTTAGTTACCAGCTCCTAATGACTCGCAGGGCGGGCTCGGCCACCTTCCTGAGCAGGGGGACCCTCCCTCCCGGGCCCCTCCATCACCCCATTAATAAGACGGGGCCCTTGTTCATGAGTTCTGCCACAGAAAGGGAAGAATCAAGGACTTTTCAATAAGAGAGAACTCCCTGGGTGGTTTTGAATAGTTGCTTTTTGTGTGGCAGTGCGGGACTCGTCCTCGGCTCTCTGCCCTGGCCGCCTCCCTCAGCTGGCTCTGTCTGGAACTGCCTGCTCCTGGGTCTCCAGATGGATGAGCTTGTTTCTCCGGGAGCTCAATCCTTTATTGTTCCTGCCTTTCCCCTCCTGACACCCTCAGCTTAGCAGAGGCCACAGGCAGCCTTTGCGTCTCAGGAAAGCAAGAGAATCCCCGAGGTGGTTCTAAAAAGGCTTAAAGCCCGGGAGTGGGGCTCAGCATGAAGGAAACAAAAGCACACTCCCCACATCCAGGGTGCTGGGCCTGTCGGCCAGGGCCAAGCTCACGGCCGTTGCTTCGGTGCCAGTGGAAGGGGAATGAATGGAGGAGAGACTGGGTGAGGGAGATGACGATAGAACAGGAGGGAGATGGGTAAATCCGTTTTATCAGACGCTGCATATCTTAGGAAAGCACATTTCAGCTCTTTTGGCTTTTGGCAAGCTGGTCCTACCCTTTAATTTTCTAATAAAAAGGAATTACGTTTGCTGAAAAGGCAGTAACCAGCTTCATGTCAGTGTCTCTTGTGGAGACCATAATTCCCGTCTTGGGTGCCTGCCGGCTCTGGGGTGGGAGGTGGGCTTCTGTGGCCACGGGTGATGATATTCAGGAGTCAAGGGGCAGGGACGTCAGGGCCCACAGCAGATGCCAGGCAGTGCCACATGGCTTTGCCCTGCTTGCCCCACCCTGGCCTGTCCACTCCCAGCCCAGCCTCTGATCATGGTTCCAGGCTCACCACAGACAGGGCTGGCAGAGGCTCCCAAGACTCACAATAGACACTTAATGAATATTTGTGGAATGAATGAAGGAATTCTTACTGCCGAGGCCTGAGGTAGCAGGCAAGTTGCTCAGAGGGTCAGATCTTGGTTTGAATGAATGAATGAATGAATGAATGAACGAGTGAATGAATGAATGAATAAAGGAATGAATGTTCTCCAGAGTCTGAAACTATCTATCTGGAAGGACTAACCTCCAACCAACCCCACTCTCCCTAAGCTCTGGCACTGAATTCACTGGAAACTTTGCCAAAAATAATATCCCCTCTGCTTTTAACAAATAATATGCACTCGTTTTAAAAGAGAGAGAGAGAGAGAAGTGTGTGAAGTCGCAAGTTCATGTCCATGCTGTCCCACACCTGAGTCCCCCAGAGCCAAGGGTGGGCACCCTTAGAAGGTCCTTTAGACCTTCCTCCAGGCTCTGGGAATCCCCTGCATTTCTTATCTGGTTTGGGGGTCCTTGCACACGCACTGTTCTACAACCCTATGGGGCCCCTCGGCCATCCCTGTCCCCAGTGAGATCTGGATGTGGTTCAGACCTCCCTGGGCTGCAGAGTGTCCCTTCCTGCTCTCCAACCTGGGAACAGGAGCCAGGTATTTATGTAAGTCTCTGTGGGGTGAATGTAGGAAAACATTTTTGCTATTACAACTCCCTTCATTCCAGTCCCTGATTTATTGATTTTTGAGACAGGGTCTCCCTCTGCAGCCCAGGCTGGAGTGCAGTGACATGATCACAGCTCACCATAGCCTCAACCTCCCAGGCTCAAACCATCCTTCCACCTTAGCCTCCCGAGTAGTTGGGACTTACAGTCACATGCCAACATACCCGGCTAATTTTTAATTTTTTGGTAGAGGTGGGATCTCACTATGTTGCCCAGGCTGGTCTCCAACTCCTGGGTTCATGTGATCCTCTTGCCTTGGCCTCCCAGAGTGCCTCCCAATGGGCTCACACCCCAGCCCCAGTTTTAAACAAGATCCTGAAGGCAGAACACTCACCATGGGTAGGCACTTGATAAATGGTAGCCTTTGTGATTTGGGAGGAATCTGTACCCAGTGCTATGCTTGGTTCCACATCCTAAGCATTGCTTGTGCCATACTATATGCCAGGCCCCCAGGGCGCAGGAACACACGGTTCCAGAGGGGTGTGGAGGCCCCTGAGTGGCAGCGTCCAGGAGCCCAGTCGCTGCCCCTGCCCGCAGCAGCCCATCACTGCTGGTATCCAGCCTCCTTCAGACTGGTGTATGCCACTGGAAACTCCAGGACATGTGCGCAGCAGACCCCACACACGTGGTTTCTCTGGGGCTGCCTCCTGACCCCAATGGGCAGGCACCAGGTCTCTGAAGCTCAGCTGGCAAATGTAGGAGCAGCCCAGGATTTGGCTGGTTGGGCACATGCACGGCTCCCGTCCTAGGACCTGACTTAATCTCAATCCTTAGAGGTGGCCTGGGAATCTGAATTGTTACTAGCCTCTTGGCTGCCATGGATCCCTTCCAGGATCAGGAACTGGCATGAGGCATAGGAGGGCCAAGGACATCTTTTAGGCTGCATGGAGCCCGGATCCACTCTGCAGCCCCTGGCTGGGCCGTAGGAGAGCGGGCAGGCTCAGGGCAGGGAGGGGAGCTAAAAGGGAATGGAGGGGAGACCAGCAGGAGCTCTGTCTGCCCGATTCTGGTTTGGGCTGTGAGACAGTCATTGCATTTTTTTGCACAGTTCTGGCCACACAGTATTTAAGAGGCTTTGCCTACAGACCTGAGTGACTGTGTGAATGGTGGCACTGGTGCATACGGGGACGCCTGAGGAGGAACAGATTTGGGACTTGTCCACCTAGGACTCCCTGTGGGATTGCCAGTATCACCCCTCTTCGTCATTAATTCCCAGCTTGCCTGGGGGAGGCCAGGGGGTAGCATGGGGTTCGGGTTCCCCTAGGGTTCAAACACCAGCCCATCTGCCCTGGGTGGCCCTTCCCTGCTAAGAGCCTCAGTCTGCTGTTCTGTAAAGTGGGTCCAGCCATTTCTGTACCCTCAGGGTGGCCATGAGGGTCAGTAGCCAGAAAGGCAAGGCCCCACACAGAACTGGTTCACAGAAATAGCAGGCAGTTTGTCAGGGGCAGCCTTGGCGTGGTTTTCATTCAAAATCATTTTTTAATTCCAAAAGAAAGGAAATGGTTGTAAATAAAGAAGGGAAGGCCGGGCACGGTGGGTGGCTCACGCCTGTAATTCCAGCACTTTGGGAGGCCGAGGCGGACAGATCACGAGGTCAGGAGTTCGAGACCAGCCTGACCAACATGGTGAAACCCTGTCTTACTAAAAATACAAAAATTAGCCGGGCGTGATGGTGCGCACCTGTAATCCCAGCTACTCAGGAGGCTGAGGCAGGAGAATCTCTTGAACGCAGGAGGTGGAGGTTGCAGTGAGCCGAGATTGTGCCACTGCACTCCAGCCTGGGTGACAGGTTGAGACTCCGTCTCAAAAAAAAAAAAAAAAAAAAAAAAGGAAAACTGTAGAGGCACATAAACAGGTCAGAGTTCCTGTCTAGGCTTCCCTAGAGGTCTTTACTTTTACTAGTGTAATCTGAGTCTTTGACTCTGTTTGTGGGCATTTACATACACAATTAAATCTTTACTGTGTACCTACTGTGTGCTGAACCCCGAGGATTTCAGACCTTGAGCCCTGCTGTTAGGGGCTCTCACAGTCCTGGTGGGGAGACTGACCCCTAAGCTGATAAATGACCCCTCCATGGGGAGTGGGCCTGTAAAGTGATGATGGAAGAGGGTCCACAAAGGAGGGAACTAACTGTGGGTTGGCAGGACAGGGAATGGGGATCGGGGAACCTTGAAGGGACATGGAGTGTGAACTGGGACTCCACAGAGATCACAAGTTTTTAGGTAGAAGAAAGGAGAGGGAAAAGCTTGGAAGAGCATATTCTAAGGAAAGGGAGGTATTTGGGATGTGCTGACTTTGGAGTCCCTGTGGGATGGCCATGATCAACCCACTGTAGGGAGCCACCAAGGGGTTCTGGATCTTGGATGCCAGGCCATGGAGTTTCTGTTTTATTCTCTAAGTCAGGGAGCCATTGAAGGCTTTTGTGTGTGTGTGTGTGTGTGTGTGTTTGTTTTTGTTTTTGTTTTTTTTGAGACAGGGTCTGTTGCCCAGGCTGGAGTGCAGTGGCACGATCTCGGCTCACCGCAACCTCAGCCTCCTGAGTAGCTGGGATTACAGGCACGTGCCACCACGCCTGGCTATTTTTGTATTTTTTGGTAAAGACAGGGTTTCACCATGTTGGCCAGGCTGGTCTCAAACTCCTGACCTCAGGTGATCCACCCGCCTTGGCCTCCCAGAGTGCTGGATTATAGGCATGACCAACCACACCCAGCCCTGAAGGCTTTTAAGCAGGGAGGTAAGTGAGCTGGTCCAGCATGTGTTTTTAAAAACTCTTTCTCCAGCAGAGCTTACAGAAGGGTGAGCAGGGTGTACCCGGGGGGCTTGTGTGGAGTCCAGGCCAGGCAGGGACGGTGGCCAGCGGGTGGAGGAAGCCGTGAGGATGTGGCCGGAGGAGAGGGGCAGGCTTGGGCCCTGCGAGGTGGGTGCTGCCCTGGGCCATGATTGGGCATGAGTGGGGAGCCGAGCCATACCATGGCCGGGGACAGGGACTGGGTGCGTTGTTCCCACATGAGCGTTGTGGAGTTGGCATGCATTGGGAGGCATCCCTCTGGGCTCAGCCCCTGCCTACCAGGCCACCATTGCCCCTTTCTTGGCCAGCAGATCCTCCACCAGCACCTGTCAGCCCCGAGCACTGGAAACGGCAGCCGGCGGGGCCTTTGTGCTTCAGGATTCCTTCTCCAGGGACACGGGTGATAGCCAAGCCCGGCAGATGCCCCCGGGGGTGCCACCGTGCCCCCACTCGCCATCTCCGATGCTCAGCTGCTCCCCAGAATGAAAGACCTTGTCACAAAGGGAGGCAGGGAGAGGATGCGCTTCCGTGCCGCAGCCCATCTGGGAGCCAACGTTATTTTCCTGATTGAAGGAAACATCTGTTCAGTCCTCTTTCAGAGCGAGGCAGGCAGCGGACTGGGTCGGTCTGGCTCTGGGCAGGAGGTAGAGAACCTGGGCTGAGCCCAGAGCCCCTGCCCTAAGGGGTTTAAGAGGAGCTACCACCGTTCTCTGTCCCTCCCTAAACTGGGAGTTCAGGAGCTCCTGCCATCCCCTTAAGAAGCCTCGGTCACTGCCTCCCCCAAGGATGGGGGCTGCTGGGGCAAAAGCCATCGCCTGTCCCAGAGCACCATATGTGTTTTCTTTTTTTTTCTTTTCTTTTCTTTTTTTTTTTTTTTTTTGAGATGGAGTTTCGCTTTTGTTGCCCAGGCTGGAGTGCAATGGTGCTATCTCGGCTCACCACAACCTCCGCCTCCCAGGTTCAAGCAATTCTCCTGCCTCAGCCTCCCAAGTAGCTGGGATTACAGGCATGCACCACCACGCCCGGCTAATTTTGTATTTTTAGTAGAGAAGGGGTTTCTCCATGTTGGTCAGGCTGGTCTTGAACTCCCGACCTTGGGTGATCCGCCTGCCTCGGCCTCCCAAAGTGCTGGGATTACAGGCATGAGCCACCACGCCCAGCCCCATGTGTTTTCTGAGGACTCCTTCATTATTTCACACACACACTAGAGCCATGTTTTTGAAAGATACGGCTGCCAAACAAACTGCATTTATTACATAATGATTAATTCATCGCCCCCATTTCTTATTAATCAAAGACATCCATAACTGCCTATCTGAGCTTTGAGTTGGGGAGAGAACCAGCGGGGCCTCAAGCTGACAGCCTTCCCACCCAGATCAGGGGCACTGGTAGATTTGTGTCAGTGGAGCCTCATTTGGGGTAAATGCACAGTACCCCTGAGGTTTCTAGAAGAAATGGAGACAGCTCACAGACCCCCACACGTCACCTCCCCAAACCCCTGGGGCTGCCTGGGATGTTTTATAACCCCTTCTCCAGCCAGCCCTGAGCTCAGGCTGGCTGCTTGGCACTTAGCCACTGGCTGACTAGTGGCCTGTCAGAGGATGTGGAAGATGGGGTGGGCCAGTCCCTGTTGCTGGAGGCTGCAATTAGTGGCAGCCTGGGAAGGAGACTGAAGCCTGGGCTGAGGTCAGGACCACTGGGCAGAGCTTGAGGTGAGGGCAACCGACATAGGGCTGTCCTGGCAGCCCATCCTGGGCTGAGAACGAATTCTAGGGTTCCAGGGGCATTTGACACGAGGCCGGCCACACTCTGAGGTTAGGGGCTTTTTCAAAGATAGTTTGGTGGCAGGGGCCTAGAGTATGGGGAGTGCCGACTGATTGGGTTGGAGCTGCCCTCTTGTGCTTAGTCGCTTCTAGATGGAGGCCACAGGAGTGCTTGGTAGGTCCAGGTGGAGCCATCAATTGTCAGACATGCAAAAAACTTGAAAAGATATCTCAAAAGGGCCAGTCTGGCTGGGCACAGTGGTGCATGTCTATAATCCCAGTGCTTTGGGAGGTAGAAGCAGGAGGATCTTTGAGCCCAGGAGTTTGAGACCATCCTGGGCAACACAGTGAGACCCCATCTCTACAAAAAATTTAAAAAATTAGCTGAGCATGGTGGAGTGTGCCTGTGGTCCCAGCTACTTGGAGGCTAAGGCTGGAAGATCACTTGAGCCTGGGAGGTCGAGGCTACAGTGAGCTGTGATCGTGCGACTGCACTCCAGCCTGGGCGACAGAGCAAGACCAGTTCTACCTGGCTAGGGTGGCCCCAGAGTCATGGCGGAAGGCGAAAGGCATGTCTTACATGGTGGCAGGCAAAGAATGAGGACACCCAATCTTCTTTACTCATTCATCTAACACTGACTGTGTGGCCTGGCACCCACCAGGAATGTCCCTGCCCTCAAAGTCTTTACAGGCTGTTGGAGATGGGGCAGATGCCCAAATAAGTCATTGTTGTCCCAGGTAGTGCCATGCCAGGGGCCATCCAGGGAGCTGAGGGCCCAGTAAAAAGGCACTTAAACTCAAATGCATGGAGAAGGGGACAGCCAGGGTGTGATTAGGGAAGACTTCCTGAAGGAGGTGCTGCTCCGAGAAGGTTGATTGGGTGGTTTTTGTAGGGGTTTTCTTGTTTCCACTTTTTAAATAACTACTTCATGCCACATGCTATTAGGTGCTTTTCACATACATCGTCATGTTTAATTTGTACCAACAACCCTGTGAGATAGGAAATAGCTTCCGTATGTTAGCAGTGAGTAAGCTAAGGATCAGAGAGGGGAGGTTGCTTGGACAACTGGCTTAGCCATGATTAGAACTCCAATAGGTTCTTAAATGATGATAGAAAAGGTGTAGGAGGATGGGAGCCGAGGCTGGCATACCTGGCAGAAGAAACAGTGTACGCACGCGTATGTCGGTGGGGCACTGTGGTGTGGAGGGCTGCAGGGCTTGGTAGCACTGGAGTGAGCAGAGGCGAGCCTGAAAGCTGGCGGCAGGGACCTCAGGGGCCATGACAGGTATGTGAGTCAAGGGAGTGATGTGGTCCCGCTACAAATCACTGGGGGCTTCAGCCCCTAATGGGACCTCCTCTAGCTGCACCCCCCTCCCTGCCTGTGCCCTTTTTGGCACCTGGTGGCAGGCACACCTCAAAGAACTGCTGCATCTGTTCCTGCTTCTGACCTCAGGAGACAGCAGCAGGGCTGGCATGGAGCATCAGGGAAATGCACAACAACACATCAGCCCCTGGGGGCCTCCTGGATCTCCCCACGAATCCTGCAATACCCTTCACAACCATCCCCGTCCAGAAAGAGGCTGAATGGCGGCCAGCATCTGCCCGTCAGCAGAGAGTTCCCGCTCTTAGCACCAGCTCGCCTGAGCTGCCTCCAGGGACAGTCCTGCCCGCCTCCCCAGAGAGCCAGTGCTTCCGCTGCCGCCTAATAGCTCTCCCGGCTGGAGACGACTCTTGATATTTAGCCTGCGTGGCAGGAGCCTTAATAGCAGCAACTCTCCCTCCCTGCTCCTGCCTCCTGAGCCCCAGAGACAGCTCTGCTCACCTCCTAGCCGGCATCCTCCACGCACTGCCTAGGCATCAGGCGGAGGTCTTTCTGCCCACTCTTGGTAACATCAAGGAATGAATGAGCATCCAGGAGCACTTCGAGTGTGCTATTTTCTCCTCTGAGATTCAGAGATGCCCTTTGAGAGGCTATTAGCATGGCCACAATTTAAATATGAGGAAACTGAAATTCAGAGAGGGGATGTGATGGAGATGGCTCACTTTCGCTTCATCTTCCCCCCCTCTTGGTACCAGGAAGTGGACCATGCTCCTTCAGGCCTCAGGATCTTTGCCTCTGCTGGTCTTTCTTGCCTGGAACTCTCTCTCCTCCTTCTCTCTCATAGATCTCATCTCAGAGAAGCCTTCCTGCCCTGGTTTATTTACTAAGGTTGGTCCTTCTTGCCATACTGTAAGCTCCATGAAAGTGGGGAGTTCCCCTACCTTCTGTTGCTCCCCTCTGTATCCCCAGCACCCAGCATAGGGCATGTAGCTCCACTAGGGCCTCATTAAGTATTTATTGAATGAGCAAATGAGTGAATGGATAAGCACATGCCTGTACTAGTTAGGGTAAGATCAGCTGCAGCAACAAACCAACCTAGCATTTCTAGATGGAGGTTTGTATTTCCGGAGGATGGTGAGTATTTCTGGTGGGTGGAGGTTTCCTCCACATGGCAATGTGGCCGGGGCATGGTCTGCATCAAGCTGGCTTAGTGTGGAGGGTCCACCCTGGAAGGAGATATCACTTGCATTCACATTCCATTGGCTGGAGCACAGTCATGTGACCATGCCCAGCTGCAAGGAAGGCTGGGAAATGTAGTCCAGCTGTGGCTCCAAGGACGGAGAACAGGTTTTCGTGACTCCAAATCTTCCCATAGGTTGCTGTATTGGTCTCTCTAATCAGCAGAGCCAACCGTTACCGAGTCCTTGTCACTATACCCTGTTGTAAGCCCTTTTCTCAAATTAGTCCATTTTATTCTTACAACAGCCCTACAGGAGGGTATTATAATTAGCCCAGTTTACTGATGAGCAGGCAGGGGCTCAAATGACATGTTAAGGGGAAAATACCCATTAGAAACATGATGGGCCGGGCACGGTGGCTCATGCCTGTAATCCCAGCACTTTGGGAGGCCGAGGCGGGTGGATCACCTGAGGTCGAGAGTTTGAGACCAGCCTAACCAACATGGAGAAACCTTGTCTCTACTAAAAATACAAAATTAGCCGGGCATGGTGGTGCGTGCCTGTAATCCCAGCAACTTGGGAGGCTGAGGCAGGAGAATCGCTTGAACCTGGGAGGCGGAGGTGAGCTGAGATTGCACCATTGTACTCCGTCTCAAAAAAAAAAAAAAAAAAAAAAAAGAAAAGAAACACATGATGGGTGTCTGGAGATGCAGCAGCCAAAGGCTGAGACCCTCACCCCTGACTCCACCAAACATTACAGATATTCAAATAGACAGGCCAGTGTCCAGAAGAAATTTATGCGGGCTGAGCCACAGTTGCTGGCCTTTGTTTTCTCTGGTTTTGTGCTTGTCCAAGGGTGGGGAGGTGGTTGAGTACATCTCTCTGAGGGTCTGGGCCAGGGCTCAGCACTTCATCATTTCAGCTGTCCATATTTGGAGGGCATCTGTTTCCTTCCGCCTTCCACAGAGGAGGAAGATGGGTACACATGTGGCTAGTAACCATTAGCCGTCGACTTCCGGTTTTGTCTTTCTGGCTCTTTATGATTGACAAGTGCTGGCATGTTGGCCTTTCTGCCCCTTAGCAGCCCTCCATGCAGGAAAGCGGGAGGGAGGGGTGTGTGGCCAGTGCTAGGATGGGGTCTGTATGGAAGAGTAGCTCCAGGAAGTGGAGCCTCATCAAGGCAGGTAGCCCACGCTTCCCGAGGAGGTGACATTTGGTCGGGCTTTGAAGGCTAAGGTGGGAGTCTGTCAGACTGAAAAGGAAAGGCATGCCAGGCAGAGGGGCCTGTGCAAAGGCTAAGAGAGCCTGGCTTCTCGGCTCCTGTGTCTGCTTTGCCCCTAGAGCTTGCCCAGAACAGTGACCTAAGTCTGAGATCCTTCCGACCCACACTGCAGAGGGAATGTCTCCTAAAACTACTGTTTATCTCACCTCAAGCTGGTGTTTTCCCCTTGTCCGTAGAGAAGGAAAGGGTAGCAAAAAAAGAAGGAAGGTGAGGAGGGAAAGTGAACAGAGAGCGACTGGACTGAGCACCTGCTGGCTTGCTCTGCTGTGTCACTGCCATAACTCTTCCCTAGCTATGCACCGTGGCCCCTTGCTCTCCTGCGGGCACACTACTGCCTTGGGCCTTTGCACGCACTGGCCGCCTGTCCTGCCTGCAGTGCTCTTCCTGGAGAGCCACAGGGCCGATTCCTCCTTCTCCTTAGAGTCTTCTCTCAAATTACCTCTCTTGATGAGGCCTGCCAGACCACCTTATTTAAAACTACGAACCTAGTACCCGTTCCCCTTAGCGAATGTTTCCCCCAGAGCACTCAGTCGCGGTGTAACGCCCTGTACAATTTACTGATTTATGTTGCTGCTTATTGGCTGCCTCCCTTCCGTGCGTCTCCCCAACTCCTCCCATAGAAGCCACCAAGGGCAGAGTTTTTTTTTATTTTTTGTTTTTTTAATCTCTTATAGTGGTGGATCTCAAGCACCCGAACATAGTAGGCACTCAATAAATGTTTGTTGAAGTATGAGTGAATTCAGCCCTGGGCAAAACGTGACCCCATTTCACAGACTAGGAAGTGGAGGCCCAGGGTCTTGCAGCCCTGTGGGGAGAGGGCTGCCCAGCGCCCCGCAGGAGCCTCCCGCCCGGCATACCCACGGGCCAGTGCCGGGACTGGGCGCGGGGCGGCGCGCGGGCGCAGGTAGCCATGGTGACAGCGCCCCAGACTACTCGTATTTCCTGCCTTTTGTGTTCGCACATGCCCCAGCCCCCAGCCCGGGCAGACGCCCCTGATTGGCCGTCACACTGCGGAGGGGCGGGGCGGGGTGAGCGGAAAGGGGCGGGGCTGACCTGTGGGCGGGGCCCCCGGGGCGAGGCTGGTCTTGTACTGGCGCGCGCTGCCTGTGATTAACAGGCGGGCGCGGCCGCGCGCGGCTGGAAAGGGGCGGGGCTTCCGGAACAGCCGCCCCGGGAGCCTGGGATAGGGGTGAGTGCTCCTTGATGGCGGCCCCGAACAAAGGACGCCTCCAGACCCGGGCTTCCTGTCCGTAGTTTTTCTTGGCCCTTGGAGTCTGAGAGTGAGAGGCCTGCTAGGCCAGCGCCCCCTAATCCTCATCCGGCCGTGGGTGGCCAGGCACTGCAGACGTGTCCCCGGGGGCCGACCACCTTACTTGCCACGCTGGCCCCTCCCTCTCCTCACCACCACAGGGCCTTTGCACGTCATTCCTGGACACTCTTAAAGTCCTTCTTTCCGGCCGATTCCTCACCCCCTCAGGAGGCTCTCCACACAGACCGTGACCTGCCCTGCCTGGCACTCCTCTGCCCAGCGTTTATATCTCTTTTTGTGCACTCTCCGCCCTCATCACACGTGTGCCTCAGGGCAGGGCCCTGTCTGTGGCCTGGCACACAGTAGGTGCTCGGTTTGTGTTGTTGAATGCCTCCATTCATCAGGTTGCCTGAGGCTTCCTTGGTGGGTGGTGCCGGCTGTACTGGCCCGGGACTTGGGAGGAAGGGAGACAGATGTGCCTTCAGACCCAGACACAGAAGAGTTTGTCTCCAAAGCCAGGGCACTGGGTCAGTGTCTGGCCTGGACCCCAGGCCCGAGGAGCCTGGTTTGGTGTGTGCCCTTGGTGAATGGCCTACTGTGCTGGCCAGACAGGAGCCCCAGGGGCTGGCCCTGCCTCAGGAGGAAGGCAGGGTCACAGACACAGGCTGGAGGGGCCTGGAGTGAGGGCTGCTCAGGACCCCTGCCGACCAGACCTGGGAGCCCCAGCATCTGACTCTTCGTTTGTGTATTACTTGCTGTGCCTTGTCCTGGCTTGACAGGGTTGGAGTGGGGGTTGGAGTGGTAGAGCAGCGAGAAAATCTCCACACCCCTTACCCCCATGGCACTCCCACAAAACAAAAGGGAGCTAAACTCATGAAATCGGCTTCACGGTTATACATGGATAGCCTTTTGGGAGTTGGGTGATCTCTGGGGTATATACATTGTTTCCTCACCAACACCAAAAGAAAATGCAATTTGAGCCAAGCTAATAACAATGTATTAAATCAGAGCTTCCTGAGCTTTGCTGGGTGCTATAAACCACCCCGAAGTTTGTACTAGGAGCAGATTCCTGGGCTCAGGCCACCCTCAAATCACAGATTTTAAGGGGTGGGGCTCAGGAATGCCCTTTTATTCAAACTGCCTGTGTGTGGTTTTGATACTCAGTCTTAAGTCCATCATTTGAGAAATGGAATGACAGATATCTGTGTCTCAGAACACATTTGAACTCCTCTCCAGGCTCTAGAAAGTCTACCGTTCTCTGCCCCAGACCCTGGCTCCAGATTCAAGTCTAGACTGGAGGAACTGTGGATCCTTTGGGATTTGGAAAAAAGTTCTAGACCCTCTTCAGAAAAATGTGCTTGTCCACACACACTTCAACTTTGCATTGGATCTCAAGGTCTCATACCTGGGCTGGGTGGTCTGTAAAGCAGGGGAGACCTATTTGGGGAAAGGCCTCCATGCTGACACTCACCTGAACCTAGGGCCAAAGTGTATGGTTGTACAAGTTGTACATTGTACAAGGATCCCTGGAAGAAATCGAGCCACTGGCCAGCTGTGCAGCCTGGCACCTGGGGTGTCTTCCTGTTTTGTACAAAGGCATTTTATGCCATTCGCCTAACCCAATCTTTTTTTTTTTTTTTTTTTTTTTTTTTTTTGAGACAGAGTTTCGCTCTTGCTGCCCAGGCTAGAGTGCAATGGCGCGATCTCGGCTCACCGCAACCTCCGCCTCCTGGGTTCAAGCAGTTCTCCTGCCTCAGCCCCCCGGGTTCAAGCAACTCTCCTGCCTCAGCCTCCCGAGTAGCTGGGATTACAGGCATGCGCCACCACACCTGGCTAATTTTGTATTTTTAGTAGAGACGGGGTTTCTCCATGTTGGTCAGGCTGGTCTCTATCTCCCGACTTCGGGTGATCCGCCTGCCTCGGCCTCCCAAAGTGCTGGGATTATAGGCATGAGCCACTGCGCCCAGCCTCCCTAACCTGATCTTTAATTCCCCTCCTGCCTCCCATGACAACTCAAGTTAGTGGCACTAGTAAAGTTACAGAAATTATGTGCCTTAGCCATGGGAAACCGGCCCTCTGTAAACTGTTATTAAAGCCATAACAAATAATATCCGACAGCCTGTACCTACTAGTGTTCAGTTCCTGGTACTCCAGAGCCCTAAGCGTTTTTGGGCAGTGGTTGGGGGGCTGCCACCAGGCCTCAACTTGGGTTAGGAAGATAGGGCAAGGGTGCAAGGCCCGTCTCTGCACAGAGGGTGGGAGAGAGGAGTAACTACATAGTAGGTGCTTGGTAAGCACTTTCCCAGTCTACATTCATTGGGTCCATTTTATAGATCAGGAAAACTGAGGCTCTGAGAGGGCTGGTAATTTGGATTAGAGAAGGCCCACCTGTCTGGAGCGGCTTTATGAACACAGGCTTTGGAGTGCGACAGCGGGGAGGTCAGGAGAGGAGAGGAAATAGCCATAGCTGTACCCCCACAACATTCACACCATGCCTCCCCCTGAAGGCTTTGCCTGACGTTTGGACTGTTTAGAGGGCTCCTCTGAGCTCCCACAGCCTGAGCCTTCCTGTCACGGTGCTGCCACCCTGGTTTAGCAGGCCTGTTTACACACTGTCACCCCAAGAGCCTGGCAGCACCCCAGTGCTGGACTGTGAGCCCTCCACACAGGGCCCAGCGCATGGTGTGTAATACAGCTCTATGGAATGCTGAGTGGCTGATTAAGTGGGCTCTAGCTTCTGGCAGCTTTGCTCCCTGGGTGGATGGGGCGGGAGTGATGCAGAAAGGAGAGGTGTAGGCCTAGAGTTAGGAGGGCAGGGAGAGCACTGGGCACTGGAACCACTTGGCAGGGTGAGTTGGCATTCCCTGTTTGCCACGACCTTGGGGTCACCCTCACCAACTTGCCCCAGCTGGGCCTGACTGAAGGGCAGGGGGCCTGGACATTGGAGCCCAGGGAGGGCAGAGGGTGGTAGACTCAGGAGAGAGCTCTTTGTTTGGGGGCATTTCTCCAGCAGAGACCCTTAGTCCCTCCAAGGAGCATGTCCTCCTCCATCAGTCAGTGTCCTAGCCAGCAGGGGTGCGTCCCCCCAGATCCTTCCCTGCTTATCCTATCCTGGGCCCAGCCATGCTTTCTCCCATGGGGTCATGTCATCCTGACCCTCAGATTTGGCTGGGTCGCCCCAGGGCTCTCTGACAAAGCCCAGCTCCTCCCCTGGCACCCAGCATCCCTCAGACCCGGCCTACACCCTGTCAAGCCCGCCTTCTCTTCACCCCAAGGCCTGCCGTGCCTCACAGCTTGGGCAGGGCTGTACCCTCTGCACACATCACCCTTCCCTATCCCCAACCCTCTCCCTTTAGTGATAAATCCAGCTGGCCGCTCTTTGCAGCTCACCAGGGACCAGTGTCCCCAGTGCGGCCCTCGGTGCACCCAGTCCTTACGTGAGCCCTAGCCACCATGGAAAGCCAGGAGGGCCTGGCCAGCCTCCATGTGGGGTCTGGTTGGTTATTGCAGGGCCTGTTGGGACTGCCTGTGTCCCTGTTCCCCTGGGACAGGAGTTCTGGAGCCTGCGAAACTTAAGCATCCATCATGGGACCTGGCACGGGGGTGCCTGGCCACAGCAGGAGTGAATGAATTTTTTTTTTTTTTTTGGAGACAGAGTTTTGCTCTTGTTGCCCAGGCTGGAGTGCAATGGTGTGATCTCGGCTCACCGCAACCTCTGCCTCCCAGGTTCAAGTGATTCTCCTGCCTCAGCCTCCCAGGTTGCTGGGATTACAGGTGCCTGCCACCATGCCTGGCTAATTTTGTATTTTTATTAGAGACAGGGTTTCTCCATGTTGGTCAGGCTGGTCTGGACCTCCTGACCTCAGGTGATCCACCTGCCTCTGCCTCCCAAAGTGCTGGGATTACAGGTGTGAGCACTGCACCTGGCATGAATGAATTTTTTTATTTTTGGAAACTCCTTTGAAATAGTGTGTTTGCTTTCCACTGTCTTGTTCTTCACCTTTACCTCCCTTACGTATAAAGGTAGATGCAGTCAAGTAAAGTGTGCTAGCTTCAAATCAGAAAATCTCCATAGAGTCTTCCGCAAATCCTTGAGCGCCTACTACGTGCTAATCTGTCCCAGGTGCTCAGGACACAGTGTGAACAAAATAGACCAAAAATCCTCTTAGTGAAGCAGACGCTTGAGTCGGGGGCACTGGAGAAAGCAAATCAGTTCGTCGGTAACGAGGCAGGGAAGTGGACGGGGAGGAAGAGGGGCTTCTGTGAAGGTGTGCTTGGCCAGGCCTCAGGCTTCCCACCTGTTCACTGGGGTGATGTGCTTGCCCGGTGGGAACGGTATTCTGTTCATGACTGTTGCCATTGTTATTAACCGCATGCCCATTGCCTTTCAGAGTTTGTGGGCCCTCTCGGGCAGCCCCCAGAGGGTGCTGAATGCCGGGCCCTGTGTACACTTCACCCTATCTCCGCGGGGTCAGGCTGGCCACCTCCATTTACAGAGGAGCAGATGGAGGCCCAGGGAGGGATAGGGTGGTGTCACATGCTTGGAGCGGGGTCCAGGGAGAGCTCTTGGCTCCCTGAGGCAGGGAGACCCTGAGCCCAGACACACCCCAGTTTATAAGTGGGGACAGCTGTGGAGGTGTTGGGTGCTCAGCCCTGGGCCTGGCTTCTCTGGCCTGAAGACGGCAGCTCATCTGGCTGCAGAGTCAGGAAAGATTTCCTGAGCCTGGACTGAGAGGCCAAGGTGGGTTTGCGGAGGCAGGAGAGAGCTCCAGATCAGGAGGCAGTGTGGGCCAAGCCGGGGGGCGGCAGGATGTGAGCACAGAGAGGGCAGCAACCCTTCTACAGACCAGTTCAATTCCAGTAACCCCAGCCTGCCGTAGGGGTGGGGGACAGCCTGGCTGCAGCGGGGCCCACCTGCCAGTGTGTGCCTTGCCTGCGCTCCACCTTCCCCCTCGGGCACTGCGGCTTTCTTGGGACAGCAGGACCCCAGTTAAACAGCCCTGTTTCCTGCCCAGCCGTGGCTGCCGCCTCTTCTCGGAGGATTTTTTTTTCCCACAACTCAACAACCACTACCACTTGCAGCTAAGCAGAAGGGAAGTTAGGACTCGCATTTTGCCTCTGTAGCGCCTGTAATCAGCCCCACACAGCCCCCGCCGCAGGCGCCCATCAGTGCCACTTCCGGAGACTACTTGAGATACACCTGCTCACGCTAAAAGGAGAAGCAGTAATCCATCAAAACAACCCCAGGCGCCGGGGCGGGAGAGGCTGAGACTCAGTTTCCCCTCCCATGGAACAGGGCAGTGTTGGGCATCTGAAGTCCCCACGGGTCCTGGCATTCTGGAAGAACACGACTCAGTAGCTTTCCCCTTCTGGGCCTCGGTTTCCCTGTCTGCCAAAGGTGCAGGGAGATGAGCTCCCAGCTCATGCCTCTGGGCCTCCTACCTCGCCCCCACCCTCATCTCTCCCTTTCCAGAGACATTATAAATCAAACGGCTTAGAACGTAAGGCATCAGAAATTCTGAAACCTTCATCTATTATTAACGCTGACAGTAAATTCCCCCTCCGAGCGTTTTACATAGCAACTGTTACCAAGACTCGGTGGTGGAGCTGCTGCTCCAGCGGCCGCATCCCAGCAGCTCCGGGCAGGATGGCAGGGCCGCCACAAGCCCTACCAACCCGGCCACCACCTGGGCACTCAGCAAACCCTCTCCAGGGGATGGGCGGGGAGGGAGCCTTTGGCAGAGGAAATGGGTGGCTTACAGCTGAAAGGAGGTCCCAGCTGCTTTTGGTGAGCCCTGAAGACCCCAGCTCCTGCCTAGGTGAAGACAAGGGGCCCTGAAGCTCCCAGGCCTTCAGAGGCAGCACCTATGGACAGGGACGGGCTCCGGGAGCCTCCCTTCCTTGCTGCCCTGGTTAGAGGAAGCTTGTGAGATGGAGGACAGGAAAAGGCTTCGTAAACTGGAAAGGGCTGTGCAGATGTTGTTTACCGACTCACCCACCTGTCAGCTAGACGTTCCTGAGTGCCTGTTTCTCTGCAGGCAGTATCTGGGCACCAGAGATTTAAAACAAAGACAAAAGGCCCAATCCCTGTCGCATCTGGCTTGGTAGGAGACAGACGCGCCAACCCCTAATTGCAGTTGTGCAATGATCAACGTATGTACGAGGAGCATACTCAGGGCGGTGAGGATATCGCAGAGGGCCCTTCACGGGGGCTGATGCTGGGCAGGGTTTTGAAGGATGAACAGGGGAGGGTCTGTGTGTTCTGGACAGAGGGACTGGTGTATGCAAAGGCCCAGGGGTATGAAGCTGCCCAGCTGACAGGTGGATTACAGGCTGACCTGTTTTGGTGGGGAGGGGGGCTGGTAGAGGGAGCAGGGGTCAGAGGGTGCAGGACCTTGAATGCAAGCAAGAGAGTTTTTACTTAGAGGTTCTGGTCGCCATGGAAGGTTTTCAGCTGAGGAGGAACAAAGATTTGGGTTTGGGGAGTATCACCCTAATTGCGCAGATAAGGATACCAAGGCCTGCGCAGGTGAGAACACCTGCCCAGGCAGGAAGCAGGGGAGGCTGGCTGCTCTCTGCAAGCTGTTAAGATGCACCTGCTGTATGTCCATCCCCACATGGGGAAGGGTGGTGTGACCTCAGACCCTGGGACAGCATGCCTAGAGAAGAAGAAGCGGGCAGGGAGCTTGTGGGCTCTTGCCAGGTCAGAGTGGCCAACTACGAGGAGTTGTCTCACTCTTTGCATCTCCAGAAATCAGGACACAAGTTGAGACACAGACTTCAGCCCAGCTATGGATGCGTCCGTTGGCAGTCTCTCCACCTAGTGACAAATAATATATATGTTCATTGCAGAACATTCAGCAAATAGAAGTCTCAAGAAAATAATGTTTCCCTGCAGTCTCACCCCACCACCCCCACCCTCTGATGGCCAGGTCACATTTTGGGCCCAGTTGCTCCAGAACCAGGTACAGATACACATTTTTTAAAACAGAAGTTGCATCATGTTCTTTCTGCATACCCTCAGTGACCTGCTTTTCGCCCTTCATACGCTGGAATAGTTCCCCATGTCTGCACATATTTCGGGGTGAGGTTTGCCAAGAGCCACGCTAGCCAGAGGGGACCCAGCTGACCTAGAATGTTCGGTGCTTGTCTTCAAGGGCAGAGGCCGTGCCTGGCCTGCCCACTGCTGCACTCAGCACCAAGCATGGAGACAGGCCCCCAGTGGATGCTGAATGCAGAGCTGTGAAAAGAAGTGGAAGCTGTGTCCGTGAAGCTGAGTACAAGTTGGACAGAGCCCACTAGGATGCTGTAATCTTGATCTGGGGCTAAATTGAGTCTTGGGGTAAGATTTGTGCTTATTAAGGGCTCTGGATGCTTGGGGTAATAGATGGAAGTTTTTCAGGGAGGGCTTCCTGGAGGAGATGGGCTGTAGAATAAAGCAGAAGGGAAATAAATGCATAACTGTCCATTCACTCATCTAACAGACATCCCCAGAGGGCTCCCTCCTGGTCAGAGCCCTGTGCTGGACAGGACTAGGCACCCAGACAGAGTACTGCCCCCACCTGCTGCCAGCCCTGGGGGAAAGACAGACAAGTGCCCAGGTCACTGTGGCTGTGTGCTCGAGCAGTGCTGTAATGGTGGAAGGGTAGACAGTGAGGGGCCAACTTTACTGATAGCCCCCACTTTACTGATATCCCCCACCTCCTAGCCAAAGAAGTTGGGGATTGATTTATGGGAGGGAGCAGTTTGGCATCAAGGTGTGCCTGTAGATGATGGACTTAGAGGGCTCAGGAGGGAAGCCCATACATCCTGCATACTCGGGATGGGCTTGGCATCAGGGTCAAGGTCACCCAGACTGTACCCAGAAGTTTGGCTCAGCCCAGTGTCCCTGGCCTGGGAACTCCTGGATGCCGAGGGTTTATGGCAGCTCAGTTAGTGGCCTAGCCCTGGGTCCCCGCCATGGAGAGGGGCCCCTGACGTCCAACGTCCACTCCCAGAGTCCCACACCAAGGAGGCCCCCAGCCCCACCCAGAAGTCAAAGGGTGTATCTTTCCAGAGTCTAGAAGCTGGAGCTGCTGTGGGGCCTGGGCCTTGGTCTCCTCGGCTGTCAAATGGTGGCACCACCCTGCAGGGAACGTGTGGAGCTAAAATAAAATGTGTTCCAGGTGCTGGTGCCACAGGGCTTAGGGCCACACTGCAGAAAACCCTTCCTCCTGCTTGGTCCTAGCTGCCCAGGGCCAGGCCAAGAAAGGCTTCAGGAAGAAGCCCCCACCTCCTAGCCAAAGAAGTTGGGGATTGATTTATGGGAGGGAGAAGTTTGGCATCAAGGCGTGCCTATAGGTGATGGGCGTAGAGGGCTCAGGAGGGAAGCCCCGCAGATTACCCCCTTGCCAAGAACCTCCTAGAACTGCATACTCAGGGGATAGGCAGCTCATTCACAGTGAAAGTGTTTTGGAGTCAAACAGACCTGGGTTCAAGCCCCAGCTCATTCACTTCCCAGCTGTGTGACCTTAGGCTAGTTCCTTGTCCTCTCTGTGCTCAGAGTCCTCATCTTTACAGTGGAAATGATAATGATAGACCAGTATTGTCCTGAGGGTTGAAAGAGGCGACCCATATGTGAGTGCCTCAGCACAGGGACTGGCACATAGTAAGTGCTTGGCAAATGAAAATGGTTCTTCTAAGGCTTTTTTTTTTTTTTTAACTAGTGCCCAAGGAAGTGGGGGTGGCAGATTCCTCACTGGTCTCTTAGGTTCCTGGCACACATGCAGCCACCAGATTGAGCCTCTGGAATCGTACCAATCCATTTACCAGCCCACGTCATTAGCTTTTTCTGAGCACCTACTCTGTGCCAGGCACAGGGGCACCATGGTGGAACTGGAAGCAGCAGGCTCGCTGGGAGGCTGACAGCTGTGGATCCTGACCTGTGGAGTGGCCAGTGCCCCGGGGGATGGTGGAAGGGGAAGAGGGTATCTAGGGCAGGCATCAGTTGGAAAGTCACAGTGAGATTTGAGAGGAGGTGATCCCTGAACTAGTGACAAGGCCTACTAGCATTTTGCCAGGCAAACTAGGAGCAGGTGGAAAGGTTGGGAGGCACAAAAGGTTGGGAGACTCCCAGAGGGTGCCAGTAGCTCCTTGTAAGTCATTGTTGCTGGGCATGAAATTTGGGAGCTGGGGAGGTGGGTGGGAATCCCCTGTGAATGCCAGGCCAAGGAGGCAGGGACAGTGTCTGATTGGTGACTGGGGCCTGGGCAGCATCTGAGCAGGGAACACAGTTGAGTGGGAGAAAGGTGGTGGTCACTGAGGAGCGAGGGCAGGTGGGGGGATGGAAAGGTCTCAGGACAGGGGGCCCAGCAGGGAGGGAGGCATGGGAGGGAGGTCTCAGGGCATCCAAGGGACTTTTGGTTGAACCAGAAGTTCCTGAGTGTGAGCGCGGCCCAGAAACAGCCACAGGCCTCATCCCTGCACTGGGCTCGAGGCTGGAGTGCCACCAGCAGCTACCCATCCATTGGGCATGCGTGTGTCTGCTGTATGCCCTGACAAGACAGATGGACTCTGCCCTCACGGAGCTTACCAGTGCAGAGAGAAAAGAGAGTGAATAAATATACGAGGGAGGTGATTTTGGAGAGTGGTAAGAGCTAGGGACTAGGGGAGTTCCCTTAGGCAGGGCAGTCAGGGAGGGCTTCTCAGATGAGGTGACTGGGCTCATTGGAGAAGACCCAGGAGGATGGCGTCCCAGGCGGAGGGAACAGCATGTGCAAAGGCCTGGGGGTCAGGGGCATGGCATGTGTGAGGAGCCAGTGGGAGCCAGTGTGGTTGGAGTGTGCATGGGAGCGGGGTGGGAAATGAAGCTGGGGAGGAGTACCCCTAACCTTAGACAGCTAAGAGGTTCAAATTTAGTTGAGGGAAAGTTCTGACTCTACCCCCAGCAGCAAGGGAGCTTCCCCACCAAAGCAGGAGATCTGGCTCTCAGCATTCACTTTACTTTCCTGTGTGACCTTGAGCAAGTGGCCCACCCTCTCTGGGCTTCCAGAGTCTGTGGCAACACAGAGGAAAGTGAGGTGCTTGCTCAGAGACTCGCCAGCTGTGACTGGCCAGGGGTTTGATCCCAGTCATTTCTGCTCTGTGGTGGGGGACTTGTCGGGAGGGGCAGGTAGAGGTGAGCTCAGTAGAACCAAGAGCCCCCAGGACACAGGGCATCCAGGAGGCCTGTGCTTCCACAGCCTGTTCACTCCTTCATGCACCCGCCTCCCCCTCCCCACTGCACTCCTGCCCACACTGCCCACTCCCCAACCCCCTCCTCTCTCTAGGGCTGAAAGCAAGAGGCTCCCATGGGGGCTGGCCCGATGATTGGCAGAGTCGATAAAGGCCACTTGGAAACCCTCCTGCTCCAGGTGGTTCCCCGCTGGCATTTGTAGCTGGGATTCCGAGGCCAGAGCTGAACCCAGAGATCATTTATCACACAGCCTCAAATGGAGGCTTTTCTGGAAAAAAAAAAAAAAAGTTCTTTCTCTGAGATTCCAACTTGCATTGTCTAAAACAGGTTAATTGGCAACACCGTTTCCCCCAGATCCTTCCCTGCATCCCCCCGCTTTCCTGGGGTGGGAATGGCAGCCCCTGGAAGTAGAGAAGGGGGACAGGTTTAAGACACGCCGCATTTTCAGAGCTTGCTAGCCATGTGGAGACTGCCAGAGGAATCCTAGAGATCCACCCAGTGACCACGGCTGCTGGGCTGCACTTAGCTTTGTGATCCAGACCGGGAGCTGCCTGTGAAGTCCCTCCCCAAGGAGCTGGAGGTCAGGAGCCTGTGTGTCTCACTCCCTTCCTTGCTTGTTCCTATGGGAAATGACAATTGACCACTGATACACGCCCGCCCTCAAGGAGCTGCTGGCAGCAGCAAGAGGGGTGAGCTGTGCTGGGGCAGAGGGGGCACCGAGGGACCCTGGGAGCCAAAAGACGGGGCCAGCCCACTCTGCCGGAGTGGCCAAGGAGCAAAAGCAGTCTGCCTGGAAGGCAGGCAGGGAGAAGTGTGCTGGGCACAGGTACGGGGGCCCAGGTCATAAAAGAACCTGGTGCATTTGAAAAGCTGTGAGATCCCAGCATGCCTGGAGTGTAGAATCCACGGGACTCATAGTCAGAATGTTTCTGTTTCACAAAGCCAGAGAGGTTGGGAGGGTCCAGGCCACAAAAAGCCTAGAATGCCTGGTTGTACTCCTCAAGATAGGCTGGGCGTGCTGCATAACAAATATCCCCAAATATCAGCCCCTTCAAACAG